>NC_000019.10:41786328-42089358 GCF_000001405.40 Homo sapiens
TCAGCCTTCCAAAATGCTGGGATTACAGGCGTGAGCCACCGCGCCAGGCCACTGTAATGGGTATTTTCAACATCAGCCTCAGCCTGAATTCCGCCAGTAAACTGGTAATTCCCCAAGGAAACTTACTTTACTGTGACAGTTCTTTCACATCCTGAGCCAAAATGTGTGTGATTCGCACTCACCAATCCTTGTCCTGTGTCCTCCATAGGCTGAAATAAGTCTAATACTTCTTTGTACAACCCACCTTCAAATATTGGGTAAAATAAAAAAAAAAACATGTGCCACCCATCCCAAATTCCCTTGGTGGTTTCCCACGTTGGGTCACGTGAAGTCCCACACCTTCCGGTCCCTTTCCCACGGACGAGTGAAGTGCAGCAACCATAGCAGATGCTCCAAATCCTAGGGGTGTTCCCCAGAGCAGCAGAGCCACAGGACCCCCGTCACCGTCCTGGCACCTCACCCCTATGTAGAAGCTGAACCCCGTATCAGCTGATCTGGGGACGCTGACTTTTCCTGCTTCTGCTGCTGCTCAGTCATCCTACACCTGTGCAGGTGTCTACTTTTTATTCAGTTTTATTTTGTAAGAAATATTTGTCGGAGCCTGCTGTGTACTGTCACTGGAGAGACAAAGGTGAATCACACCCGGTCCCTGCCTCACAGAGCTCCAGGTTATGGAAGGAACCCACTCAAAGCCAGACCATTACCATTCAGTGAGAAACACCGTGACAGACATCAGCACAGGTTTCTTTGACCCATCTCACCAATGCCTTGTGAAAAATCTCCCACTCTTGGTTTTCTCACCAGGTTCCACGCATACATGGGATCATTTCTGAGCTGAGATTTCGTCATTTCAAGCTCAAAGTGAAAAAGAGAATGCAAATGTCCCCGATGGTCCTTTGTGTGGTCACAGCTGAACCCGACATGTCCTCCTGGCTAATCCAGGGTGCTCAGGGCTCCCATTTCACTCTGAGCGTCCTCTCTCCTATCGGAGCTCACATGTCTGCACCTGCAGCAGCCAGGTGGCTGCACACTAACAGAAAATCCACAAAGTCAGGAAACTTGATTTATTCCCGTAACTTTGAGGCTAGTGACTTTGTGACATTGAACTAATCTTATAACTTCCCTGCACTTTAATTTCCATGTCTGTAAAGTGGGGCAGGTGGATTCGGTCACCCTAGGTGCCACTGTATAGTGAGAACTTCTCAGAGACAGCAGCACACCTGATCTCAGCATCCACCATCTAGCGAATACCAGGCACACACTAGGGGCTCAAAGTCTCACTGAATGTATGTGTGAATAAATGACTATATGAGAGCCATGTGGATCATGGACAAAGTCAACAAATATTTTTGAACGTCTACCAAATACACTGTAGAATAGGGAAATAAGTAACCCAGGCAGGGTGGTGTTTTCTCCTAACTTCCCCTGACCTCCTTCCTGGGGGAGGGAGGGCCTCTGTGCATCAGACAGACTCTTGACACAGATAATGTTCTCGAGATGCATTGTAAGAAGTTATCATGTTAACAAGAGGAAAGTCCATTTGTCTTGGGGGTGTTTTAATCAATGGACCTGAGGGACCTGAAGACCCCCCGATGAGACACAGGATGCGACACCCACCCCAAGTGCATGGAGGGGAAACCAGATGGAGTGAACTGACAGGTAGCGGGACCTGGGAGAACAGAGGGATAAAGAGACTGAGGCACCTGGAGGAAGGTCTGAGGAGGAGCTCCCGGCCCCTGCGGTGGCCTCGGTGTGGACTGATGCAGAACTCAGCAGCATAAGTAAGTAAAGTGGCCGCACCAGGCTCTATGCATACATGGGACCATTTTTCAGTAAGATTTTCTTTCTGCTAATGGGCTTCACTTTTGCCCACTTTCTAACACATCAGGACAAGTTAATAGGTTACAAACCATCATTCCATTCAGCAGTCATTTATAGAATACTCCCAAAGTGCCAGGCCCTGTGTGAGTTCAGGCAATACAAAAATGAACATAAAAGCTCCTGTCCTCTAAGATCCCCATCCAATGAGCTCCAGGGAGCACCTCTCCTACAACACGCCCCTGCTCTGCACGGCCCTCCTCTCTGCCCTCCACCAACCCAAATCCTCCTCCACCTCCAGCTCAAGTTCCACCCAACCAAGTCCCTCTCAGTCCCCCTCCACTCCTGCCACTTTGAGAGATGACTGCACTCATATCTCTAGGTTTTATGAAGTGGATGTCATCTCCCTGGTTAGACTTGAGCTTCCTGAAGGCAGAGACCATTTTTAGAATTTTCCAGAAAAAAAGCCACATCAGTAATTTGCATCAGAACAAGCTTAGACTCTGCTCAAGCCTTCAACTTAGACAGAGACTCCACTGCCTAGCACAGTCCCTGGTCCCTGCAGTGCTTTATAAACCCTGCAGTAGCAAAGTCCACAATCAACTCGTGTGTCAGTCAACAGGCTGGGATAAGTTGAAAATGCAGACAGAGAAGAACAGTCAAACAAAAATCAAAGGGCTTTGACTCATGCCTTGCCTCTTCCCTTTTCTCAGGGAAACAAAGTCACACCCCCTGCTCTCACTCCTGCCTGGAGGCTTCCAGGGAGGGCTCCCTTGTTGGCCTTCCCTTCAGCCCCCATGAATATCACCCAGCATTCAAGCCCAGCCTCTCCTCTCCCTTTGAGCACATTGCCTAAAGTCTCAAATAAATGTCAAGTTTAGTGAGTGCTGATATTCTATGCCCCTAATGTTTACTTCAAGTATTATTACCTTTCTTCTTTTGCCCGGGGCCATTTCCAAACAAGGGCTGGAGCCAGGCGCCCCAGCAGCTGGGCAAACACACTTCAGGGCTCCTTCCCTCCTGTGGCTCCTGTTTCTCAAACCCTCTGGGACCTGCAGCTCTGGGGGGTCTCTTCCCCCAACCCAGTTCCCTCCCCTTTAGACCAGAACAACTAAGCCAGACAATGGAAAGGAATTGCGAACAGAGCCGGAACAAGGCAACTTTCCAGGCAACAACGCTACTATTGCCAATATTTTGCCAAGGATGGGAGCAGGAGCACAGAGGGGAAGCAGACCTTTTCAACATCTCTTCTACCAATACATAGCATCCACTTTCCTGCCAAATACTCAGCTAGAAAGGGTCATTGAAAGGTATAAGGTGGGACTGGGCGCAGTGGCTCATGCCTGTACCCAGCACTTTGGGAGGCCGAGGTGGGCGGATCACGAGGTCAGGAGTTCAAGAGCAGCCTGGCCAATGTGGTGAAACTCCGTGTCTACTAAAAATACAAAAATTAGCCAGGTGTGGGGGCGTGTGCCTGTAATCTCAGCTACTCGGGAGGCTGAGGCAGGAGAATTGCTTGAACCCAGGAGGCGGAGGTTGCAGTGAGCTGAGATGGCACCATGGCACTCCAGCTTAGGCAACAGAGCAAGACTCTGTCTTGAAAAAAAAAAGAGAAAGAAAGAAAGAGAGAGAGAGAAAGAAAGAAGGAAGGAAGGAAGAAAGGAAGGAAGGAAGGAAGGAAGGAAGGAAAAGAAAAAGAAAGAAAGAAGAAAGAAAGAAAGAAAGAAAGAAAGAAAGAAAAGAAAGAAAGAAAGAAAGAAAGAAAGAAAGAAAGAAAGAAAGAAAGAAAGAAAGAAAGGTATAAGTCTAATCCGTTACCTAACAGCAAGACAGCATCAGTTCACTGCTTTTGCCCTCACATGAAAACAGTGTTGTGGGACTAAAGCACAGACTGGCAGGTCATGTACACTGGCCTCAGCCATCCCCAGAGATCAGGAGCCTCCGACTGGGAACCTTCCATACAATCTCCAAGCGACGTACAGCTGCACCAACAGTCACAATTAAAGTTCTAATCTCAGCCAGGTGTGGTGGTTCACGCCTGTAATCCCAGCACTTTGGGAGGCTGAGGTGGGCAGATTATGAGGTCAGGAGTTCGACACCAGCCTGACCAAAGTGGTGAAATCCCATCTCTACTAAAAATACAAACATTAGCCGGGCGTGGTGGCGTGCACCTGTAATCCCAGCTACTCAGGAGGCTGAGGCAGGAGAATCACTTGAACCCAGGAGGCGGAGGTTGCAGTGAGCCGAGATCACGCCACTGCGCTCCAGCCTGGGTGACAGAGTGAGTCTCCATCTCAAAAAAATAAAATAAAATAAAAATAGATAAATAAATTCTAATCTCTTCCCTCCTTCTGTTGCTGCCACTAACGCTGATGTCCATGGTCTCTAGCAGCCTGAATCCAGGTAAATAAGACTGTCTGTGAAGGGAAAACTGGGGGGAGAAAATGTGGCAAAACAGGCCACACGTGCATCAAAATGTAGCCCTTTCAGCCACAGAAATTGGGAGCAAGTGAGCCTTTCTCAGTGCCAGTTTCCTCATTTACTAAAAGAAGCAAACTGTACTTACTTCCATGGTCGCGAGGGTTAAATGAGATATTGTATGTGACAGTGTCTGCAACTACAGCCGGCAAATATATATATATATACACACTGGTTCAAGAAAGATTTGCTTCCTTGCCTTCTCCCCCAAGATTTTCCCAGAAAAGTAATGCACTTCCCCAGGGCCAAACTTGGTGGCAGTTGTGGGAGGATGTTAAAGGCAACTGCACGTTCATTAAAGTTAAGGAAATTTTTGCTTTCATTCCCTTTTTGTAAAGACAGGATCTCAGTCTATCACCCACGCAGGGGTACAGTGGTGCCATCATAGCTCACTGCAGCCTCAAACTCCTGAGCTCAAGCAGTCTTCCTGCCTTGGTCTCGCAAATATATATAAATAGAAGTGTACCCCACATGCCTGGCTAATTTTTTTTTTCTGTAGAGACGGGGTCTCACTGTGTTGCTCAGGCAGATCTCAAACTTTGCTTGTATTCTTTTTTTTTTTTTTTTTTTGAGACGGAGTCTCACTCTGTCTCCCAGGCTGGAGTACAGTGGTGCAATCTTGGCTCACTACAACCTCCGCCTCCCGGGTTCAAGCGATTCTCCTGCCTCAGCCTCCTGAGTAGCTGGGATTACAGGTGCACACCACCATGCCCAGCTAATTTTTGTATTTTTAGTAGAGACGGGGTTTCGCCATGTTGGTCAGGCTGGTCTCGAACTCCTGACTTTGTGATCCACCTGCCTCGGCCTCCCAGCTGGGATTACAGGCGTGAGCCACCGCACCTGGCCCACTTGTATTCTTTAGAGTGTACCAAGTATGCACACATTTTAATGCTATTTAATGGTAATGTAATAAACTGAAGAAAATCCTATCACCAGATAGTGTCCAACTTTGAAGCTTTAGTCACACCAAGCCCTGCTGCAACAACGCACCCTTTGGGAAGCAGACCTTTGGTTAAAGGTTTTGAGTTTACTCCAGTTTTCACTACAAGCAAAGTGGCCCAGACCTTTGCAAAGAAACCACCTAGAAGAGAGCTCACCCCACCAGGTGCAGTGGCTCACACCTGTAATCCCAGCACTTTGGGAGGCCAAGGCGGGCAGATGATTTGAGGTCAGCAACTCAGGACTAGCTGATTAACATGGTGAAACCACGTCTCTACTAAAAATACAAAAAAATTAGCCGAGCATGGTGGCATATGCCTGTAGTCCCAGCTACATGGGAGGCTGAGTCAGGAGAACAGCTTGAACCCATGAGGCAGAGGTTGCAGTGAGCCAAGATCGCGCGCCACTGCACTTCAGCCTGGGCAACAGAGCAAGACTCCATCTCAGAGAGAGAGAGAAAGAGAGAGAGCTCACCCCATGTATATTTCCACTTGGGAGCATCATCTTTCCAAGGGCCACTTTGAGGTGAAATGGCTTTTTTACATACTCAGCATCAATTTGGTCCTAAAATCAGGAGACATTCACCCTTCTCCACCCCAATTTCCAACATCCCCTCCTTTGTAGAGAGAGCACTCTGGAAGCCACTGAGCCCCATAGCCCTAGGGCCTAGACCACTATTCCAAAAGGGAAGACTTTTCCATTACTATGACAGACACCCAGGCTGGAGTCCTCTGCCTGCACTCAAAGCTCTAACCCCAACCTCTTTTTCCAGTGCAAACCCTTCTACTCACTAAAAATTTCTCTCCACTCAAACTAGCCTGTTTGCCCTTCCCTGAACGGGGCTTGTGTTTTCCCATCAGCTCAACTTTGCTCACATGCCCAGCTCAAAACCACATTTCCACAGGCCAGACAAGTGCTCAGTTCTTCCCACACGTAGATGAGTGCTCTGCCTCCTGAGAGCCTGCTTAGCCCTACTGGACACTGTCTTGTTGCACTTATCATCTGCTGCCTTATATTGAAGGCCTTCATATGCCTCTCCTGCCTCCACCCCCTGCCCTTCTAAATTTCAAACTCCTTGGCCGCACAGACTGGTGCACTGTTTCCATATCCCTCACGCTATCCAGCTCAGCACTTGGCAAACATTAGCTCACCACAAGAATGCATCCTCAGGTTTTTAAGTCAGACAAGGGCTTCATAGCAGTTCTATTGACATTGGGGATGAACAGTTCCTTGCGGTGGGGGCTGTTCTGTGCATTGTGAGACGCTCAGCAGCATCCACGTGGCCTCTTTCCACTAGATGCCAATAGCAGCCTTCCCTCTCTCCCGTCCCCACCCCGGTATGAAAACCAAAAATGTCTCCAAACATTGCCAAATGTCCCCTGGGCGGAAACCACCCTCAGTCCACAACCACTACTCTATACCAATAGTTCTCCACCTGGCCACACATTCAGACTCACCTGAACATTTACACTCAGCCTGGAAGTCAGGGGGACCTAGATCCAAATCCTAGCTCTGTCACTCCCTTTGCAACCCTGACAAGTCGCTTCACTTTTTTTTACCCTGTTTTATCGTCTTAAGATGAATAAATATCCCTTCTCACAATCTTGTTGTGAAGATTAAATGATCCGCAGCGTGACCTAGAAAGGGTTTAATAAATGGACTGTGTAGAATTTCTAAGTCGCTCCTAAAGCACGAGGGTGAGGAACTGCGGAAAGTTCTCTGCGCCGCCAGGAGGCGCCATCATAAACCACGTCGGTGGGTGGCCGCCAGGCTCCAGCTTTGTTTCCCAGCCAAGCAAACTTTGCAATGTGGGCCTGAGTCTGAGCTACTTCGTAGCTGGAGGAAATGACACTCCTCCTCATCCCCCAAAATAATTCTCAAAATAAAATCGAATCTTATTTTATCTTTTCATGACATACATGCTCAATATGCTTTTCACAGGGGAGAGGGAAAAAAGAAATGGATGAGAATATATGAGGATATTATGAAAGAAATCATATTTTATATGATTTATAATAGATGACTCATTACTTATAATATTACTTGTTAATCATAAAATTACTTATAATAATAGCTGACATGTTTTAAGAACTCCTGTGTCTCAGGCATTGTTCTAAGCACTTCACATTTATCTCATTTTATCCTCACAGAAATCTTATGCATTTTACATTTTTTTACTTTTCATTTTTCAGACTTTCAAAAATATTGTAAAAATAGTCAGAGTTCCAGTATATCCTTCATCCAGCTTTTTCAAATAACCTTAACTCTAAAGCAATTATCAAAATCAGTCACCTAGCATTGATACAAAAAATTTTAAAATATAGAAATATGGGGCCGGGCACGGTGGCTCACGCCTTTAATCCCAGTACTTTGGGAGGCCAAGGAGGGTAGATCACGAGGTGAGGAGATCGAGACCATCCTGGCTAACACGATGAAACCCCGTCTCTACTAAAAATACAAAAATTAGCCAGGCGTGGTGGCAGGTACCTGTAATCCCAGCTACTCGGGAGGCTGAAGCAGGAGAATCTCTTGAACTCAGGAGGTGGGGGTTGCAGTGAGCCCAGATCGAGCCACTGCACTCCAGCCTTGGCGACAGAGTGAGACTCTGTCTCCAAAAAAAAAAAAAAGAAATATTAAAATTTTGCTAATCATCCCAGTCATGTCTTTTTTCTGCTCCAGAGTCCAACCCAGGATCCCACACTGAATAACACTGTCACATTTCCTAGGCCTCCTCCAACCTGGGGGAGTTTCCCACTCTTTCCCTCTCTCAGGACCTTGATGCTTTTGAGGAGGTCTGGTCAGTTGTTTTGTAGAATGCCCCTCAATTTGGGTTTGTCTCATGTTTCCTTGGGATGTTTCAGGTTATGCATTTTGGGCAAGATTAGCACAGAAGCGATGTGTCTTTCTCAGGACATCCCAGCCGGAGCCCCAGGATGTCTATATCTCTCATTACCGATGAGGTTCACTTTAAGCGCTTGGTTCAGGTGGTGTCTGCCAGGTTTCTCTACTGTGAAGTTACTATTCATCTCATTGTAATTAATAAGTATCTTGTGGACAGGTACTTTGGAAATATGCAAATAGCCAGTTTGTTCTTAGCATACTTTTACCAATTAATTTCTAGAATCCAGAGATAATTGTAGCCGATAAACAATTCTTACTGTGGTGTTAGCCAGTGATTTTCTGCTTCCATCATTGCTTCTACACTGATTAACTGGAACGCTGCTGTAAGAAAGAGCTAGTTCTTCTTTCTCATTTATTTATGTATTCACTTATTTATATATATATCAGCATGGACTCTCAAGTATTTATCGGTTGGACTACATTACTATTATTATTGATTATGTTGCTATATTGTCCCCAAATTGGCCATTGGGAGCTTCTTCTAGTTGGCATTTGTGATACTTTCCACACATCCCCATCATTTTTCAAGTTGTGCCTTACTCTCAGGCCCCGCAAGATGCTCCAGTCTCCTCTTGTGGTTTCCTGCCCCAGCCCTGGAATCAGCCATTTCTCCAGGGAACCCTGGTTCCTTTCATGGGAGAATGATGTTTACAGACCATGGGCGCCCATATGCCCATTGCTAGTAGGTGCCGGTGCTTCTATGCCCTCTAGTGGTCAGAGCTGGGAAATAACACACCCACACTAGTGTACTGTTACCCACATTTCACAAATTAGGTAAATGAGGCACAGAAAAGTTAGGCAACTTGACCAACATCACAGAGAAAATAGGTAGTGGAACTGGGAAATGAAAATAATGACAGATGCACCACAAGTTCTAACAAGCAAAAGTAGCTTTTTCACACATCCACATCAGCAGAAAGCCACAAGCCCAATATTCCGGCGTAGACACTCTTTGAAAACCAGAATTCCACAGCAATAACCACGATGACAACCACCATGTACTCAACACCCGCCTGGGCACGGGGCTCCCACAGCAGCTCACTTATTCCCAACAACTCTGCAAGGAGGATTTTACCATCCTCCTTTTACAAATCAGGGAATCAAGGATCATAGAAGCCACGTGACTTGTCCAAGTCAACATAGTTAAGTGACAGAACCATTAGCTGTCCCCAGGTACATCTGGACATAAAGTTCATGTTTATGCCACTGTGTCAGCATTTCCAAAAACTGATTTTAGGCGAAACGTAAGTAAGCTTTTTAAAAACTTTAATACTTATGCGTTTATTTTAATATACATTGAGAAAACATTTAAGCACACATCAAATCTGTAATTTCATGGACAATATTGCATAAGACAAGGATGTTTTGTCTCCAACTCCTGGCCTCAAGCCATCCTCCCACCATAGCCTCTCGAGTAGCTGGGATCACAGATCTGAGCCACCGATCCCTGCTAGGACAGGATGTTTTGTAAACTAAATTTATTTAGAAAAAAGGATGAAATATATAATAATAAAGGTGGTACAAGCTAGAGAGAAAATCATAAAGTCAGCCTAGAAATGTCTGGTGTCTGGATGACATAAAGCTACAGCACTGTGAAGCCTCATTCTCAGTTACTCCCAGGAAATTAGAGTCACATAATGCTGCAGAAAGAACAGCTCAGAATCTTAGATCCGGGCTTTAGCCCTAGATATATCCATTTGTAGGACCCCAGACATCTCTGTGACCTCCTTGCTGGGAGTAAATCCAACCTTCCCAGACATGTGAGAACAGTAAGAAGACCCTGCACACACAAAGGAGTTTCTCCGTCACAGAGAAAATAACACCAGGTTCAGGGACCCCAGGGACTCTGCATGGTGCTGACAGACCCAAGGCCAAGGCAGAGCAGAGGTCCACGCTGGGGAGGGAGGGTCATCCTGTTATGAAACAGGGATCCAAGTAAGCCTTGCTTCTCAGAGCCTGGTCTGGGGAACTCAAATGTAGACAGAAGGGAGAAAGGAAGAAGAGAAAATGAGGCAAAACTGAGAGGGGAGGGGACAGAGAGGTGACCTGGGCAGAGCTTCACCCATGACCCTGGAAAGTGCTCCTGCCCTGGGAGGAGGCTCAGCATGGAAAGAGGAAGGACAGCAGAGCCTAAGTCACAGTAGCCCTGACTACAGCATTCCTGGAGCCCAGGCTCTTTTCCACAGAGGAGGAAAGAGCAGGCAGCAGAGACCATGGGGCCCCCCTCAGCCTCTCCCCACAGAGAATGCATCCCCTGGCAGGGGCTTCTGCTCACAGGTGAGTGGAGGATTCCTGGGAGTGGGCAAGAGGAGGGATCACAGAGAATGGCTGGGGTCTCCTGGGGAGGATGGGGCTCTGATAGGGGACAGAAGGCTTCTGCTGAAGCCTCAGGGGAGAGAACATCAGAGAGGGACACGGGTCACAACAAGACAATCACATTGAACTGGGATTGATAAGAGGGAGGAAAATCCATTGATCATGTTTTCCAAGTTAATCATTACTGGCCACTACAATTAGAAAATGATAAGAATAAGAATTACATCAGGGTGATACTTTAAATAAAAATATAACCAGGGCACTAAAACCTGTCTTTGACCACCAACCACAAGTTGCAAAATAACCACCACTCCTTAACTCATCCACCAGTATTTGCAATCAAATTTTAGGCACTGGCGTACAACAAATATCAGACAAGTCTCTGTGTTCAAAGAGCTTACACTCTTGCAGAGATGAAGATAGACACCCAAAGAGATCTAGAATGTGAGTTCAGGTGTTGACAAGAGCCCTGGAGGGAACAGAGCAGAAAAAGGTCAGAAAGGGAAGACCCAGGGTCTCTAGAGGAGGTGTCAGGGGAGGGATCTCCCAAGGATGCCCTGATGTGAGCAGGATCTGAGGGCAGTGGGGAGGGAGCCATGCAGACCCCTGGGGAAGGGGATTCCACACAGGAAAATGCCAAGGTTAGAGGTGCTGAAGAAAGAAAGGTCACGTTACTGACCTTGACCAAGTGGGACACACATACACTCTCCAAGGCTGAAGGGTGAAGAGACTCTCTCAGGACCCAGGGCCCCATCTTTCCATCCCAATACATGGGTCCCAATATTGACTGATGCTTTCTCCCTCCTAGCCTCACTTCTAAACTTCTGGAACCCGCCCACCACTGCCAAGCTCACTATTGAATCCATGCCGCTCAGTGTCGCAGAGGGGAAGGAGGTGCTTCTACTTGTCCACAATCTGCCCCAGCATCTTTTTGGCTACAGCTGGTACAAAGGGGAAAGAGTGGATGGCAACAGTCTAATTGTAGGATATGTAATAGGAACTCAACAAGCTACCCCAGGGGCCGCATACAGCGGTCGAGAGACAATATACACCAATGCATCCCTGCTGATCCAGAATGTCACCCAGAATGACATAGGATTCTACACCCTACAAGTCATAAAGTCAGATCTTGTGAATGAAGAAGCAACTGGACAGTTCCATGTATACCGTGAGTATTTCCACATGACCTCTGGGTGTTGGGGGTCAGTTCTACTTCCCACATATGGGATTGTCAGGCCTGGGCTGTGCCTGTGGCCCTCTCTGCATTACATTCTGTATCAGGGTTTGGACATTTAGTGCAGGACACACACGGGGGAGACAAACTTCCACAGATCAGAATTCCTTTCCTGCATCCAGACCCTGCAGACACTCGCTGCAGAGGAAGGACAGTCTGATGGGGGGACTCAGCAGGGCAAGGTCAGTGTCAGAAAAGAACCCCATGGTCTCCCCATGGACCTGACCCTAAGAAAGACCCTGGAGAACTGGATCAGGGCCTGGCCTGAGGGGTCCCCCTAGGATTCTCAGAGAGAAGCTCAACTCTTCCCAGAACTGAGCCCCTGTGCAAATCCCTGTCCCAGATTCCTGACTCCAGGTGACCCTGGGGACCCTAGGGATCCTGTGCCAGGGCTGAGTGAGGCCTCCTGGGCAGGGCTGACTGGGAGCAAGAATTTACCAGCTGTCTGAGGGTCGTGGCTCCTGGAGTTGGTCACCAGCCAGGGTCCAGCCCCAAGAACCTCTCCTGGGCAAGGACAGGGCCTCATCCTTTACCTGAGACTCAGCATGGAGTGAACAGATGGACAAGATTACTAGGGCATGAGCCCACTGCCCAGGGGAACTTAGATGACTCCATGGGAAGTTCAGTATCCCCAGGGGGAGGAAAAAGAAGAGAGAAGATGCTCCCAGCAGCTCCTTTTCCACAAGGGATCAGACTCAGGGACCTCTCTTTTGGAGGCAAATAAGCATAGATGCTGTTCCTTTGGGCAGCTCCTCTATACACAGCTGAGGTCAAGTAATTGTAAATATTTTGAGATTAATTCACAAACAACGTCACAGCCAAATAGCACTTATCCTACTTATTGAAAAAAAAAATTGAGGAACAGGGAGACAGTCACCGACTAGGGTCACACAAGTCAAAGGTGTCAGATTAGAGTCACACGAGGTCTCTCTGCAGCCACAGCTGCCTCTTCTCCACCAGGGGACGGCTGGCGTTATTATTAGACATCTGCAGGCCTGAGACCAGTCCTAAGTTCTCTTTCCTTTTTCTTGGGCATCCACATCTCAGAGGGGGAGATTTTGGTCTGGAGAGTAAGGGGCAAATGGAAAATTAATCAATTTTTCCTGATATAGTTTGGATGTTTATCCTCTCCAAATCTCATGTTGAAATGTGATCCCCAACATTGGAGGTGAGGCCTGGTGGGAGGCGATTGGATCATGGGGGGCTGTTTCTCATGAGTGGCTCAGCACCATCCCCTTGGTGACAAGTCAGTTCTCACTTTGAGTGCACAGGAGATCTGGTTCTTTAAAAGTGTGTGGCGCCTCCACACTCTCTCTTGCTCCTGCTTTTGCCACATGACACCACCTGCTCCCCCTTCTCCTTCCACCATGATTGTAAGCTTGCTGGGTCTCACCAGAAGCCGAGCAGACGCTGGTGCCATGCCTGTATAGCCTGCAGATCCCTGCATCAATTAAATCTCTTTTCTTTATAAATTACCCAGCCTCAGACATTTCCTTATAGTAACAAAAAATAGCCTAACACATTAGCCTAACCTAGAACTAAATCCCTTGTGTCAACAGAGTCAGTGCCAGGAATGTCCGGGCCTCCCTCTCAGATGCGCACCACTGCCCTCACTCGACCTGAAATCCTGTGTTTCCTGATGTGTCAGTGACACTCCCACAGGAGGATAAAACACTCCCCACTCACACCCTGCACCAGCGCAGGGCCCAGTGAGAGACACACACTCAGTAGTTCTCTGACGAAGGAGGGAAGGAATGAATGATGAATAATTCTTAAACTCTTCAGAGACCGGATCTTGGATGCAGAATCCTATAAGGTTCTGGCCACACCTGTTTCCTGTCCCTCCAGGGGCCGGGATCCTTGTTGCATTCCTCTAACCCCTGCCCCTAAAGCTACCCCAAGAACCGCATCTCATGGGACTCTGGCACAGCTCACCTGTGGGAAGGTTTTCAGGTCTCCCTGGTCCTGGTTTGTGGGCGGCAGGTCACCCAGGCGCCGAGGCAAGAGACCAAGGACACGAGCTGTTCCAGTATAATAAAATATAAAACAAGAAAAGTTATACCAGATATAGATCTTAGATATGATTATATGTGAATATCATTAATCATTAGTTGGTAGCAATTACTCTTTATTCCAGTATTATAATAATCCTCGCTCTATAATCACAACCTAGGAAAAGCCAGGCCATACAGAGATAGGAGCTGGGGAGACATAGTGAGAAGTGACCAGAAGACAAGAGTGCGAGCCTTCTGTTATGCCCAGACAGGGCCACCAGAAGGGCTCCTTGGTCTAGCGGTGACACTAGCGCCTGGGAAGACGCCCGTTGCCAGGCAGACCGAGGTCTAGCGGTAGCGTAAGTGTCAAGGGAAAACACCCGCTACTTGGCAGACCGGGAAAGGGAGTCTCCCTTTCCCCGGGAGAGTTTAGAGAAGACTTTGCTCCTCCACCTCTTGTGGAGGGCCAGACACCAGTCAGGTCCACTCGCAGTTATCCGGAGGCCTAACCGTCTCCCTATGATGCTGTGCTTCAGTGGTCACGCTCCTAGTCCGCCTTCACGTTCCATCCTGTACGCCTGGCTCTGCCTTCTAGATAGCAGTAGTAAATTAGTGAAAGTACTAAAAGTCTCTGATATGCAGAAATAATGGCATAAGCTGTCTTTCTCTTTGTCTCCTCTCTCTCTCTGCCTCATCTGCCAGGCAGGGAAGGGCCCCCTGTCCAGTGGACACATGACCCACGTGACCTTACCTATCATTGGAGATGACTCACACTCTTTACCCTCCCCCTTTTGCTTTGTATCCAATAAATAACAGCGCAGTCAGACATTCGGGGCCACTACCAGTCTCCGCGCATTGGTGGTAGTGATCCCCCCGGGGCCCAGCTGTCTGTTCTTTTATCTCTTTATCTTGTGTCTTCATTTCTACACTCTCTCGTCTCCGCACATGGGGAGAGACCCACCGACCCTGTGGGGCTGGTCCCTACACTGGTTCTAGAATAACCAGGGGTCTCCTGGTCCCTAGGGTCTCTGAGGTCACTGTAGTCCCCACAGCTCACTGTGATGTAATCTCTGGCTATCTCTGCTACCCCTTGTCCCTTATCTTCCTCCCCTTTCACACCAGTGAGGATGCCCCTGCCCTGCACAGCTTCCTCCACCCTTAGGTCTTCCCCAGGAACTCCCTCTAACAAGACTGGCTGTTCTGTTCCCTTCCCACTCACACTGTGGCCTGGCCCACCTCCGGGGCAATAAAAAAAGGCACAGAAATCAGCTGGATCAGAGCCCCTGCCAGGCTTCATCATGAGCCAGTGTCCCCAGGCCACCAGGAGAACGAGCTTCCACTGTGTCCCCACCCAGGGCTCTTTCCCTTCTTGAGGCCAACATGTGGAAAAGGCCACAGGACAGGGACGAGCGACTCCTCCACCTACTCTTGTAATTTCCCAGCAGGTTTTTCCTGCCACTGCACAGACAAAACCAATTCACTGAGACCACGATATTGCAGTCAAGAAAGAGTTTAATTAATGCTAAGTAAGCCAAACAGTAAGACAAGAGTTTATTATTACTTAAATCAGCCTCCCTGGAGGCTTGAGATTAGAGTTTTTCATGGATAGTTTGATGGCAGGGGACTAGGGAATGGGGAAAGCTGATTGGTTGGGGATAAAATCATAGGGATGTGGCAACTGATCCTGGTGTGCTGAAACTGCCTCTGAGTGGGGGCCACAAGACCACTGAATCATGGGTCACAGTCCAGGTGGAGTCAGTCAGTTGCCAGAATGCAGAAGTCTGAGAAACATCTCAAAAGACCAATCTCAGGTTCTACAATAGTGATATTATCTATGGGAGCAATTAGGGAAGTCACAAATCTTGTGACCCTCCCATAATGCTGATCTCGTAATGTTTCATTAGTTTACAAAGGCAATCCCTGACAAAGAGGAAGTTAGTTTTAGGGAGGGACTATAATCATCCTTGCTTCAAAGTTAAACTATACACTGAATTTTTCCCATGGTTAGCCTGGCTTGTGCCCAGGAATGAGCAAGGACAGCCACCTTGAGGCTAGAAGCCAGATGAAGTCAGCCATGCTAGCTTACTCTCGCCATCTTAATCCTTGCAAAAGTGGTTTCACTCTCTACAATGACTCACCAGGGGTCAGAGGCAAGAGGAGAGGTCTGCAGTCCCCAAAGCTCATGGCTCATTTCACCCATTTCCCTCCCGACTCCACCCTCATTCAGCTATGGGGCTCCCATCCTCCAGTCATTCCCTAGAGACTTCTGGTGTCCAATTTGGCATGTAAGAAGCTTGAAATCTGTCACTCAGTTATAACAAGTATAAAACTGAACAAACTGAAAAATCAACAACTCTTTTAGATCCCTCAGAGAAGCTAGGCCTCGGTGTTAATTGCCCCGCATATTGGAGAGACCGACAGGCAAAGATGGAGCAGCACACCTCACCTGGGCAGAAGCCCAGGGACAGAAACCCTGCAGAACCAGCGCTGGGGTCAGAAATCTGAACTGTAACTGACAAATTGCTGGAGGCTCAGCATGGACATGCCCCAGAGTTAAACTAAACACTCCAGGGGAGGGATCAATCTTGGGGCTGGGACAAGGAGGGACTCTTTTGTGAGTCTTAACTCCTAGAGCTACCAGATTCTCATAGTGAATAGGCAACAAAGATCCCCTCCTCCTTCCTGAAGCGGGAGGGGGAAAGGAATTATTTGGAAAGATCTCCGTGAATTCTATTCTTCTTAGCAACAGCTGCCTTTAAGAGAAACTTTTACCAGAGCCTGACCTGCTGGGGTTTTATGGGAGCCTAACTGGCCTGGCAGTGGGTAAATGTCCAACTCCAGCCCCCTGTAGCCATCATGTCCCACCTAAGGGGGCAAAAATACAGAGAGTCACTTATGAAGTTCACAGCCCAGGCTGCAGACCTCATCCAGGACCACAGAACCCTTCCCTCCCAACACTCACCACAGCGTCACTGAACACCTGCTCACCCAAGTTCCTTTTACCCAGAATATCATGTCTGGCTTTCAACAAAACTGCACAAGACAGACTAAGGCAAAAACAAAAAAAAATGCAATTTGAAACTCAGAACAACAATCAGAACCAGACTCAGATGTGGCAGGGATGTTGAAATTAGCAGAACGGGAATTTAAAACAACTCTGGTTAATACAGTAAAGGTTATGATGGAAAAAGTAGACCCCATGCAGGAACAGATGGGTGATGTAAGCAGAGAGATCGATATTCTAAGACAGAACCAAAAGAAATGCTAGAGATAAAAAAAGAAACCCTCCTGTAAGGTAAATGAAGAATGCCCTCAATGGGCTTACTGGTAGCCTGGACACAGCTGAGGAAAGAATCTCTAGCTTGAGGGTGTGTCAGTAGAAACTTCCAAAACTGAACAGCAAAGTTTTGTGTGTGTATGTGTGTGTGTGTGTGTGTGTGTGTGTGTGTGTTGTTTTGTTTGTTTTTTTTTTTTTTGAGACAGAGTCTCGCTCTGTACCCCAGGCTGGAGTGAAGTGATGCTATCTCAGCTCACTGCAAGCTCTGCCTCCTGGGTTCACGCCATTCTCCTGCCTCAGCCTCCCAAATAGCTGGGACCACAGGCGCCCGCCACCATGCCCGGCTAATTTTTTGTATTTTTAGTAGAGACGGAGTTTCACCGTGTTATCCAGGATGGTCTCGACCTCCCAACCTCATGATCTGCCCGCCTTGGCCTCCAAAAGTGCTGGGATTACAGGCATGAGCCACCATGCCCGGCCTGAAACAGCAAAGCTTTAAAAGAGTGGGAAAAGGCCGGGCGTGGTTGTTCATGCTTGTAATCCCTGCACTTTGGGAGGCTGAGGCGGGTGGATCACCTGAGGTCAGGAGTTCGAGACCAGCCTGGCCAACATGATGATACCCTGTCTCTACTAAAAATACAAAAAATTAGCCAGGCATGATGACAGATGCCTATAATCCCAGCTACTCAGGAGGCTGAGGCAAGAGAATTGCTTGAACCTGGGAGGTAGAGATTGTAGTGAGCCAAGATAGCGCGATTTCACTCCAGCCTGGGCAACAAGAGCAAAACTCTGCCTCAAAAAAAAAAAAAGAGTGGGTAAAAAAAGTGGAAAAGCAGATTCAACTTCACATTCAAGATTTTGTATTGACAATGGCATATTTTATATTTTCTAAAAGCTGTAACATACATGTAATGGGAATACTGGTGGTTCCTGGGACCAGGTGGAGCTGGCCAGCCCTGTGCTGTCTGATGGGCCCACTGCTTGTTCCACACACATGTGTCCCTCATGATGATGCCATTATCATAAGATGGGGTCTTCGGGTGGGGAGATGCACCAGCCACCGGCATCTCACTTAGACTCTGCCCAATTCGGGCTAATTTAATCAAATTCTAGTTGTGTTTCCTGAGGCGTAAAGAAAAGGAGGAAGGTGTTTCATATGCCTGTTTAGGCCCCTTCCTATTTTGCCTAACTCTGCACAGGAAATTGAGGTGAGGGCTCTTTTGACATTTACTGACATACACACATCACATCTCCTAATTTGGTATTTTTCTTTTCTGTGTATTATTGAGACATCTCAGACTTTCCCTCTGACCAGTTCTGTCTTCCTAACAGGACTCACAATTCTCTCTCTACCCAGAGAGTCACTGATTTCAAACCAAAGTCAGCATCTTTCTTTGAGCTTAACATGATTATGCTGGTCTTCAGCATTTAGCAGACCTAAACCTTATTATGTTATCAAGAGAAATGCTACAGCAACCAATTGACCTCAGACCTTTCGACCATTAATAATAATTTCCACTGATAGAAAAAAAATTAATTTCCCCCAAATTTCTTTTTTTTTTTTCACTATAGTGAGATCATAACTCCTTTGTCTAAACTCCTGACAAATTTTTAAGGGCAAAATGGACTATTACAGATGGAGAATCCCAAATCCAAAAATCCAAAATACAAAATGTGCCAATATCCAAAATTTTTTGACCACTGGCATGATGTTCAAAGGAAATGCTCACTGGAGCATTTTGAAATTTTAGATTTTCAGATTTGGGATGCTAAACCGATACTTGTAATACAAATATTCCAAAATAAAAAATAATTAGAAATCCAAAACACTTTTGCTCTTATGCATAAGAGATACTCAAACTCTATTAATTATAGACACCAAGCTGTACAGCAGATCTCTAGAACCTCCATATTTTGCATAATTGAAACTGCACACCCAAGGAACAACTCCCTGCCAGCCCTTGGAAATCACCACTCTGCTCTTTTATTCTTTTTTCTTCTTTTTTTTTTTTTTTTTTTTTTTTAGATAGAGTTTTACTCTTGTCACCCAGGCTGGAGTGCAATGGTGTGATCTTGGCTCACTGCAACCTCCGCCTCCCAGGTTCAAGCAATTCTCCCTAGCCTTCTTAAGTAGCTGGGATTACAGGCATGTGCCACCACACCTGGCTAATTTTTGTATTTTTAGTAGAGACGGGGTTTCACCATGTTGGCCAGGCTGGTCTGGAACTCCCGACCTCAGGTGATCCGCCCGCCTCAGCATCCCAAAAGGCTGGGATTACAGGCATGAGCCACCGCACCCGGTCTGCATTCTACTCTCTGATTCCATGAGTTTGACTACTCTAGGGACCTCGTATTCGTGGAACCGTACAGTAGTTGTCCTTGTACGACTGACTTCTTTCACTTAACATAATCTCCAATGGGAGAAAATATTTGCAAAGATTCTTCCCAAATGTCTCTCTCATATCCATCAAACACAGAGTCCATGAGGACCAGATTGCCAGCAGCTTCATGCTCCCTCTTTCCACCAGTCAGTTCTGCATTTGCAAACGTTCATATGTATTTCTTATTAAGTTCCACGGAGTCCTCACCTGCCCTCTGCAGGAGGAGAAAACACATTAAGGACTGAGGACAGAGAACATGGTTCTGCTCCAAAGCCACCAGCTCCTGCATGTCCCCGCCCTCTTTCTAAGTTGGGATTCTACTCTTCCTGTTGTTGTTGTTTGTTGTTGTTGTTGTTGTTGTTGTTTGTTGTTTGTTGTTGTTACGGAGTCTTGCTCTGTCACTCAGGCTGGAGTGCAGTCGTGTAATCTCGGCTCACTACAACCTCTGCCTCCCAGGTTCAAGTGATTCTCCTTCCTCAGCCTCCCGAGTAGCTGGAATTACAGGCATGCTCCACCACACCCAGCTAATTTTTGTATTTTTAGTAGAGACTGGGTTTTTCGCCATGTTGGTCAGGCTGGTCTCGAACTCCTGACCTCAGGTGATCTGCCCACCTCGGCCTCCCCAAGTGCTGGGATTACAGGTGTGAGCCACCGCACCCGGCCTTCTACTATACCTTTTACTGACTCACTGTCTCATGTCAGTCACCATGATATACCTGGAAAGAATAACCTCACCTTGTAATTCTGAGACCTCAGCACCAGCATGTTCCAGGTGAGGACCCCAAGGTCAGCCAGGCAGTCAGCCATCAGGGAAGGAACAGGAGAGGTGCCAGGGGATGTGACTCCTGGTCCTGTGTCTGTCCAACACCCAATGCTGCTGCTTAATTCACAGTTGAGAAAGTCTCTTCTTCTTTCACAGGCAGGCAGCCTCACAGTCTCTGAGCCCTCAGACGGTCATGCATCTGTCTGTGACACACACATCTGTCTTCGTCTTTTTTTGTTTGTGTGTTTGTTTGTTTGTTTGCTTGTTTGTTTTGAGAGACAGAGTCTCACTCTGTCGCCCAGGCTGGAGTGCAGTGGTGCGATCTCGGCTCACTGCAAGCTCTGCCTCCCGGGTTCACACCATTCTCCTGCCTCAGCCTCCCAAGTAGCTGGGACTACAGGCGCCTGCCACCATGCCTGGCTAATTTTTTGTATTTTTTAGTAGAGACGGGGTTTCACCGTGTTAGCCAGGATGGTCTCGATCTCGTGACCTCGTGATACGCCCGCCTCGGCCTCCCAAAGTGCTGGGATTACAGGCGTGAGCCACCGCACCCGGCCTTGTCTTGGTCTTTTAAGGAGTGGAGTTGGCCAAAGAATAGGAGATGTTGATTCTGATTAAAATATGCCTGTGGAGGAATCACAGGTGCCACACAGGGCAATCTTCTCTCTGTTTTCTGCACAGCGGAGCTGCCCAAGCCCTCCATCTCCAGCAACAACTCCAACCCCAAGGAGGACAAGGATGCTGTGGCCTTCACCTGTGAACCTGAGATTCACAGCACAACCTGCCTGTAGTGGGTAAATGGTCAGAGCCTCCCGGTCAGTTCCAGGCTGCAGCTGTCCAATGACAAGAGGACCCTCACTCTACTCAGTGTCACAAGGAATGACACAGGACCCTATGAGTGTGAAATACCGAACCCAGTGGGTGCCAGCTACAGTGACCCAGTCACGCTGAATGTCCTCTGTATCTTCTGTTCCTCTGTGGCCCAGGCTTCCAGCCCAAATCCACACAGCCAGAGGCCAGGCCTCTCAGTCCCTCTCAAGTCCAGGGACTCAGACTCTCACCCAGGCTGGCCATCACTTCCTGTCCCAAGCAAACCTGGGCAGACCCAGCCTTGACCAAGAATAGGAGGGGAGAGGCTGCTCCTGTCCTGGGAGGCTCAGGGTCCACAGCCTGTGATGGGAGAAACAGGTGAATATCTCAGACCCAGACTCAGTGGACAGATTGGGTTTCGTTAGGACTTCAAGGTTGTGACTTGGCTCACAGGGACACTGTGGCTCTTCCACAGACCAGGAGCTTCCCCTTCCCTTTGATGATATCATCTATGACTTTATTCTCGCTACTCCAGATGGACCGGGCATTCCCACCATTTCCCCCCCAGACTCCTATTACCATCCAGGGGCAAATCTCAACCTCTCCTGCCACATGGCCTCTAACCCACCTGCACAGTACTCCTGGTTTGTCAGTGGAATGCTCCAGCAACACACACAAAAGCTCTTTATCCCCAACATCGCAGTGGATAAGAGTGGATCCTATGCTTGCCTCGCCCATAACTCAGCCACTGGCCTCAGTACAATCACAGTCAAGACAATCACAGTCTCTGCTAAGTGGATCCCTGGAGCATAGGCCCTGAGCCCTGGGTAAAGCCACTCAGTTTTCTGAAAGAGCCTAGAAGTTTATTTCCCAGCCCATGTCTTGGACACAAGCAAATCCCAAACTCTACCCTGAGCCCTCTCACTCCACCTCTGCAGGACCCCTCCTCCCCTTGTTGTTCTGATTTCTCACAGCTGACCTTGGGGCCAGCCTGGAATGTTGTACAAATTTTGTTTTATCACTTACGAGTTCTGTGACCTTCCTTGACTTACTGAGGTGCTTTAAGTCTCAGATTCTAACTCTGCAGCTGGGGGTGATGCCCCCTCTCCCTCAAGGTGATGTAAGGATGAGATGAGTTGTAGGTAGGTTGGTGCCCACTGGAACTGGCACATGGAAGGCCCCTGAAAACAGTCAATGAACATCATCCCTGCTTATCAGCATTGAGTTGATGCCAAGGGCCTGCCCTTTGTGAGTGTCATGGGATGGAAAAGGAGAAACAGAGGGAAGAGGCATGATGCGAGAGGAAGGAGGGACTAAAAGGCACAGGAGCAGGGTGAGGTGCAGGCACCTCTGGGACAATGTATGAGTTGGTGCCGCCCAGTGTGTCAAGCCTGCAGAAAATGGTGCCACCATGGAAAGCAAGGGAATCTGTGATGAGGACAACACAAGAGACTACACTCAGGCCCCATGGCATCTCCTTCTTCCCTGACTGCACACCTTCCCTGCAAGGCCCCTGTGGTTTCCTCTGGGATAGACTTGGGCCTCTATCCCCTTTGCCTTCTTCTTTCTGCAGAAGAAAATGCCCCAGGCCTTCCTGTGGGGGCCGTCGCCGGCATCGTGACCGGGGTCCTGGTCGGAGTGGCGCTGGTGGCCGCGCTGGTGTGTTTCCTGCTCCTTGCCAAAACTGGAAGGTACCACAGCTTTTTCCCATCCTTCTCCCACCCCCTAGGCTGACTCCAGGCCAAAAGAAAGGAGACCTTGTCCTGTATTCAGGGCCAGGCTCTCCACGGCCTCCCAAGTCCCCAGGGATCCTTCCCTCTTATTCCACGGCTCCTCCCTCGTCAGCTCCTGACCCTGGGTTGCTGCCTCAACAGCTTCCTCCTCTGTGAATTTGGCCCAATTAAGGCCCCACCCCTGAGTGTGGCCCTAGTTCCCTCACACAGCAAAGCCACAGCTGCCTGGAGGGAGGGAGAGAAGGAGGGAGGGAAGTAGGGAGGGAGGGAGGGAGGGCGTGCTCTGTACTTGGTACCTCCCATTGTTCATTGAATCCATCCACACAGTGAGGGGGATTTGCAGGCTCCGGATCCTGGGCACCGTCACACAATGGGGAGTGGACCAGCCTGGACAGGCTGGGTGGGGTCAGTGCCCCCCATGGCTGATGTGGTAACCATAGGCCCTGAGGTGTGAGATGGGAGAACCTGGGCCTCAGAACAGCATGTCCTGGAGCGTCCTTTGTGTCTCTTGCCAAGGGGTTGAGAGAGAGGACAAGGACACTGTCCCATTTCAGCATCACCAGCCCTGAGTGCAGGGTCTGGCCACAGCAGGGACACTGAGTTCCAGGAGAATCCAAGACACTTGCGGTCCCCTCCGTGTCCTGCACACGTGGCCCTGCTTTGCCTCTGGGGACTTGACCCTTCCTCTCAGGCAAACCCTCGTGGTCTGTTTCCTTCCTTGGGTCCTCAGTCCCTTTCCTGGGTCCCTGGGTCAATGTTCTCCTGGCCCGGCATCTGCCTGAGGGTCCTTCCCCTCTGCTCAGGACAGATGTGGGTTCCTAAAGCCTTTCCTCAACTCCCCTCTGCTGGGCTCCCCCTAACACAAACCTGAGGGAGACAGGAGGTCTCCATGCCCATCCTTGAAAATGGGTTTCCCTTCTTGTCCCCTGTTCGAACTCCAAAGTTGTGGCTTTTAACCTGGCACCCTCCCAAATGACCCTGACCTTTCCTAGAACCAGCATCCAGCGTGACCTCAAGGAGCAGCAGCCCCAAGCCCTTGCCCCTGGTGAGTGTCCTCTCAGCCCAGGTGTGGCTGGGAACCCCTAGGACAGCCCCACAGTGTCCGCTCCTGCCAGTCACTGCCAGGCAGACTCTGATCCTTTCCCGGGGGCTGCAAGGAGGATCTCATAAAACATCACACAGGGGACCCCAATTGCTTGGGTCAGCCCTCACCTGTGGGCTCTGGGTCATGGGTCACCTCCCCAACCTCAGCTGCTCAGGTATCTTAGAGCTGAGGACCCCCTACGCCTTCCTGGAGAGGGGATAAGGCTCTCCTCCCACCCTGCTGCTCACTCCTGTCTCTGTTTCCAGGCCGTGGTCCCTCCCACAGCTCTGCCTTCTCGGTAAGCCTGTCCCCTTCCAGCCCCTTTCTACTGGGGTCCCAGCTGTGCAGGCTCTGGGCAGAGGGACCATCAGCCCCCCAGCACAGAACAGACCCACCTTCCCCCAAAACACACAGGACAAGGCTAGCCCTGCCCTGGCCAGGAGCTGGGCCTCCCTACAGGGTCAGGACCACCCACGCCCTGTGCTGACCCCTCCCCGGGACCCTCCATCACCTGAGGAGACCCCTGGAGTGCAGCAGGTGCAGAGTGGACACTGGGACCATCAGTCAGGGGCCCACATTAACAAGGGTGCAGGGTGGGCCCAGCCAGGAAAAGGGTCAGGGTGCTGTGTCCACACTGGGAGGCTGAGCTCAGGGGCAGAGCTGGTCACTCCTGAGGGGAAATGACCAGAAGTAAACACAGAGAAGTAAATCCTGGCCAATCAGAGACAGGAAACTTCCAGGCTGGGCCTCCATGACCCTCCCTCCCTGTCCACAGATGTCCCCTCTCTCCACTGCCCAGGCCCCCCTACCCAACCCCAGGACAGCAGCTTCCATCTATGAGGTGAGTGTGGGCCACGGATGTTCTGGTCCCACAGGCCCCAGGGGACCCAGGATCTTCCCCTACTGGCATCGGCTGAGCTCTGAGATTCAGGAAACTGCTGTGAAAATAAGAACGGGGGTGGCGAGCAGAGGAGGGAGGGGCTTGGGAGCAGGAACCCCCTGAGCACAGCCAGGTTCAGCCCCAGAGCAGCCCTGGATGGGCCCAGAGCCTGGGAGACGCCACACCCTGTTCTGAGGAGACTAGAGGGGTCCAGGCCTCTTCTCTGTTTTAACAGGAATTGCTAAAACATGACACAAACATTTACTGCCGGATGGACCACAAAGCAGAAGTGGCTTCTTAGCTTCCTCCAGGAGCTGCTCCTGTGTGTTGATGGAGAGTCCCCAAGGCCCCCAGCCCTGGGGATGGGGAAGGACATGAAGCCTGAGCCAGAGAACCAGCTATAAGTCCTGAGAAGACACTGGTGTCTGGGGGCAGGGAGGGATGGGGGTCCCTGATGAATATCTGGAGACCTCGACAGCCTGCCCTAGGCCCTGGGTGGGTCAGGACAAAGGCCTCTCATCACCGCAGAAAGCGGGGGCTTGCAGGGAAAGTGAATGGGCCTGTGGCCCACCTGGGGTCACTTGGAAAGGATCTGAATAAAGGGGACCCTTCCTCTCATTAGCTGTTTTTCTGCTAGTGGGAACTTAGCAAAAATTCGCCTGAAACTCCATATCCATTCTCTCCTGGGTCACACAAGGAAAATGTCATCTCCAACTTATTTCAACCCCAGTCTCTCTTCCCTGGGAGGCAGAAATAGGGGGTTGGGAGTCAGGCTGGGGTGGACCCTACACAGGAAAGGGCAGGATTCACAGGAGACCTGCCCAGCCAGCTGAGCGCTTGGCTGTGCTCATACTGCCCCAGGGACCCACGGTGCCTAGCCCTGGCCACTGGGTTTCTTCTCTGTCCAAAAGGCCAGTGCTCAGGACATCTTTACCCATATCAGGGGACACACAGAGGGCCTGTCAGAGTAATCAAGGTGAGGACAGACCCAGAATTTAGTCCTGGAGTAAAATCCTCCCAGACACTACCTGGGACTCTAGCCCATCATTTCCCATCAGTTCCCACTTTACCCCCTGGAGTGGATCTCACTGAACAATCCTCCACTCCACACAGGAGATTCCAGGTCAGAGACACAGGGCTCTCTCACCTAAAGCTCACGCAGTCTACCATGGCAATGGGACAACCTCTCTCCTCTTCTCCCTGGCCTGCAGGGCCCTCCACTCAGGCCTCACCAGCAGCTCCACCACATACCTGGGCCGGCAGTTCTCTGTCCCTCCTGAGGGCCCTGGGGAGTGTAATGATCTCATGTAGGTTCACTCAGACCAGGTGTCCCCTTCCCACAATCAGGCTGGTCCCTGCACTAAAGCACAGAGCCACGGTTCCTGAGGGTATTCTGCCACTGCCCAGGGTTGTTTGCCATGAGATGGGAAGTAGGAAAAACAACCTGCAAATTTACATCAGGATTTAGCTCTAAATGACTCCTTACCTCACTTGTACACATCGTCAGATGAGACAAGGTGATGTCTCTTGTGTCAGTTTCCTGTTGATGCTGTGACAAATTCCCACAGGCCAGGCATGTTGGTTTGTGTCTTGGTCCCACTTACTCAAGAGGCTGAGGCAGGAGGATCGCTTGAGCCCAGGAGGTTGAGGCTGCAGTGAGCTCTGATCACACCACTGCACGCTGGCCTAGGCAACAGAGATGACAACTCCATTGTTAACTTAGTGGCATAAAACAACAACGTGTCCACTTGGCTGTGTTCTTCCTGGCAGCTCCAGGGAAAAGTCTGTTCCCTCACCTTTTCCAATTACTAGAGGCCGCCTGCATCCTTAACTTTGGCCCCTTCCTCCATCTTCAAAGCGAGCAGTACAGCATCTTGAAACCTCTCTGTGCTCTGCTTCCATCCTCACTGACTTCCCCGCCTCCCTGTCTCACTTGTATGGTTATTTTGGACCCACCTGGATAAACCACAATAATCTCCCCATCTCATCATCCTTCATTTATCTGCTAAGTGTCTTTGACCATGTGCCATATTCACAGATCTTGGGATGAGGATGTGTGCATCTTTGAGAGGGGCTTGTTCTATCCATCTCTCCTCTCAAGGCCATTTTATCATGATTGTTCACTACAAAGTACACATGGGCACCTGGATAGGGTTATCCTGACTGTGGCATCAGTTTTTGCAGTGACGTCCCAGCACCCTCCAGGTCCTGAGAGAGGGAGACGGAGGGCTCTCCATGCCCCTAGTACCTCTCCACCTTCTCCTCGGTGACAAGCTTAGTTGTTAAGAATAAAAGAGATGTGTCTGGGCGTGGTGGCTCACACCTGTAATCCCAGCACTTTGGGAGGCCGAGGCAGGCAGATCACCTGAGGTCAGGAGTTCGAGACCAGCCTGACCAACATGGCGAAACCCTGGCTCTACTAAAATTACAAAAATTAGCTGCACGTGCTGGCGCACGCCCATAATCCCAGCTACTCTGGAGGCTGAGGCAGGAGAATCACTTGAACCTGGGAGGTGGAGGTTGCTGTGAGCCAAAATAATGCCACTGCACTCCAGCCTGGGTGACAGAGTGAGACTCCATCTCAAAAAAAAAAAAAAAAAAAAAAAAAGAAAAGAAAAGAAAAGAAAAACAAAGAATAAAAGAGATGTGACTGGAAGATCACAACTCACCAGCCCTTCAATCGTTCATGGACATCAGCACCATGGATAGTGACCACGGAAGGGTCATCCCCAGGCACTGCAGCAGGGAGCGCACAGATGGAAAGAAACTGCCGGGAAAAGCTGCCCAGTCTATTCTGCCTGAGAAAGACACAATGAGGGAGAACCTGATTCTTCTCTAATTTATTTGTTGTGAGCCCTGTGCACATGACTAAATGTTAGGGTTGTTGGCAAAGGTTGTTGACGCCCCTGGCAGGGCTGATTTCTGTACCCAAAGTATGACCTTGGAGAGGCTGAGTCTGCTCTGGTTTCCCAGTGAATGTCCCTACCTCTGAGACTCAAGCCATTGTCTCTGCCTACAACACAGTGGGAACTTTTCATGATTAACTTCCGACCCCCGTGCCTGACCTTGGAACCACTACCATCACCCAGCCTGGAGCACTGCCTGAGCACAGCATCCTGTTCCCTGAGCTCCAGCTAAGCCCCTGGGAAGCTGAGCTGAACCGAGCCCCTGAACAATCCTCTCAGTGACTCCAGGCCAGGCCTCGTGCCCCATGTCAGAGGCCTTTGCCATCTGCCAGTCCTTCCCACACAATCCTCCTGAGGGACAAGTGGAGGCCTGAACATCTGTCTCCCAGGGTAGGGCCCAACTTCTCCAGGAGACAAAAACAGACCAGAGTCCTCCCAGTCACCCTCACCCTCCTCATTCCCACCACTTCCCACCCACAGAGGCAACTCTGGTCCTACAGACCCACCCCTGCCCTTCCCAAGAGCTCAGGTCCAGTCAATCAGTGTCCCTGCAGGTCACACACACACACCACTCAGAGTGCTCAGTGGAAGGGTCACTCAGGTCCCCACCGAGAGTCTCCCGTGCTTTGGATGGGTCAGAATCCTCTTCACATCCCACATCTGGGCAGTCAACAAGGTCTTCTCTGCACTGTCCTCGCACCTACAGTGTCTGTCTTGGTCATCCTCGTCATCTTTTCTGAGCACGGCCACAGCTCCTAACAAGTGGGGTTAAGGCTCCTGACAGATAGGGTTAAGGCATAGGACCGTGATTCTGAGGGCTTCTCAGGTCTTGCCTGTTATGTGAAATTAGCATGTACAACACATAGAATTTGTATGTTTACCTCATAATTTTAATGTGCACACCCTTTGATCATTAATTAGTCACATTAAGAAGAGCCTCCCCTGAATCGTGAGTTCTAAGGAGGCAGGAGTACACCTGTCCTGGTCTCTGCTAAGTCCAGTGACAAGCACCCAGTCTGGCACAAGGATGCTTCATAAATACATGTGGAATAAATGAGATCCTCTTACACCCTGCTCACTTCCCTGACTTATGTGACCAGACGGAAACTCCTAATGTACAGGAGAGAAAGGCAGAAATGCTGGAGACCAGCGAGAAAGCTGTTTTTTGAAAGAGCAGCAAGTTCCAGGCCTCTAAAGATACTTCTGGACTTTACGTGGTGCAGAGAAAAAGACAAAACCAATACATTCCCTTCAAACCACTAAAGTGGGTGGGGCCATAGCCTAACTGAGAAAGAAAAAGACCAAGGTAGGGTACAGTTCCCCTAACCCACTTTGTTTCCAGACATCAAAAAATACAGTTTGTGGTCTTGGACTCTGATGTGGAAAAAGTACAAACCAAAAATTGTGTTACCACTAATTTCCTTGCTATGAGCAGTCATGAAATATCAATGTACAACCATACATGCAAAGATACAAATTCAAACAGCACTTCAGTGAACATTCACAGGACCAGTGTCAGAGGTCTGCAAACTAACTACATTTGTTTTAACTTTGAATTTTTAAATAATTGTAGATTCACAGAAACTTGAAAAAAAATGTACTTGGAGGCCCATCACCCTTCACCCAGCCTCCACCAATGTTCACATTTTGCATAACTATAATTCAATGTCAAAACCAGGAAAGCGACATTGGTACAATCTGCAGAGCTTTTTTCATATTTCACCAGTTATACATGCATGTGTGCGTGCATACATGTGTGCATTTGTGTGTGGGTGTGGATGTGCACGTGTGTGTCTCTATGCTATGCGGCTACCACAGTCACAACATCATATGTTGCCACCCCTTCATAACCACAATACCCTCCCTGTCCCATAACTACTTCTGGCAAGCACTAATCTAGTCTACATCTCTATGGTTATGTTATTTCAAGAATGTTACATAAATGGAATTGTACAGTATGTATGTTTTTTTTTTGTTTTTTTTTGTTTGTTTGTTTGTTTTTTGGAGATAGAGTCTTGCTCTGTCGCCCAGGCTGGAGTGCAGTGGCATGATCTTGGCTCACTGCAACCTCTGCCTCCCGGTTTTAAGCAATTATCTTGCCTCAGCCTCCCAAGTAGCTGGGATTACAGGGATTACAGACGTGCGCCACCACACCCAGGTAATTTTTGTGGTTGGCTGGTTGGTTTGTTTGTTTGTTTGTTTGGAGACAGAGTTCCGCTCTTATTGCCCGGGCTGGAGTGCAAAGGCGCAATCTCTACTCATCACAACCTCTGCCTCCCGGGTTCAAGCGATTCTCCTGCCTCAGCCTCCTGAGTAGCTGGGATTACAGGCATGCGCCACCACGCCCGGCTAATTTTTGTATTTTTAGTACAGACGGGGTTTCTCCATGTTGGTCAGGCTGGTCTTGAACCCCCGACCTTAGGTGATCTGCCCGCCTTGGCCTCCCAAAGTGCTGGGATTACAGGTGTGAGCCACCTTGCACAGCCTTGTTTTTTTCTTTTTTAAGTAGAGACGGTATTTCACCACTTTGGTGAACTGGTCTCGAACTCCTGACCTCAGGGGATCCACCTGCCTTGGTCTCCCAAAGTGCTGGGATTACAGGGTTGAGCTACCACGCCCAGCCATCATGCAGTAGGTATGCTTTTGGTTTTTTTGCTTTTTGTTTTTTGTTTTTGCTCTTGTTGCCCAGGCTGGAGTGCAGTGGTGCAATCTTGGCTCACTGCAACCTCCACCTCCCAGGTTCAAGTGATTCTCCTGCCTCAGCCTCCCAAGTAGCTGGGATTACGGGCATGCGCCACAACGCCCGGCTAATTTTTGTACTTTTTTAGTAGAGACGGGGTTTCACCATGTTGGCCAGGCTGGTCTCGAACTCCTGACCTCAGGTGATCCACCTGCCTCGACCTCTCAAAGTACTGGGATTACAGGCATGAGCCACCGCACCAGGCCAGTATGTATGCTTTTGATATTGGCTTTGTTCTATCAGCAAACTTTCCTTGAGCTTCATCCAAGTTGTTGCAAGTATCAAGAGTTACTCCTTTTTATTGCTCAGGGGTGGTATTTCATAGTACTGCAATTTAATCATTCACCCATTGAAGGACATTGAATTCCTTTTTAGTCCTTGGCTATTGCAAATAAAGACACTATGAACATTCACGTACAAGTTTCCATGTGAAAATACTTTTTTCCTTTCTCTGGGAAGAATGCCCAAGAGTACAATAGTTAAGTCAGGTGACAAGCCCATTTTAAGTTTTAAAAAAAATTGCCAAAGTATTTTCCAGAATGACTGGAGCCAGCATGCATGAGTGCACCAGCAGTGTATGAGTGATTCAGCTTATCTGCATCCTCTCCAGCATTTGGTGTTATTATTATTTATGGTACCCCTTCTATTAGGTGTATAATGATATTTCATTGTGGTTTTAACTTGCTTTTATTTTCTTTTTTTTTTTTTTACTGGAGACATAGTCTCATTCTGTCACCCAGGCTGGAGTGCAGTGATGCTGGCCCACTGCAACCTCCACCTCCTGGATTCAAGCAATTCTCCTGCCTCAGCCTCCCAAGTAGCTGGGATTACAGGTGTGTACCACTACGCGCAGCTAATTTTGTAGTTTTAGTAGAGACGGGGTTTCACCATGTTAGCCAGGCCGGTCTCAAACTCCCAACCTCAGGTTATCCGCCCTCCTCGGCCTCCCAACTTGCATTTTTAATGGCTAATAATGTTGAGCATCTTTTCATGTGTTTATCTGCATATTCTTTTTGCTGAAATATCTATGCGGGTCTTTTCCTTTTTTTTTTTTTTTTTTTTTTTTTTTTTTTGAGGAGTCTTACTCCTGCCCAGGCTGGAATGCAGTGGCATGATCTTGGCTCACTGCAACCTCCACCTCCCGGATTCAAGCCATTCTCCTGCCTCAGCCTCCCTCGTGGCTGGGATTACAGGTGCGTGCCACCACGCCTAGCTAATTTTAGTATTTTTAGTAGAGAAGGGGTTTCACCGTGTTGGCCAGGCTGGTCTCGAACTCCTAACTTCAAGTGATCCATCCACCTCATCCTCCCAAAGTGCTGGGATTACAGGCGTGAGCCACCATGCCCAGCCTCTTTTCACATTTTCTAATTGGATTTTTTTTTTTTTTTTTTCTTGAGACGGAGTCTCACTCTGTCACCCAGGCTGGAGTGCAGTGGTGTGATCTCGGCTCACTGCAAGCTCCGCCTCCTGGGTTCAGGCCATTCTCCTGCCTCAGCCTCCCGAGTAGCTGGGACTACAGGCGCCCACCATCACACCTGGCTAATTTTTTGTATTTTTAGTAGAAACAGGGTTTCACCGTGTTAGCCAGGATGGTCTCGATCTTCCTGTGATCTGCCCGCCTCTGCCTCCCAAAGTGCTTGGGAGGTACCTTGTGATCCACCCACCTCGGCCTCCCAAAGTGCTGGGATTACAGGCATGAGCCTCCACGCCCAGCCTCTAACTGGATTTTTTAATGTTGAGTTTTGAGCATTCTTTATGTATTCTAGACACAACTCCTTGGCTGGATATCTGATTTGCAAATATTTTCTCCCAATCTGTATTTGTCTTCTTTTTCTCTTAACAAGGTCTTTCACAGAGCAGAAGATTTTAACTTTGATTTAAAAATTCATCAGTATTTCTTTTATGGATCGCATTTTGGGTGTCAAGTCTAAGAACTCTCTTCTTTCACTTTGTCGAAAATTAACGCACATACCTGTGCACACCTATTTCTAAGTCCCCTATTCTCTCCCATTGATATATGTGTCTATCCCTCAATCAGTCCCATGTTGTCTTGATTACTATAACTATATAGCAAGCCTTATGAGGAAGAGTGATTTTTCCCATCTTATTATTCCTTTTCCAAATGATTTTGGCTATTTTAGGGCCTTTCCTTTTCCATATAAATTTTAGAGTAAGCTTATCTAGGTCTATGAAAAAAAATTGCTGACATTTAGCTAGGAATTGCATTAATGTAGATCAATTTAGGGACAATGAACATCTTTACTGTCTTGAGTCGTCCAATTCATGAACACATGTCTCTCCAAGTATTTAGTTCTCCTTTGATTTCGTTCATCGGCATTTTGTAATTTTTATCATATAGTTCCTGTACATGTTTTGGTAGAGTTATGTCCGAGTATTTCATTTTCTCTGGAGCAATTGTAAGTGGTACTAGGTTTTTATTTTGGTTTCCACTAGTTCATTGTCTGTATACAAAAATGCAATTGAATTTTGCATGTTGATCTTGTATCTTGTGACTTTATTGAACTCACTTATTAGTTCTAAAAGATACGTTTTTGTAAATTCCTGGAGATCTTTTACATAGATAATCAAGTCATCTTCAAATAGAGACAGTTTTATTTATTATTTTCTTCTTCTTTTTTACTTTTCGAGACAGGATCTCACTCTGTAGCCCAGGCTGGAGTGCAGTGGCACAATCTCTGCTCACTGCAGTCTCAACCTCCCAGGCTGAAGCAATCCTCCTACCTCAGCTTCCTGAGTAGCTGAAACTACAGGCACATGCCACAGTGCCTGGCTTTTTTTTGTTTTTATTTTTGTTTTCTTTTTTTTTTTAAGACGGCGTCTCACTCTGTCACCCTGGCTGGAGTGCAATGGCGTGATTTAGGCTCACTACAAGCTCCGCTTCCCGGATTCACGCCATTCTCCTGCCTCAGCTTCCCGAGTAGCTGGGACTACAGGCGTCTGCCACCACATCCGGCTAATTTTTTGTATTTTTAGTAGAGATGGGGTTTCACCGTATCAGCCAGGATGGTCTCGATCTCCTGACCTCATGATCCACCCTCCTCGGCCTCCCAAAGTGCTGGGAGTACAGGCGTGAGCCACCATGCCAGGCCGCCTGGCTTTTTTTTGTAGAGATGGGATCTCATTATGTTGCCCAGGCTGGTTTCAGACTCCTGAGCCCAAGCAATCCACTCACCTCGGCTCTCCAAACATCTGGGACCGCACCCAGGCATGCACCACTGCACCCAGCCTATTTCTTACTTTCTTTCTTTTTTTTTTTTTTTTGAGACACAGTCTTGCTCTTGTCACCCAGGCTAAAGTTCAATGGCACGATCTTGGCTCACTGCAACCTCCACCTCCCAGGTTCAAGCAATTCTCCTGCCTCAGCCTCCCAAGTAGCTGGGATTACAGGCGCCCACCACCATGCCTGGCTAATTTTTGTATTTTTAGTAGAGACAGGGTTTCGCCTTGTTGGCCAGGCTGGTCTTGAACTCCTGACCTCAGGTGATCTGCCCGCTTCAGCCTCCCAAAGTGCTGGGATTACAGCTGTGAGCCACCGCACCTGGCCCTATTTCTTACTTTCTAGTCCATATGTATTTATTTCCTTTTCTTGCCTTATTCCAGTGCTGAAACTTCCAGTAGTATATTGAATAAGGATGATGAGAGTGGGCACCCTTGCCCTTTTCTTAGTATTAGAGGGAAAACATTCAGTCTTACACCATTGAAAGTGCAACCAGGCATGGTGGCTCACACCTGTAATCCCAGCACTTTGAGCGGCCAAGTTGGGCAGATAACTTGAGGTGAGGAGTTCGAGACCAGCCTGGCCAACATGGTGAAACACCATCTCTACCAAAAATACAAAAAAAAAAAAAAAAATAGTCGAGTGTGCTGGCCTGCACCTGTAGTCCCAGCTACTCAGGAGGCTGAGGCAGGAGAATCACCTGAACCTGAAAGGAGGAGGTTGCAGTAAGTGGAGATGGTGCCACTGCATTCCAGCCTGGGTGACAGAGCAACCCCTATCTCAAAAACAAAAAAATTTTTAAGGAATGATGTTAAATGACAGAAGATGAGAAAGACAGCAGAGTAAGTCTCTCCAGCCATTATCTCCCAGCAGAAACATCCATTTGAGCAACTATCCACACACAAAATTACTTTCACAAGAGCCAAAAAAAAAAAAAAAACTCGAACACACGAGTGAAGCTGGGAAGCGCCCTTGGACCACAAAGACAAGCAAAACCACGGTTGGAAGGTAAAGGGATCAGTTCTCTGTGCTTGCAACATGCCTCCCCTCAAGCCATTATGGCACCACACGTGGAAACTCCCCATGGACCCATGATTTTTACACTGGAAAAACTGAGCTAGGGGTGGACATACAGATTCCCCATCATTCCGGGCCCCTCCACAAAAGACTCACTCCTGTATTGGCCCATAGAGAACACTGCAAGTACCTAAGGCCAGTTAAAGACAAAAAGAAGGGGTGGGGTTGGGCAGCCACTGCAAGGAATTTGGCAGTGGCTCTCCATCCCTGCCAGAGGAGATGCTGCACCAAAGACACTGTTTACAGAAACCATGCTGCAGGAAGCATGGTCCACAGATCCTCTGGCCTTGAGGGCCTGGCTGGTTCTCCACAGGGCCCAGGTGCCCTCTGTGGCTCTCCCACCTGCCCCATCCAGGTCCGACATTTCATCAGCAGTGAAGCTAGTGCCAGACTCGCCTCTAACCTGGGCTTAGGGTACCCCCTAGTGTTGAAATGGAAGACAACAGTCAGTCCACTCACAATTTCTAAATAAGCCCACTGAAATAGAATGGTCACAAACAAACTCAGGCTGTAAAGACCGTAATAAACACCTAATTCACCAATGCATAGATAGAGACGCAGATCTAGGAATAAGAATAGCCTAGGAACGTGCCTCGTCAAATAGACAGAACAAAATGCCAATGAATTATCCTAAAAACATGCAAATGAATGGTCTGGCAGGCAAAGAATTCAAAACGGCTGTTTTAAGAAAACTCAGAGAACTTAAAGAAAACATAGAGAAACAATTCAGACGTTTGTCAGAGAAATGTAACAGCGAAAGTAAAATAATAAGAAACAAACAGAAACCTTGAAGCTGAGAAGTACAATATGAAATGAAAAATGTGCCGGGCGCGGTGGCTCATGCCTGTAATCCCAGCACTCTGGGAGGCCGAGGCGGACGGATCACGGGGTCAGGAGATCGAGACCATCCTGGATAACACGGTGAAACCCCGTCTCTACTAAAAATACAAAAAATTAGCCGGGCGTGGTGGCGGGAGCCTGTAGTCCCAGCTACTCGGGAGGCTGAGGCAGGAGAATGGCGTGAACCCGGGAGGCGGAGCTTGCAGTGAGCCGAGATCGGGCCATTGCACTCCAGCCTGGGCGACAAAGCAAGACTCCGTCTCAAAAAAAAAAAAAAAAATGTGTCGGGCATAGTGCTGCATGACTATAGTCTCAGTTATTCAGGAGAATGAAGTGAGAGGATCACTTGAGTCCAGGAGTTTGAGACCAACCTGCTCAATATAGTGAGACCCCCGTCTCTGAAAAAATAAAAAATGTACTGTGTTCATGGACTGGAAGAATTAATATTGTTAAAATGTCCATACTAACCATGATGAACTACAAATTCAACTCAGTCTCTAGCAATATTTCAATGGCATTCTTCACAGAAGTAGAAATATAGGCCATTCGCAGTGGCTCGCGCCTGTAATTTCAGCACTTTGGGAGGCCACAGTGGGTGGATCACTTGAGGCCAGGAGTTAAACTACACTGACCAACCTGGCCAATCCCATCTGTACTAAAATACAAAAATTAGCCAGGCACGGTGGTGCATGCCTGTAACCCCAGCTACTCAAGAGGGTGAGGCAAGAGAATTGCTTGAACATGGGAGGCCGAGTTTGTAGTGAGCCAAGATGGCGCCACTGTACTCCACCCTGGGCAACACAGCAAGACTCTGTCTCAAAAAAAAGAAAAAAGAAAAATGCTCCCAATACTCTGGGAGGCCGAAGCAGGTGGATTACCTGATGTCAGGAGTTCGAGACCAGCCTGGCCAACATGGTGAAACCCCATTTCTACTAAAAACACAAAAATGTGCTGGGTGTGGTGGTGTGCACCTATAATCCCAGCTACCTAGGAGGCTGAGGCTGGAGAAATTTTTTATTTCCTTATTAATTTCTTCATTTACCCATTGGTGGCTCAGTAGTATGTTGTTTAATTTCCATGTGCTGGTGTGTTTTCTGGGATTCCTCTCATTATTAATTTCTAGTTTTATACCCCTGTGGTAAGAAAAATATACTTACGCCCTGCCTGGTGGCTCACGCCTATAATCTCAACACTTTGGGAAGCCAAGATGGGAAGATCACTTGAGGCCAGGAGTTCAAGACCAGCCTGAACAACATAGTGAGATTCCATCTCCACAAAAGTAAAAAAAAAAATTAGCTGGGCATTGTGGGGCACTCCTGTAACCCCAGCTATCTGGGGGGCTGAGCGAGGAGGATCATTTGAGCCCAGGAGTTGGAGGCTGCAGTGAACTATGATCTCACCACTGCACTCCAGCCTGGGCAACAGAGTAAGACCCTATCTCTTTTAAAAAAAGAAAAGATACTTAATAAGATTCCTACTTTTTTGAATTTATTGAGACTTGGTTTGTGGCCTAAGATATAGTCTACTCTGGAGAATGTTCCATGTGCTGATGGAAAGAATATCTATTCTGCAGCAGTTGGGTGAAATGTTCTGTAAATATCAGGCCTGTTTGGTCTAAAATGTAGTTTAACTCCAATGTTTCTTTGTTGATTTTCTGTCTGGGTGATCTGTCCATTATTGACAGTGGGGTGTCGAAGTCCCCAGCTATTATTGTATTGCAGTCTATCTCTCCCTTTAGATCTATTAATGTTTGTTTTATACACTTTGGTGCTCCAGTGTTGAGTACATAAATATTTATAATTTTTATATCTTCTCACTACATTGACCCCTTTAGCGTTATATAGTGACCTTCTTTCTCTCTTTTGATAGTCTTTGGCTTGTAGTCTATTTTATCTGATATAAGTACAGTTTCTTATGATCTAGCAATCCCACTACTGGGCATTTATCCAAAGGAAAGGAAATTATACTGAAGAGACATCTACACCTTCATGTTTATTGCAGCACTATTCACAATAGCTAAGATAAAAAATCAACCTAGGTTTCCAACAACAGATAAATGGATAAAGAAAATGTGGTATATACATAAACCATGGAATACATTCAGCCTTAAAAAAAAAGAATAAAATCCTGTCTTTTGGAGCAACATGGTGGAACTGGAGGACATTAAGTAAAATAAGCCATGAACAGAAGGTAAAACCCCACATGTTCTCATTCATACGTAGAAGCTTTAAAAAAAGTTGATCTCATAGAAGTAAAAAGTAGAACAGAGAATACTAGAGGATGGGAAGGGAGGAATGGAAAGCAATTTGTTAAAGGATACAGAATTATAGCTGGATAAGAGGAATAAGTTCTAGTGCTCTATACCACCGTAGGATGACTATATTTAACAATAATATATTATATAGTTTCAAGTGGCTAGGAGGATGTTGAACATTCCCAACACAAAGAAATGATAAATGCTTGAGATGATAGGTATGCTGATTGCCCTGATCCAATCACTATAAATTGTGTGTATCAAAGCATCACTATGTACCCCATGACTATGTACAATTGTTATTTGTCAATTAAAAATAAAATACAATGTTTAAAAAATAAAAATAAGTATTGCTACTCCTACACTTTTTTGGTTTCCACTTGCGTGGAATTTTTTTTCCATCCCTTCACTTTCAGTCTACGTGTGTCTTTATAGGTGAAGTGGGCTTGTTGTAGGCAGTATGTAGTTGGGTCTTGTTTCTTTATCCCTTTAGCCACCCTTTTTTTTTTTTTTTTTGAGACAGAGTCTCGCTTTGTTGCCCAGGCTGGAGTATAGTGGCGCGATCTTAGCTCCCTGCAAGCTCTGCCTCCTGGGTTCACGCCATTCTCCTGCCTTAGCTTCCCAAGTAGCTGGGACTACAGGCGCCCGCCACCTTGCCGGCTAATTTTTTGTATTTTTAGTAGAGACGGGGTCTCACCGTATTAGCCAGGATGGTCTCGATCTCCTGACCTCGTGATCTGCCCGCCTCGGCCTCCCAAAGTGCTGGGATTACAGGCGTGAGACACCGCTCCCAGCCCATTCTGTGTCTTTTAAATGGAGAATTGCATCCATTAACATTCACATGATTATTAATCAGTACTGCAGTTTTGTTGCTTGTTTTCTGGTTGTTTTGCAACTCCCTCTTCTTTTTCTTTCTTTCCTATTGTCTTCCTTTGTAGTTAAGTGATTTTCTCTGGTAGTATGTTTTAAGTCATTTATCTTTAAGTGAATATATTATAGGTTTTGGCATTATGATTACCTTGAGCTTTACAAAAAACATCTTATGGATTATAACAAATTAACTTAAGGAGATGACAACTTATCTTAGATCATAAAGAACAGAAATGAAGAAAGCAGGAAAAAATACTCTAGACTTTAACTCCCTTCCCCCACCCCCTACATTTTGACTTTATGTTGTCTCAATTTACATATTTTTATATCGCCTATCTCTTAACAGTTTGCTGTAGCTATTATGTTCTTGATATTTTTGTCTTTTGGGCTTCATACTAGAGTTATTAGTGGATTTTACACCACAGTGATAGTTTAGAGTACATATTCATGTACTTAATTTTATCAGTGATTTTTACACCTTTAAGTGTTTTCTTTTTACATGTTAGTGTTTTTTCTTTCCAATTGAAGAACCGCTTTAGCATTTCTTGTAAGATGAGTCTGCTGGTGGTGAATTTTCTCAGCTGTTGTTTGTCTGGAAGAAACTTTCTCTCTCCTTCGTATTTGTAGGGTGGCTTTGCTGGATACAGTGTTCTTGGAGAGCAGGGGTTTCTACCTTCAGCACTTTGAATATGCCATCCCACCCCTACCTGGCCTGTATGATTTCCACTAAGAAGTCTGTTGCTTGGCCGAGTGTGTTGGCTCCATGCCTGTAATCCCAGCACTTTGGGAGGCCGAGGCGGGTGGATCACCTGACGTCAGGAGTTCGAGACTAGCCTGGCCAACATGGAAAAACCCTGTCTCTACCAAAAATACAAAAATTAGCTGGGCGTGGTTGTGCACACCTGTAATCCCAGCTACTCGGGAGGCTGAGACAGGAGAATCGTTTGAACCCAGGAGGCGGAGGTTGCAGTGAGCCGAGATTGTACCACTGGACTCCAGCCTGAGTGACAGAGTGAGATTCTGTCAAAAAAAAAAAAAATCTGTTGCCAAATTGGAACTCCTTTGAATATTATTTGCTTATTTTCTCCTGCTGCTTTTAGGATTCTCTCTTCGTCCTTGACCTTTGCAAGTTTATTATATGCCGTAGGATAGTCATATTTGGGTCAAATCTGTTTGGTGTTCTCTGACCTTGTTGTACCTAAATACTTATCTTTTTCTAGTTTTGAAAGTTTTCTGTTTTATTTCTTTGAATAAGCTTTCTACCTCTTGCTCTTCCCCAACTCCCTCTTAAACATTAATAATTTTTAGATTTGGTTTGGAGCATTTTTTTTCTTTTTTTTTTCTTTTTTTTTTTTTTTAGACAGAATCTCACTCTGTCACCAGGCTGCAGTGCAGTAGCATGATCTCTGCTCACTGCAACAAATTTTTTTGTATTTTTAGTAGAGACAGGGTTTCACCATGTTGGCCAGGCTAATCTCAAGCTCCTGACCTCAAGTGATCCACCCACCTCAGCCTCCCAAAGTTGGGATTACAGGCAGGAGCCACCACACCCGGCCAGATTTGGTCTTTTGAGGTAATTTTCTATATCTTGTAGGTGATCATCATTCTTGTTCATTCTTTTTTTTCTCCTCTGTGTATTTTCAAAAAGCCTGTGTTTGAGCTCACTGATTCTTTTCTCTGCTTGATCCATTCTGCTGTTGAGAGACTTTAATAAATTTTTCAGTTCAGCAAATGTATTTCTCAGTTCCAAGATCTCTTTTTTGTTTTTTTGTTTGTTTGTTTGTTTGTTTTTGAGACAATGTCTCACTCTGTTCCCTAGGTTGTAGTACAGTGGCATGATCATGGCTCACTGCAGCCTCGACATCCTGGGCTCAAGTGATCCTCCCGCCTGAGCCTCCCAAGTAGCTGGGACCACAAGCACACACCACCATGCCTGGTTAATTTTTTGGTTTTTTGTAGAGACAGGGTTTTGCCATGTTGCCCAGGCTGGTCTCGAAATCCTGAGCTCAAGCAATCCACCTGCCTTGGCCTCCAAAAGTGCAGAGATTACAGTGTAAGCCACCATGCACAGCCAGTTCTGAGATTTTTGTTTGTTTGTTTTATTTCAATATGTTTGTTAAATCACTGAGTTTCCTTAAAACTGCTCTTTTGAATTCTTGGTCAGAGAGCTCACATACTGTAGTCTCCTTAGGGTCAGTCACTGATTCCCTACTTTGTCCAATTGGGGAAGTCATGATTCCCTGTTTGCTGTTGTTTCTTGTGGATTTACATCTATGTCTTTGCATTAAATAATTATGTATTCCAGTCCTGTCTGGATGGCTTGTTTTGGTTTTCATTAGATGTATTTGCTTAGAGATTCTTTGTAATTTGTCTGTTGATTTTTTTTCCTACTAGGTTGCTGCCTCTTTTTTGGCAGTAAATGATGCCTTAACCCCTGGTTTGCCTTGGTTCTAGTAAACAATCAGAGCCAGGCATGGTGGCTCACACCTGTAATCCCAGCTACTCAGGAGGCTGAGGTGGGAGGATCACTTAAGCCCAAAAGTTCAAGACCAGCCTGGGGAACATAACAAGACTCTGTCTCAAAACAAAAACAAAACAAAACAAAACAAAACGCCAGGCACGGTGGCTCACACCTGTAATCCCAGCACTTTGGGAGGCCAAGGCAGGCGGATCACCTGAGGTCGGGAGTTAGTGACCAGCCTGACCAACATGGAGAAACCCCGTCTCTACTAAAAATACAAAATTAGCCAGGCATGGTGGTGCATGCCTGTAATCCCAGCTACTCGGGAAGCTGAGGCAGGAGAATCGTTTGAACCTGGGAGGTGGAGATTGTGGTGATCTGAGATCGTGCCATTGCACTCCAGCCTGGGCAACAAGAACAAAACTCCATCTCAAAAAAAAAAAAAAAAAATCAAAGCGTTGTCCATCCCAAATGAGAGAAGTCCCAAAGGGTCCTGGTAGTGTGGGAAGGCTGGATAAGCAGTTTGTGCTCAGGACAGCTGTGGAAGGAACCTGCTATAGCATAGTGCTGCTGAAAAGCCACTCATATTTGGTGTCTCATTTAGCCAAATTGCAGCGCAGAGTTTCCAGAACTGAAGATGGTAGTGCAGACTCCCCCACCCTTGTCTCTGCCTATCCTCAGGGATATTTCTCCCTCCAAGCACTCTCTGTGCTTTCTGTGGATTGAGAAAGGGTCAGGTTTCCTGTCAGGAAACCCAAGATAATGGGGAGGCTATTTGTCCGTCTCCATCTCACTTTTTTCAGTATAAAAACCATGAGTCTAGGGAAATTTTCTGTACACTTGGAGCCTGGCAGACTCGGGGGAAGGGCATCATGGATATGGATTTTTTTTTAAATTGCAAGGGTGAGTCTTACGTGTTTACAAACAAAATTATATGATTTCTGATATTTAACCCAGGGGGTGAAAGAGTAGATGAGTATAGATACAATAAAATTTGTCATGAGTGTATATATATATATATTTTCGAGATGGAATCTCGCTTGTTGCCCAGGCTGCAGTGCAGTGGTACAATCTCAGCTCACTGCAACCTCCACCTTCTGGGTTCAAGCGATTCTTCTGCCTCAGCCTCCTAAGTAGCTGGGACTACAAGTACATGCCACCAAGCCTGGCTAATTTTTATTGTATTTTTAGTAGAGATAGGGTTTCACCATATTGGCCAGGCTGGTCTTGAACTTCTGACCTCAAGGGATCTGCCTGCCTGGGCCTCCCAAAGTACTAAAATTACAGGTGTGAGCCATCACACCCAGCCCATGAGTTGATATTTTTGAAACTGTTGATGGGTACATGGGCGTTCACTATACCTTTCTCTTCAGTATAATAAACTAGAGTTTGTGGGACAGGCGGAGTGGCTCACGCCTGTAATCCCAGCACTTTAGGAGGCCGAGGCGGGTGGATCACAAGGTGAGGAGATGGAGACCATCTTGGCTAACATGGTGAAACCCCGCCTCTACTAAAAATACAAAAAAAATTAGCCAGGCGTGGTGGCGGGCGCCTGTAGTCCCAGCCACTTGGGAGGCTGAGGCAGGAGAACGGCATGAACCTGGGAGGCGGAGCTTGCAGTGAGCCGAGATCGCACCACTGCACTGCAGCCTGGGCGACAGAGCGAGACTCCATCTCAAAATAAAAACAAAATAAAATAAAAAATAAACTAGAGTTTGTGTGTATATGTTTGTGTACAAACTCTCCTTGTATATGATTTGAAATTTTCTATATGAAAAGTTTTTTAAAAGAGAGGAAAAAAATATCTAGCCCAGAAGAGAGAAAAAAAATAGCCCAAAAGTTTTTGGTTCTAGTTTCGGTTTTGTGTTTTTGAGACAGGGTCTCACTCTGTTGTCCAGGCTGGAGTGCAGTGGTACGATCACGTCTCACTATAGCCTTGACTTCGTGCAGCCCAGAAGTTTTATCAGTGATTTCTACAGAATTTTCATGATGGATCATCTCAATCTTATACAAACTCTTCCATAGGGAAGAAAAGGAAGGAGTATTTCCCCAACTCATTCTATTAGGTTAGTATAAACTTGATATTGAAACCAGAACCAAAAAAAGAGTACAAAAGAGGAAATTATCAGGCCAATCACATTCATGAACAGAGATGCATAAAAACCTAAACAAGGCATTAGGAAATCAAATCAACAGCATATTTAAAAATGAAACACTATGACTAGGTTTTGTTTGTTCCAGGAAAAGCAAAAAGGTGATTTAACATTATAAATCTATAAGTGGGCTTTTCTGCCCATGGACGCCGCCAAAGAAGCATCGTTAGAGTCTCAGTTCTCCCTGCCGTCATGTCTAAGTCAGAGTGTCCCGAAGAGCCTGAACAGCTGAGGAAGCTCTTCATTGGAGGATTGAGCTTTGAAACAACTGATAAGAGCCTGAGAAGCCATTTTGAGCAATGGAGAATGCTCACGGACTGTGTGGTAATGAGAGATCCAAACACCAAGCGCTCCAGGAGCTTTGGGCTTGTCACATATGCCACTGTGAAGGAGGCAGATGCGCCATGAATGCTAGGCCGCACAAGGTGGATAGAAGAGTTGTGGAACCAAAGAGAGCTGTCTCAAGAGAAGATTCTCAAAGACCAGGTGCCCAGTTAACTGTGAAAAAGATATTTGTTGGTGGCATTAAAGAAGACACTGAAGGCCAGGTGTGGTGACTCATGCCTATAATCCCAGCACTTTGGGAGGCCGAGGAGGGCAGATCACCTGAGGTCGGGAGTTCAAGACCAGCCTGACCAACTTGAGAAACCCCGTCTCTACTAAAAATACAAAATTAGCTGGGCATGGTGGTGCATGCCTGTAATCCCAATTACTCGGGAGGCTGAGGCAGGAAAATCACTTGATCCCAGGAGCCGGAGGTTGTGGTGAGCCAAGGTTGCGCCATTGCACTCCAGCCTGGACGACAGACTGAGACTCTGTCTAAAAAAAAAAAAAAAAAAGAAGACACTGAAGAACATCACCTAAGAGATTATTTTGAACAGTATGGAAAAATTGAAGTGACTGAAATCATGACTGACCGAGGCAGTGGCAAGAAAAGGGGCTTTGCCTTTCTAACCTTTGATGACCGTGACTCCGTGGGTAAGATTATCATTCAGAAATACCATACTGTGAATGGCCACAACTGTGAAATTAGGGAAGCCCTATCAAAGCAAGAGATACCTAGTGCTTCATCCAGCCAAAGAGATCAAAGCAGTTCTGGAAATTTTGGTGGTGGTCATGGAGGTGGTTTTGGTGGGAATGACAACTTTGGTCATGGAGGAAACTTCAGTGGTCATGGTGGCTTTGGTGGCAGCCATGTTGTTGGTGGATATGGTGGCAGTGGGGATGGCTATAATGGATTTGGTAATGATGGAAGCAACTTTGGACGTAGTGGAAGCTACAATGATTTTGGCAATTACAACAATCAGTCTTCAAATTTTGGACCCATGAAGAGAGGAAACTTTGGAGGCAGAAGCTCTGGCCCCTATAGTGGTGGAGGCCAATATTTGCCAAACCACGAAACCAAGGTGGCTATGGCGGTTCCAGTAGCAGCAGTAGCTATGGCAGTGGCAGAAGATTTTAATTAGAAAACAAAGCTTAGCAGGAGAGGAGAGCCAGAGAAGTGACAGGGAAGCTACAGGTTACAACAGATTTGTGAACTCAGCCACGCACAGTGGTGGCAGGGCCTAGCTGCTAAAAAGAAGACATGTTTTAGACAAATACTCACGTGTATGGGCAAAAAACTCGAGGACTGTATTTGCAACTAATTGTATAACAGGTTATTTTAGTCTCTGTTCTGTGGAAAATGTAAAGCATTCCAACAAAGAGTTTTAATGTAGATTTTTTTTTGCATCGATGCTGTTGATCGCTAAATGTAATAGTCTGATCGTGATGCTGAATAAATGTCTTTTTTAAAAAAAAGAAATATATAAGTGGAAGGGGGCATGAGGGAGCTTCTAGGGTGCTAGGAAGGTTTTGTTTCCTTATCTAGCTACTATTTACATGGGTGTGTTCAATTTTTGAAAAGGCATCAAATAATACATTTATAATCTATGCACTTTTCTATATATAAGTAATGTATCAATTTTTTAAGTATTTTAAAGTATATATTACTTGCCATATTAAGAGAATAAAGGGAAAACTCATGACTATCTCAATAGATGCAGAAAAATCATGTAATAATATTTCCTGAGCTGGGTGTGGGGGCTAATGCCTGTAATTCCAGTATTTGGGGAGGCTGAGGCAGCAAGATTGCTTGAGGCCAAAAGTTTGAAACCAGCCTGGGCAACATAGCAAGACCCTGTCTCTATAAAAAAAAATCCAAAAAAAACTAATAACATTTGCCATCCATTTCTTAAAAATATTACACTAGGATAGAAGAGAACTTCCTTACTCTGCTAAAGCACATCTATCCCCCCAACCCCCAAAAAAGAAAGCAAAAAAAACAGCAACCAAAAAAAAATCATTGTTAATAGGAAAATAGGAGCATTCCACTGAAAATCAAGGATAATCCAAGAGGGCCAAGCACAATGGTTCATGCCTGTAATCCCAACACTTTGGGAGGCTGAGGTGAGCAGATCACTTAAGGTCAGAAGTTCAAGACATGCCTGGCCAACATGGCGAAACCTCATCTCTACTAAAAATACAAAAGTTAAGGCTGGGTGTGATGGCTCACGCCTGTAATCCCAGCACTTTGGGAGGCCAAGGTGGGCGGATCACTTGAGGTCAGGAGTTCAAGATCGGCCTGGCCAACATGGTGAAACCCCATCTCTACTAAAAACACAAAAATCAGCCAGGCATAGTGGCACACACCTGTAATCCCAGCTACTCGGGAGGCTGAGACACAAGAATTGCTAGAACCCAGAAGGCAGAGGCTGCAGTGAGCCAAGAATGTGCCACTGTGCTCCAGCCTGGGTGACTGAGTGAGACTCCATCTCAAATAAAAAAAAAAATAAACAAATAAACAGAAATTAGCCAGGTGTGGTGGCAGGTGCCTGTAGTCCCAGGTACTCAGGAGGCTGGGGCATGGGAATTGCTTGAACCCAGAAGGCAGAGGTTGCAGCGAGCTGAGATCACACCATTGCACTCCAGCCTGGGCAACAGAGAGATTGTCTCAAAAAAAAAAAAAAAAGAAGAATCCAAGGGGCAGGGCAGGCACCTGTAATCTCAGTACTTTGGGAGGCCAAGGCAGGAGAATCACTTGAGGACAAGAGTTCAAGACCAGCCTGGGCAACATAACAAGATACCAGCTGTACAAAATATATTTTTTAAAAAAGAATAATCCAAGGATGCCCAGCATTGTCAATATTGTACTGGGATGGCCTAGCCAACACAGATCAGCTGTCAGTATTTTTTTTTTTTTTTTTGAGATGGAGGCTCGCTCCGTTGCCCAGGCTAAAGTGCAGTGGCGCGATCTCTGCTCATTGTAAGCTCCACCTCCCGGGTTCACGCCATTCTCCTGCCTCAGGCTCTGGAGTAGCTGGGACTACAGGCGTCCGCCACCACGCCCAGCTAATTTTTTTGTATTTTTAGTAGAGATGGGGTTTCACCGTGTTAGCCAGGATGGTCTCAATCTCCTGACCTTGTGATCCACCCGCCTTGGCCTCCCAAAGTGCTGGGATTACAGGCGTGAGCCACCGCGCCTGGCCAGTATTTTTTTTATTATTATTTTTAGAAACAGGGCCTTGCTCTGTCACCCATGCTGGAATGCACTGGCATGATCATAGCTCACTGTAGCCTTGAACTCCTAGGCTCATGTGATTCTCTCACCTCAGCCTCCCAAATAGCTGGAAGTACAGGCACACGCCACCACACTGAGTTAATTTTTATTTTTTTACAGGTGTAAGCCACCACCCCGGGCCAGCTGTTGTTATTAACAGGTTATTATTATCTGCCCAGAAAACCCCAAAAAAAGCCTACAAACAAATTATTAGAAGTTATAAAAGAGTCTAGAAAGAAGCCTGGCTTTAAGATCAATATACTATACAAAAATCAATTGCGACCAGGCATGGTGGCTCACGCCTGTAATTCTAGCATTCTGGGAAGCCGAAGTGGGTGGATTACCTGAGCTCAGGAGTTTGAGACCAGCCTGGCCAACATGGTGAAACCCCATCTCTACTAAAATACAAAAAATTAGCCAGACATGGTGGCTCGTGCCTGTAGTCCCAGCTACTCGGAAGGCTGAGGCACAAGAATCGTTTGAACCCGGTAAGCAGAGGTTGCAGTAAGCCGAGATCACACCACTGCACTCCAGCCTAGGTGACAGAGTGAGACTCTGTCTAAAAAAAAAAAATCAATTTCGCGTCTATACGTTAGAAACAAACAGAAAATATAACTTTTAAGAGACACCATTTATAATAACAATAAATACTACAGATTATTTTAGACTAAATATAACAAAAGATGTACCAAATCCTAATACAGAAAACTTTTTAACTTTATTGAAAAATATTAACGACCTTAAAAAATTGAGAGGCCAGGCGCGGTGGCTCATGCCTGTAATCCCAGCACTTTGGGAGGCCGAGGTGGGCGGATCACCTGAGGTCGGGAGTTTGAGACCAGCCTGACCAACATGGAGAAACCCTGTGTCTACTAAAAATACAAAATTGCTGGGTGTGGTGGCGCATGCCTGTAATCCCAACTACTCGGGAGGCTGAGGTAGGAGAATCACATGAACCCGGGAGGCGCAGGTTGCAGTGAGCCGAGACCGCACCATTGCACTCCAGCCTGGGCAACAAGAGCGAAACTCTGTCTCAAAAAAAAAAAAAAAAAAAAACCATAAGGAATGAAGACAAATAATCTAACAAAGGGTTAGTATATAATATATAAAATATAAAAGAAAGCTTACATATCAAGAAGAAAAAGTTAACCCTATAGAACAATACAGCCCCCACCAAAATGGTCATTTTACAAAAGCAGCACAGTCAATGCACATATGAAAAGAAGCTCAACCTACTTAGTAACCAGGAAAATACAAATTCAGACCCTAATGAGATATCATTTCATACCCAACAGAGTGGCAAAAATTTTTAAGTGTGAACAGTTGAAGGGCATGTATTTCAACAAAAATTCTTTACCCTCTCACCAGTAATGTATAACTGCTACAACCATTTTGGAAAACAATTTAGCATTTACTCCCAAAGCTGAACAAACCCTACAGCCAGCAATTGTACTCCTGGGTGTATACCTATGAGAAACTCTTACACATATGTACAAGACATGTACAAGAGGACATGCATAAGAATATTCATAGCGGCAGTAGCCAGAGTATCCAAAAACTGGGGAAGAAATCCACACATAATTGACAGAGAATAGATCAATTGTACAGATCCTACTGTACAATAGCACAGTAGGATGTCATACAACAGTGAAAATGGAAGAACAAAGTCCCACACGGGAACGTGGGTGAATGTTAGAAACATAATGACGAGTTGTTTAAAAGCAAGTTCCAAGCCTGGGCAACATAGCAAGACCTTGTCTCTACTAAAAATTTAAAAAATTAGTGGAGTGTTGTGGCACATGCATGTAGTCCCAGCTACTCGGGAGGCTGAAACGAGAGGATCACTTGAGCCTGGGAGGTCAAGGCTGCAGTGAGCCATGATCCTGTCACTAAGTTCCAGCCTGGGTGATACAGCAAGACCCTGTCTCTAAAAATAACAATAATAATATAAAAAGCAAGTTCCAGAAAACTACATATGATACCATTTTTACAGAGCTCAAAACCAGGCAAATCTAAACAATATTTATTGTTTAAAGGTATAATACATACATGACAAAGTATATAAAAATCCAATCCAAGCCAAACTAAATAAAATATTGCTTCCTCATGGGAGGAGGCAAAGGAGTGGATGGGGAAAAGAACACAGGTAAAAAGCAAGTTACTCCTGATGCTCCATTTCTTGGGCTAAGTGATGAGTCCATGGGGTTTGTTAAATCACACTCCACATCCAATATTTTTGTTACATATAATCCTTTGTATGTAGCAAATATGTCCTGTCCCTGGTATCAGGATTAAGCCATCCATTTGTGACACCTAGGACACCATTTCCTTTGACTTGTTAATTCCCTTTGAAGGTCATTGATGTCCTCAACCACCTTGGCTAGTGGGATGAAGACAATCTGTGGAAGTATGTCTTGGCCCACCCAGGCCTCAGCTCAGCCTTCTAAAACTAATAGCCCAGCTGGTCAGATGTTAGGAAGAGGTGGGCGAAGCCCACTGATAAAACTCATCTACTAAAACCTCCCTCTATGACCTAAAGCCTCTTGTCGTAGGCTCGCTGGTCTCCACCTAGCCCTGTTCCACTTGCTGTGACTATTCTGGCTTCCCAACCACCCCTTCCAGAACCTAGATTGGTCATGGAGGTCACAGAGGTCCATGGTAACCGAAACCTCGTGTCAGTCCCACTTCTGAGGCCAGGTGCAGGCACGTGTGCTTCAGACCCCACTTGCTCAAGCTACTAACAAAGGTCAGCTCCGTGGCCTTGAGGAGTTAAGCCTGTGTCCTCGCCTGTAAAATGCAAATACAGAAGTGATGACATCTATTTAATAAGGTTGTAGTAAGGATGAACGAGGTAATGCACAGAAAATGCCTAACCCACAGTAAAGGTACCCTACGTCACTGCCTCTAAACCTCACAAGATAGTGGGAGAGAATTAAACTGAGCTCCCACACATAAATGGCCTGACACAGCGACTCTCCATTCCCTACTTCCCACCCCTAAACACACAAACTCTGTCTCACACACACACACACACACTCATTCACTCAACTTAAAAAGGCATGAAGTTGCAGGGTGAGTGTATCTGCTGCCCCCTTATGGCCAGAGAAAAGAATCACACTGTTCTCCTTTCCTAGGAACCCAGAACCAAAACTCCGGGTGAAAAACAACCACCCCAGCCCTGCTCTTTCCTCTCTCCCCTATTTGCCAACTTACCAAAAAAAAAAAAAAAAAAAAAAAAAAAAAAAAAAAAAAAACAACTACTGAGCAGATAAAATAATCTCAAGTCTCCAAATCTCTCAATGAAATTGCCTCAGCAGGGACAGAAATCTGCAGGGGAGGTAAGGGAGATGCTACTTTGAGCAGGTTTCACCTCCTAGAGCTAGTTTCTTCTTTGCAAAATAGAGACAAAAGCTGCCTCACTGAGGTCTTGTGAGGATTAAATGATATCCTGTATGTAAAACACTAGCACAGATACTAGCACAGTGTCTGGCACACATAGTAGATACTCAGTAAGTAATCCCAGATAATAATCACCCTGGTGGTCAAACACAGTCGCTCCCATGTAAAATCCCAGCTACTGGGGAAGCTGAGGCAGGAGGATCACTTGAGGCCAAAGATTCGAGACCAGACCGGGCAACATAGTGAGACAGACCCCCATGTCAAAAAAAGGAAAAAAAAAAAAAAGAATTGGCCTGAGGAGGCTCTTCTCTAACTCATAAGACCCTTCCTTTTAAAGAGGAGGAAACTGAGGCCCATAAAAAGGGAGAGATTTGGCCAGGGTCTCGGAAATCAGACCCTGATTAGTAGCTGAACCCAGGCTGGAGCTCAAGCCTCCAGAGGAAGGGGAAGGAGAAAAGGAATATTTCAGCTCCCCCAGTTGCTGGGCAGGACACTGTCACTTTGCCAGGCTCCTCTTCCTGGGTCCCCACCTCCCTGGACATGCTTGGCCTTCCTCACACCTTCCTCACCCCTGCTCTCTCATGGACCACAGGACAATGCAGAAAGGGAACTCTGCTATTTTATTTGTTATGTGAAAGAGTCTGGGTGCTTGTCGGGTGCAGCTAGATGGTCAGTCCCTGAAGGCAAACAGGAGGCCTAAGACGACACCCCAAGCAGGATCTTGCCTGGAGGATGCTGCACCAACAATCTGAGACTTCTCTAAGATGTTGAGGACCTCAGTCACTTTGATGCTCCCAATATGATGAAAATCTGCTAAAAGCTGGTTATGTTCACGAGCACACCCCATGAGGAGGAAGGTGGTATTGAGAAACCCTGTAAGGAAGAGAGGGAGAAGTCAGGAACACTTTCAAGACTCAAGAGCCCTGCCTTCAGCCAGGTGCAGTGGCTCACACCTGTAATCCCAGCACTTTGGGAGGCCGAGGCAGGTGGATCACTTGAGGACTTAAGGCCAGGAGTTTGAGACTAGCCTGGCCAACATGGCAAAAACCCATCTCCCTTAAAAATACAAAAATTAGCCAGGTATGGTGGCACATGCCTATAATCCCAGCTACTTAGGAGGCTAGGGTATGAGAATCACTTGAACCTGGGAGGCAGAGGTTGCAGTGAGCCGAGATCGGACCACTGCACTCCAGCCTGGGCAACAGAGCAAGACTCCCATTTCAAAAAAAAAAAAAAGGCCCCTGCCTTCTCCCCAGAGGCCCCTCACAAACCAGAACACCTGCTCTCCCATGAGAGACTTAGGCACCAGGCGCCTTCCCCTTCCTCCTTGGAATTCATGTGCCCTGTCCCTTGCAACCCCAATCCCATCTCTGGATCCCACCAGCCTCTCTGAGATGTGAAGGTGCTGGACAATGCCTGGCAGAGAGTAGGCATTTGATAAACAATATTCCTCTCCTCTCACCTGCCTGAAATTTTAAGGTGGAACTGTAACACGTAGAAGCAGCCAAGGGGCAAGAATTAGTGGTGACAAAATTTGGGAGGCAATCCTTCATGTGCTCGCCCACACAGGTCGGGCAGCTACAGGACGCAGATGTGATAGACTTAGGAGTGCTGGCCTTGAGTTTCACAAAAGGCTCCAAATTGGTGAGGTTGTTGCAGAGATAAGACCGGCAGACGCGACTGTAGGAGGCAATGGACACTCCGGGTGGGGAAACAAGGTAGGAGATTTGCGCAGGGTAAGACGAAGACGAGCTGCAGCCTTTAAAGCCCACGACTCCCCTTGCAGTCCCTGAGGAGCAGAGGATTGAGAGAGCTCAGATCAGTGTCACTGGCCTCACCCAGAGTCCTCCCTCCCCCCAGCTCTTTCTGCACCCACCCTGCCTGTCACAATCTGTGCCTCCCTCCCCAACCCCTGTGTCCACTCAGTGCAGCTGCACAGGGCTCAGATGCTGGGGTCTCCATCTGGATCTCCTCATTCTTCCACTGCAGGACCTCCCCCAGCCCCCACTCCTCTCTCCCTTGTGCCCTCCTCCAGGGATCTGTCCACCTCCATTCTACCCACTTACCCAGCCCACAACACAACCAGTGGGGCCCTGCCCCTCTCCTGCCAGTGTCCTGACATTATCCAGATATAAATGATGGCCAGGCACAGTGGCTTATGCCTGTAATCCGGACACTTTGGGAGGCCAAGGTGGGCAGATCGCTTGAGCTCAGGAGTTTGAGACCAGCCTGGGCAACATAGTAAGAACTCCCCATCTCAAAAAAAATTAAAAAAAATATATATACATATATATATATATGTATAGTAACTATGTGGAATTCTAATCTACAGTCCCTCGGTGCTGGGAGTGGAGCTGGGGGTCAGAAGAGCAAGCAAAACGAAATTGATCAAACTTAGACTGCTTCACCTGTCTCAATGAACACTAGCGTCTCCTCGCAGCCCTCTTGCAGCTTACACACCATGTTCCTCATCAGAAGCCACTTCCAGTTATGGAAAGCAACAGCTCTGAATCTTGAGGCTGTTGCTTCATAGCACAAAAGAGCTCCAGCCCCTAAAAAGAGAATGCTCTCCCAGTCATTGGCCCCTCATATCATCTTCTGAGCCCGTTAACTGCCAACCAAGAGTTCAGCCCCCACAGGTCCTGTCCCCAGCGAAACCTAGATACCCAGCCCTCGTTCCACCAGTGACATGAATCCAGCCTCCCACCTTTCTGGGTCTTATAGCATCCAGCCCCACAGGACATACGAGGCAGAGTGGAGATGGCCCCTAGAAGGCAGAACAGCTGCACAAGTCTCAAATGCTGGGGTCCCATGGCCCTGTGTCTGGGTCCTGGGTGCTAGAGGTCAGTCTGGAATCAGTTTCAGTCTGGATCCCAAGCTCAGTTCCCATCAGTCCCCGAATTCTTTGTCCACCTGTCTCTGGGTCACTGTTTCTGGAGCAGAAAGTTGATTGCATCAGCTTCTAGGACATAGGCTCCCTCAGACCTTCTGGGTCACAGGTCTTCCCATCTCCACTGTCTGCCCTCCAGTCTAACCTGCACCATCCACCATCTTAGCTTCTCAAAGCAGGACTCTCACTCTCCCACTTAGGTCCTCCCATTGGACAAGGTGCTGAGCAGAGAATCCTGGCTTACTGATATGCAGGCTGTTCTCCAGCCAGAGGCAATGAGATCAGAGAAACAAATAGATGTTTCAAACTCGTGTGTGTTGTGTGTGTGTGTGTGTGTGTGTGTAAGTTAACATATCACTAAATAACCCTTGGTTCAACATGGAAATTTAAAAGTATTTAGAACTGAGGTCAGGAGCAGTGGCTCACGCCTGTAATCCCATCACTTTGGGAGGCTAAGGCAGGTGGATCACCAGAGGTCAGGAGTCCAAGACCAGCCTGCCAAAATGGTAAAACCCCATCTCTACTAAAAAATATAAATTAGCCAGGGGTGGTGGCACGAGCCTATAGTCCCAGCTACTCAGGAGGCTGAAGCATGAGAATCGCTTGAACCCAGGAGGCGGAGGTTGCAGTGAACCGAGATCGCGCCACTGCACTCCAGGCTGGGCAACAGAGACAGAGACTCCATTTCAAAAAAAAAAAAAGTATTTAGAACTGAATAATAATAAACATATTACATAACACACACATTCACACACAGACATAGACACAGACAGACACACACATACACACACACACACACACATAAGTGCATGTAAAATCTGCTGTAAACTGAATAAGGTCTGAAGTCTAGGTAAGAGTACTGTACACCAGCCCAGGCATCACGACAAAATGCCATCTCTACAAAAAATACAAAAATTGGCCAGGCATGGTGGCATGCACCTGTGGTCCCAGCTACTTGGGAGGCTGAGGTGGGAGGACCACTTGAGCCCCGGGGATGGAGGTTGCAGTGAGCTATGACTGTACAAACAGTATTGTACAAATGTCAATTTCCTGCTCATATACTATGGTTATATAAGATGCCCCTACAGGGAAACTGGAGGAAGGATCCAAGGGACTCTATGTACCACTTTTGCAACTTCCTGTGAGCCAACAATCATTTCAAAATTAAAGGGTTTTTAAAATATATACAGCCGGGCACAGTATCTCCCGCCTGTAATCCCAGCACTTTGGGAGGCCGAGGCAGGCAGATCACGAGGTCAGGAGATCAAGACCATCCTGGCTAACACGGTGAAACCCCATCTCTAAAAACACAAAAAAATTAGCCAGGCATGGTCGTGGACGCCTGTAGTCCCAACTACTTGGGAGGCTGAGGCAGGAGAATGGTGTGAACCCGGGAGGCGGAGCTTGCAGTGAGCCAAGATTGCGACGCTGCACTCCAGCCTGGACGACAGAGCGAAACTCCGTCTCAAAAAAAAAAAAAATAAAATAAAATATATACATCAAAATTTGAGACACAGCTAAAGCAGTATTTAGAAGTAAATTTATACTTTTAAATACATGTATCAGGAAATGTGAAGCATTAAAAAATAAATATATTCATGAACTAGTTCAAGAAATTGTATAAGGAGCAACAAAGCAATTCTCTCCTACCCAAAAAAGAATGGAAATAAGGATGATAGCAGAAATCAATGAAATAGTAAACAACAACAAACATTATTACAAAAAAGATCCATTCTATGAAAAGATTTAGTTAGTTCGCTGGCAAATCTGATCAAGGGAGAAGATGCAGGCCGGCACAGTGGCTCATGCCTCTAATCCCAGTGCTTTGGGAGGCTGAGCCAGGAGGATCCCTTGAGGTCAGGAGTTCAAGACCAGCCTGGGCAACACAGTGGCTTATGCCGGTAATTCCAGTGCTTTGGGAGGCTGAGCCAGGACTGCTCGAGGTCAGCAATTTGAGACCAGCCTGGGCAACACCTTGTCTATACCAAAAAAAAAAAAAAGTTTAAAAATTAGCCAAGCATGGGAGTGCCTGTAGTCCCAGCTACTCAGGAGGCTAATGTTGAAGGATTGCTTTAGCCTCAAATCACAAGGTCAGGAGTTCGCGACCAGCCTGGCCAACAAGGTGAAACACTGTCTCTACTACAAATACAAAAATTAGCCCGGTGTGGTGGTACGTGCCTGCAGTCCCAGCTACTAGGGAGGCTGAGGAGGGAGGATCACTTGAACCCGGAAGCCAGAGGTTGCAGTGAGCCGAGATCATGCCACTGCACTCCAGCCTGGGCAATAGAACAAGACCCTGTCTCAAAAAAAAAAAAAAAAAAAAAGTGAAGAAATGCACAAACCCAGCAATAACCAAGGAAATGCAATCTGTCAAATTGTACATCTATCAGACTGGTAAGGATCAGAAAGCTGGGAAAAGACAAGTGTTGGCAGGTATGTGGGGATAAAGGAACCCTTGGCCCCTGATGCTCATGGCATTATTTGGAGGGCTGGGGAATAAAACACTATTTCTGGACTCTGAGAAACAAAGGAGTTGAGAGTTCTGACCAGGATCTCAGGCCCAAAGCAGCATTGCAGGGGTCTGACACTACATGGTCAAATTGGGTTTATAAATACCCATTTCCAGTATACCCTACATAGGTATTACAAAAATGTCCACCTTCATCTACAAAGGAACATGCACAATAATGCAGCATTTTTTTTTTCTGAGACTGGGTCTCGCTCTGTTGCCCAGGCTGGAGGACAGCTGTGCTCACTGCAGCCCCCACCTGCCAGGCTCATGCAATCCTCTCACCTCGGCCACCCAAATAGCTGGGACTACAGGTGTGCGCCAACACACCCAGCTTTGTAGAGATGGAGTTTTTCCATGTTGCCCCAGCTGTTATCAAACTCCTGGGCTCAAGCAATCCACCCACCTCGGCCTCCCAAAGTGCTGGGATTACAGGCATGAGCTCCCATGCCCAGAGAATGCAGCATTATTGTGGTGATGGTAGGTTGAGACAATGGGAGCTTCCCTCTCTGAGACCAAGTGAATGCAAAACATGCTGGGGATGTACGCTATGGAATATCACGCAGGAGTTGGAAGAAGTTGATTAGATGTACACAGGATGTGAGGCAGGGTACAGTGGCTCACGCCTGTAATCCCAGCACTTCGGGAGGCTGAGGTGGGCGGATCACCTGAGGTCAGGAGTTCAAGACCAAGCTGGTCAACATGGCAAAATCCTGACTCTACTAAAAATACAAAAATTAGTCGAGTGTGGTGGTGGGAGCCTGTAATCCCAGCTACTCAAGAGGCTGTGGCAGCAGAAGAATTGCTTGAACCCAGGAGGTGGAGGGTGCAGTAAGCCAAGATCACACCATTGCACTCCAGCCTGGGCAATAAGAGTGAAACTCCGTCTAAACAAAAAAAAAAAAAAAAAAAAAAAAAAAAAAAAGTACACATCATGACAGAATGACAGAATGTGTACATGGATAGATTGTAAAATCACAGTGCTGATTATTACAAATAGTATATAACATAATATCACTTGCATAAATTAAAAACTCAAACAGAGGTCGGGTGTGGTCGTTCATGCCTGTGATCCCAGCACTTTGGGAGGCCAAGGCAGACAGATCACTTCAGGCCAGGAGTTCTGGACCAGCCTGGTTAATATGGCAAAACCCCATCGCTAAAAAAAAAAAAAAAAAAAAAAAAAAAAAAAAAAAAAAAAAAAAACCCCAACAACAACACTACACACATCCTGGGAGAACACACACACAAACCAAAAGATACATATTAACCACCTTAGAATGAGAATTGCCTATAAGAAGGTTAGGGAATGAAAGTGGGGAATTGGTGGAAAATAACAGTGTAGGAGGGGGTACAAAGATCACTGACCTTGGCCTCAGAGACCCAGGTTGGAATCTTTACCCCTTCATTTACTAGCTGTCCAATTTGTTGAACTCAGAGCCTACTACCTTCTTTATAAAATGAAGTATAATACATCTCATAGGGTCATTGTGAAGATCAATAAAATTATTACCATAAGTATTAGGCAAATGCTAAGCTCTTTATAATCGTTGGTTACCCTGTTCCTCTACCACTATCCCTCCCTCCCACACACACTTCCTCTCACTCTCTCTCCACTACCTAAAGGATCAAGTTCAACCTCTTTAGCTGGCCTTTAAGCCTCCCCCGACCACACCCCACCCCACCCCAGATAAGCGCCACCCAACCTTTCCAATTTTATCTAGGACAGCTCCCCTGCCCAGCAGTCCAGCTAGAGGTCACGTCGGCCACCCTTTTCTGCCTGCAATGCCTCAGACACACATGCTCTGTAACCCAGAAATCTGTGGCCAAGAAAGGTGCCAAGACCCGCAGAAAAGCTGGGACACAGGAAAGAGAAACGAAGGCTGACAACAGATCTCACGGGGGTGAGGGAGATTAGGCCAATCAGAGAAGACAGCACACGCCAGCCTCAGATGCAGAACAACTGGACCTGGACCTAACAAGCTGAGTACAAGTGGAGACGCAACCAGAAAAGATTGAAGTGAAATCCTCAAGCAAAAAAAAAAAAAAAAAAAAAAAAAAAAAGGATGGAGCAGTAGTCAGAGGGGATGCCACCCCTACAAAAGACAAACAAATTGATGGAATGGAACCTTGCAGGGAGAGAGAGGACCAGCAGAGAGAGGGAGGCGTAGGAAAATGAGGAGTGGGGCACAAAGGTGGGGCTCTCAGGGAGAAGAGGAGTCGATTTTAGAGGGGGAGAAGAAAAGGACACAGAGCTGGCTGTACAGAGAAAAGGGGCCAAGGCAGAGAAGATGGCGGGATGGTGTGAGACGGAGTTCACAGAAATACCCAGAGAAGGCGACGATTACACAGAGGAGCCCCCAGAGGGGCGAACTCTTGAGGAAGATGAACGCGGAGGGTGGAGCCAGCCAGAAATTCAGAAAAACTAGAGGCGTCCCCGGTAGCGAAGGAAGCCGGGAAGGGGCCAGGCTATCAGGGCATGAAGCACGGGAGAAAATGGGTCCGAAGAGGGAGAGCGTCCGAGAGAAAAGGAAAATCAGAGATTAGGAAAATCACAACCGACACAAAGACAAGAAGAGACACAAGGAAAGGGGTGCAATCTGAGGAAGGAGGGCCCGGTAAGCAACCCGGTAATCACAGCGCTGGGAGAGAACGCATAAAAGAAGGGTAGCTCAGGAGTTGTGGGGCACCGGAAGAGACATAACAGAAAACGCAGGCCTCCACTCAGCAAAAACAAGCCACGCGCGAAGTCGAGGTACAAGGCAAGGGAAGGCCAGAAACGAGGCAACCCGTGCACAGACCGGGCTTGGTCAACGCCCCAGGGGCGGGGCCAGGCGGGCCGTTCCTGGGGGGCGGGGCCAGCCTCGGTCCAATAAGGGGTACTCGACGCCCCATTGGCCACCTGCCTCGAAAGGGGGAAGACAGTCTGGGCGGGCAGGACGTGCGGAGGGAGAGGCAGCGGTGGCGCGAGGCTCAACTCGAAGCGCTATTGGTGGGACTGATAGTCTTGTGCGCCAAGAAGCTGGCAGAAGGGAAGGGGCGGGACATCAGTTCAGGATCTCAAACCGCATTGGTCGTCTGCCTCGGCTGAGAGAGGCGATGCTTGAAGTTCATTGGTCTTTGTGAGACAGGGTAAGAAAAGCAGCGCGAGCTTGGCGGTTCCTCTGGCCACTTTCTCACAGTGTCTTTGGGCGTCTTCTTGACTGAATCTGACTCCATTGGAGGCTGTGGTAACCGTGAACTAGCTGCACGAACACGGTCCCTCCTGCCTTTCCGTCCTCCTCCCTCTTAGCCGGACTCCCTAACCCAGGCATCCCCTCTCCTCCCCCTCGCGCCCCTCCCGCCCTCGCGCCCCCTCTCCCCTTCCCTGCCTCGCGGGCCCCTTGGCGCGTTCCCGGTTCCCCACTCGCTCCCTGGGGCACGGGAAGGGGGGAGGGGGACATGCATGAAATTAATTGTTGGTAGTGGCCACAGGAGCAGGAAGCGCTGGACACAGTGACTTCACATGTTTACACAAAAACCTGAATAAGGTGTGAGCGCAAGAGAGACATTAGTGCCCCAAGGAGAAGGTTTTTGGCCCAGATCAGGGCCTAGCACATGACAGGGGCTCAGTAACCATTTGTGGAATGAATGAAGGAGTGAAGGAAAATAACTTGAAAGTGGGGCAGGTGGCGGGTGCGGTGGCTCATGCCTGTAATCCCAACACTTTGGGAGGCCGAAGCAGGCAGGTCGCTTGAGGCAGGTCAGGAGTTCAAGACCAGCCTGGCCAACATGGTGAAACCCCATCTCTACTAAAAATACAAAAATTAGACGGGCGTGGTGGCACAGGCCTGTAATCCCAGGTACTCGGGAGGCTGAGGCAGGAGAATTGCTTGAACCCAGGAGGCGGAGGTTGCAGTGAGCCGGGATTGCACTACTGCACTACAGCCTGGGCTACAGAGTGAGACTCCATCTCAAAACAAAAAAAAAGAAAGAAAGAAAGTGGGACAGGGGAGCCAAGCATAGTGGCTCCAGCCTGTAGTCCCAGCTACTGGGGAGGCTGCGGCAGGAGGATTGCTTGAGCTCAGGAGGTGGAGGCTGCAGTGAGCCATGATCACGCCACTGCGCTCCAGCCTGGGCAACAGAGCGAGACCCTGTCAATAAAAAAAAAAAGAAAGTGGAGCAGGGAATCCATGAGAATAAGGTAATTATTGGGGGTGCAAGAGAGGGTTCTGATTTAAAGGGGTACAAGAACAAAATAAGACTAAAGGAATGCAAGGAGGCAGTTGCTTTGCAGGGCATAGATGAGACTAAGAATTGAAATTGAACTAAGAATTGAAAGGGGCATAAAACTACTGGTAGGCATTGGATGAATGCATGAGAGTGGGGTGAGCATTGTTGAAGAGGATGCCAGGAAACACTGTTGGGACGGAACAGGGTGCTTGTGAAAAGGGGATGTAGGACTCGCTGAAGGGGTATGTGAGGACATGAGTAGGTTGGAACCTAGGATGTGTGTGTGGGTGGGAAAGTGTTTGGATTGAAAGAAAAGAATGTTTGAATTGAAAGAATACAGAATGTCGGGCGCAGCAGCTCATGCCTCTGATCCTAGCACTGTGGGAGGCCAAGGCAGGAGGATCGCTTGAGCCCAGGAGTTCGAGACCAGACCAGCCTGGGAAACATAATGAGACCTTGTCTCTATAAAAATAAAAAACAATTAAAAAAAAATTTTTTTTTTGAGACAGAGTCTTGCTCCGTCACCCAGGCTAAAGTGCAGTGGCGCGATCATGGCTCACTGCCAGCTCTGCCTCCCGGGTTCACGCCATTCTCCTGCCTCAGCCTCTGGAGTAGCTGGGACTACAGGCACCCGCCACCACGCCCAGCTAATTTTTTGTATTTTTAGTAGAGACAGGGTTTCACTGTGTTAGCCAGGATGGTCTCGATCTCCTGACCTTGTGATCCACCCGCCTTGGCCTCCCAAAGTGCTGGGATTATAGGCTTGAGCCACCGCACCCGGCCTAAAAATTTTTAAATTAAAAAAAGGGGGGACGGGTGCAGTGGCTCATGGCTGTAATTCCAGCACTTTGGGAGGCCGAGACAGGCAGATCACTTGAGGCCAGGAGTTCGAGACCAGCCTGGCCAACATGGTGAAACACCATCTCTACTAAACATACAAAAATAAAAAAAAATAGCCGGGCATGGTGGCTCTTGCCTGTAATCCCAGCTACTCAGGAGGCTGAGGCAGGAGAATCGCTTGAACCCGGGAGGTGGAGGTTGCAGCAAGCCAAGATCGTGCCACTGCACTCCAGCCTGGGAGACAGAGTGAGACTCCATCTCAAAAAAAAAAAAAAAAAAAAAGAAAGAACACAGAAGAGGAAGAGGAGAGGGGTTTCTGAAGAAGGAAGATACCTGAGAAATGTCATGGGGTAAAGAGGGGAGAAAGCTGGGAAAGAAGCCAGAATCAGGGCGGGGTCTAAAGAGGGGCAGGATGGAGACCTGCAGGTGTGGTCTCCAGGGCAGGAGGGTTGTTAGGGGCAGGCCCACCTGGCTATGCTTACCTTCCACTCCTGCCCCTAGATCCATGGAACCCAGTGACATGCCTGCTGGCTACCACTGCCCCTTAGACTCTGCCCCCTGGGATGAGACCAGAGACCCCCAGAGCACAGAGCTGATCCCCAGGAGAGCCATCAGCCGCTCTCCAACCTGCGCCCGCTGCCGCAACCATGGTGTCACCGCCCATCTCAAGGGCCACAAGCGCCTCTGCCTCTTCCAGGCTTGCGAGTGTCACAAATGTGTCCTCATCCTGTGAGTATGAGGTCTGGGAGGGGAGGAGGATGAGCCTCCTCCAAAGGGTGGCTGACCTTTGACTTGCAACTCCCCACTTTTAGGGAGCGCCGCAGGGTCATGGCTGCCCAGGTGGCCTTGCGTAGGCAGCAGGAGGCGCAGCTAAAGAAGCACCTGATGAGGAGAGGGGAAGCCTCTCCCAAAGCTCCCAACCACTTCAGAAAGGGAACCACTCAGCCACAGGTCCCCTGTGAGTGTCTCTGACCAGCGATGGGGCAGGAGTTTGGGTACAGGAGGCAGGTATGGGAAAAAGAGGCCCAGTCCTGCTGCTGAATTGGTGTACGACCTTGAACTAAGGGTTTCTACTCCCTCGGCCTCAGCTGTCCCAGCGTTGAGAGAATGCAGCGAGTTCTGTGGGTCAAAAATGGGCTAGAGGCCGGGCACAGTGGCTCACGCCTGTAATCCGAGCACTTTGGGAGGCTGAGGCAGGCAGACCACGAGGTCAAGAGATCGAGACCATCCTGGCCAACATGGTGAAACCCCGTCTCTACTAAAAATACAAAAATTAGCTGGGCTTGGTGGCGCATGCCTGTAGTCCCAGCTACTCGGGAAGCTGAGGCAGGAGAATCACTTGAACCCAGGAGGCGGAGGTTGTAGTGAGCCAAGATCACGCCACTGCACTCCAGCCTGGGCGACACAGCAAGACTCCATCTCAAAAAAAAAAAATGAGCTAGATGGGGGAGATGAGAACTGTCTGGGGTTGGGGTAGGATAGGGGTCAGGAGAAAGGGCTCATTAGAGCTCTCCCTGGTCCTTCACAGCTGGAAAGGAGAACATAGCACCCCAGCCTCAGACCCCCCATGGGGCAGTCCTGCTGGCACCGACACCCCCCGGGAAGGTAAGGAGAGGCTGGGGCCTGAGAAAGTGTCCCCCACCCTAGTTCCTACCCAGACCCTTTCTTCTGTGCCCTCAACACCTGGGTTCTAGCCCCAGCCCTGGTTTGCTATGTAATCTAGTCAAATCACTGCTCTTCTCTAGGCAAAATGAGGGGAAAACGAGGGCCTCCCAGCCCCAAAGTTTTGGGGTTCTGCCCGTATCCCAGAATACACTCAATCCTTTTCCAGCCTTGTACCCAACTCCAGCCTGTGCCCTCTGCCCCTGCAGAACTCCTGTGGGCCTCTGCTGCTCAGCCATCCCCCGGAAGCCTCGCCCTTGTCCTGGACTCCGGTGCCTCCTGGCCCTTGGGTCCCTGGACACTGGCTGCCTCCAGGCTTCTCCATGCCACCACCAGTGGTGTGCCGCCTGCTGTACCAAGAACCTGCTGTCTCTCTGCCTCCCTTCCCTGGTAAGATGATAATTCAACATTCATTCAACATATATTTGAGTGCCAATCTGCCACATATTGGAGAGGGAAGAGGAAGAAAGCATAGGTGGGGAGAGGGAGGAAAGAAACTATGACCTTGGCCCCTATACACTCTGCATTCTTTTATTCTTATTAGGCTTTGACCCTGGCACCTCCCTCCAGCTGCCCACTCATGGGCCCTTCACCACCTGCCCAGGATCTCACCCAGTACTGACAGCTCCTCTTTCTGGAGAGCCCCAAGGGCCCCCTAGCCAGCCCCGCACGTGAGTAGGGAGAGAAGGATGTGTATCATAAGCCTAAGCCTGTGCTGTGTCCAACCACAGTGCTGGTGTCCAACCACAGTGGATAATGAAGATGAAAAGGTCTCTGACTAATAGGCAAGGCAGAGCTCTCCTAGTACTGCCATTTCCTAGCTGTGATGCTTTGGACAATTATCTTTACCTCTCTGAGCCTGTTTTTCTATCAGTAAATTGGAGACACTATTACTTACCTCTCTGATTGTTGTAAGAATTAGCAATAATGTATGGAATAGACCTAGCACAGACTCTTTAATGGTAGCTGTTATATCTGCTTAGACAGATTTGATGGGGTAAGATTGCCTGCTGATATGGGGGGCAGAGATGATGAGAGCCTCAGAGACCCAGGAGAGGGGCCAGAGGCCATTAGGAAAAGCTTCCCAAAGGTGAGCCAAGCTCTCCTTCAAGTTCTATGGTGACTGGGGAACTGGGGGAATGGGACCCAGACTCTGATAGGTCAGGGACAGTAATCTCAGTCTTCTAGGTGTTTTTTTAAAAACCGGCATCAGGTGGGGCCTGGTGGCTCACACCTGTAATCCCAACACTTTGGGAGGCTGAGGTGGGAGGATTACTTGAGGCCAAGAGTTTGAGACCACCTGAGTAACTGAGCGAGACTTCGTCTCTACAAAAAAATTAAAACAGCCAGGAATGGTGGTGCACACCTGTTTTCCTGGCTACTTAGGAGGCTGAGGTGGGAAGATGGTGTAGGCCCAGGAGTTCAAGCTTATGGTGAGCCATGATCACACCGCCACTGCACTCCAGCCTAGGTGACAGAGCAAGAGCCTGTCTCAAAAAAAAAAAAGACACTAGTGATTTCCCATAATCCTCACAGTAGCCCTGGGAGGAAAAACTGGCAAGGATTTTTACTTTACTGAAAACAAAATAAGTCAAGACACAGCTTAATGGCCCAGCAGGCTCTCAGATTCCCAGATCAAAACATGGCAAAATCCTGCCCCTCTTTCAATGTGTGCATGTCTGTTCATCTGTTTAACCACCCTGGCATCTTCTCTCCTTGTTTCTAGACACTCAACTCTGATACTCCAGCCCTGTGGCACCCCAGACCCTCTTCAGCTACAGCCACAGGTCCTGGGAAAGAAGTGGGATCTAGGGCCCTGGGAGGAGGTTGAGCCTGGGGAAGGAAAAAGCAGGAAACTGAAGGAAGCAGGGGCTGAGGAACACTTAGAGGGTGGGCAGAAGCGGGGGTTCCCAGTCTGCTTGTCTCCCTTTCCCTTGCAGGCCTCTGGAGCCTCGTGCCTGGCCCGGACATCTGGCCCCTCAGAGTGGCAGCTGCAGCAAGAGGCAGCTGAAGCCCTCGTGGGGCTGAAAGATTCATCCCAGGCTCCTCGTGTGACCCCTTCTGTGCCCCCCAACCCTGCCTGGATCTCCCTGCTTCACCCCTGTGGCCCACCAGGTGGGCCATGAAAGGAGAGGATGGATAGGGATGGCTGGGAAATGGAGATCACTGAAGTACACAGGGACTAACCAAGGAGATGAGGGGGTCGACAGGTTGAACGTCTTCAGGCCCAGGACCCCAAGCTCCTCAGCCTGGCCCCTGGGATTGCAGTTGAGAGTTATTCAGTGAATCCTTTTTATCAGTTTGGCACTCGACAGCAAATTTCTTGATATCAAGGAAAGTGGGGCACTGAGAAAGGCAGGGACTTGCCCAAGGGCATATAGTGAGACAGTGGCAGGGAACCCAATGCTCTGTCTCTGGACCCAGGCTGCCTGCTGAAGTCTGAAGTGGGGTCTGGCCTGGGAGGAGGTCTGATAAGTGCCTTCAAGGAGCTTACGTTCTAGTTAGGGAAATTGGATGCCTTCACAAGGCTCAGTGACAAACCTGAAGAAGATTGGAGGAACCTTGAAGAGTGAGAAACACCTAGGGGGACAGACAGGGAAAGCTGCGAATTCTCTTGTCCAAATAGTGGATTGGGCAGACTGGCCTGGAGGAAATGCTAGAACAGAGGGAAAGGAGGCTGGAGAGGCTTCTGATGGTGGAGATCTGGCATGCCAGGCTTAGGTGTCTAGAACAGCAACTGTATGTGAAGGGGAGCCAGGGAACGTTTCTGAACTAAGCAAGGACAAATTCAGAGACCCTGAGCTTTAGAAAGACAAGTGGGTGGCTTTGATGGACGGTTTGGAGGAGGCAAGACTGGAGGTGGGAAAATTAGCAAGGAGGTCTGTGAAATAATCCAGGAGAACAATGATGAGGCCTGGATTGGATTCGGTAAAAAGAGGGGGTTGCTAGAAGGAAAAACAGGTGTGACCTGATCCTGCCCCTTCCTTCTTGCCTGTAGCTCCTGCTGGAGGAAGAGGATTCCAGCCTGTTGGCCCCTGTCTTCGACCCAGCCCAGCCCCCTCTGTTGCTCTGCATATTGGCCGTCTGGGGTCCATCTCCCTCCTGAGCTAGAAACCCAGAGATGGAGGCTGTCTTGCTATGGCAGGGAGGTGACAGCCTGCTGGCACTGTATATTTAGTGTCTTACTTAAGGATTTATGCATGGAATTTAATGTAGTACAAGCTTCGGGCTTTTTTGTTTGTTTGTTTGTTTGTTTGTTTAAGCTTTCAGGTGCTTCATTAGCTTTCAGTTCCTTTGGTAGTGTGGGCATTTCCTTGGCTGACAGTGGATATTCTTGTACCCTTCTTGGGTCCTGGGATCTCTTGAAATCCCCAATAAAGAGAGAGTTGTGCTATTTAAGCTGACCAGTATCTATAAACGTGTTTGCATGAGTTTACATCCCAGGATTCCATGATTCTGTAAATGCCTATGCATTCATGTCTGTCTCCATGCATGTGAAAACAGGAGAGTGTTTTCATTTTGTGTCTAGGTTTGTGTGAGTAAGCAAGAAATAAACCTTTGTTGTTGTAAGCCACTGAGATTTGGAGAGTGTTACCACAGCCTAACCTAGTCTATCCTGACTGACAGAAAGGACTTGTTCATTTCGCTTCTCAAAGTGAAAAATCTGTTATCCAATAGCTACCATAGATGAAAACAAACTTGGATTTTTTTCTTTGTCCAAATAAAAAAAAATGATGTAAAGAAATAATGGGGGATTCACTGATTAATTGCCCGCTCTGTGCCAGGCATAGACAGTTTCCAGCTGTCTAGAGGGGCTACAAATCGAAATGCCTACAGGGCTGAGCAGATCAAATAAATGAGTAAAGAAGGCCAGATGGACCCTGGCAAACTGAGAATGGATGCCTTGCCTAAGGAGCAGCCTCCTTTTGGCCCTAGCAGATTACTGCCAGGCGGGAATGTGGACTCAGTGTTGCTCCATCTTCTGATTTTTTAAGAGAAACTGGAAAACTAGATTTCCATGTAAAACATCTTAATTTTCAAATGTTGGCTCAGTTTTCTTCTTTAAATTCTATACGTGCCAAATAAAACATATTTTCAGGCTAGCTTTGGCCAGTGGAATACCAATTTGATACATTTTCCAGATGGGGAAATTGAGGCTAACCAGAATAGAAAGAATCGAGTTAGTCTTTATCACAAGTTTTTCCTCAACTAGGGAGGTTCACGTGTCTGAGTTTCGAAGGATCCATAAAAGGTTAAGAAACATTTATTACCATTTATTGAGTGCCCACTCCATTTGATTCACATATCTTCACAGCAACCCTGGAAGTTATGCAGGATGGTTCCCATTTTACAAGTGAAGAAACAAGCTTAAAGAGGTAAAGTAACTTGCCCAAGTGTTTTAGGGGAAATTTCTAGGCAGAGATCAGAGGAGGGTTCCTTCTCTTTGCCAGGCTCCAAATTAGTTAATAATGTTTATAAAGCATTGGGCCGGGTGTGATAGCTCACACCTGTAATCCCAGCACTTTGGGAGGCCAAGGCAGGAGGATCGCTTGAGCCCAGGAGTTTGAGACCAGCCTGAGTAACACGGGGAGACCCTGTCTCTATAAAAACAAATAAATAAAAGCATAGAATGAAAGATGCACCACTCCTTTCCCCAATCAGGACTCCAGAAGATACATACAAGTCAAGAGTTTTTCAAAAAAGTCTTTTATTTTTCTCCTCAAGATATCATTAAGAATAAGATCTTACCTGCATTTGTTTCTCAGTCCTCTGGTGTCAAGTCCTTCTCCTTGAACCATTCCGTACATAGGAAAACCTGTTGAGCTATTCCAAAGACATGAAGCCTGGAGACCCCCTTCCCATTCCCACCCTTAGAAGGGGCTCAAGGGATGTGCTTGATCACTGATTCTTTTTCCTGATGTTACCTACACCCCTTGTTTTACTCAAGATGATTGATGGTGATGACATCCAATTACAACTTGTTATTTCTTATTTGGGATTTTGAGAGGGTGGGTTTCTTCTCCTCCCTAGCAGAGTACAGAGTAACAAACCTGCAGCACTTCTCAGGAGATACTGAGATATCAGGAGACCAAAGTCGGCTTCACACCCTTCTTCCCTCCCCTTAGCTATAACTTAGATATATGATTGCTCCTTAATAGACCTGCCTAAGACTTGGTGTGCCATGCTTTCCTAGTGACAGATGACCAGGGCCACAAAGTCACAGAGAAAGGAAGCACTGCAACATGCAACATGGCTGAGATTCTGCTACTCAGCACTGACCAAGGGTCCTCTGTACACCAAGGTCACAGAGCTGAGAAGGGTAAAAGAGAAAGTATAATTTGGGGTTAAAGGATGGCATGAAAAGGGGAGGAAAAGAGGAAGTGATGGAGATTGGGGGAAGGAGTAGACTAGAGGCCACCTCTCCTTCACCTCTCCTCCAGTACCCGGCCTTCAGTACCCAGCCTGGGCAAGGCTTTTCACACCAGTTGGCCAGGCCAACTTTGTCTTTCAAATCGTTAGGGCCCCCCATTAGTGCCTGAGGGAAAGGGCCAGAGCTTCTGCAGATGTCAGTCTTAGGGAAAAGAGCAGATTTAAGAGTTGCTCATGCTCCTAAGTTGTTGCCTGTTCAGGTGCAGCACTCTTCACCTGTGGTTGTAGGGAGCCAGTAGGCTCCTGGCCTCTTCTTGGCTCTGAGAGATTACAGATAATAGACTGTGAGCACTGTTTCCTATACTGCCCCCTTTCCCACTTCCCAGTGCCAGGTAGGGAAAGGTATTGCCATGGTCCAATAAAGTACTGAGTAAATCATCTCCCTTCTAAACCTTCTTTGTGTACCCTCTTGGCACTCTGCAGACTTAACCAATGAGGTCCCAACTATGAAGCACCGTCCCTGTTCCTCTCTCTCCTCACAAGACTCCTCCCCACAGTCACCCAGGTTTTATTTCAGGAGCTTATTTCACATTCTGCCCTTTGGGAATCCATGCTCCTTTCGCTTCAGCCCTACATTAACTTGCTCCACTCCTGACCTCAATTCTCGTCCAACGTAGAACTGACATCATACACTTATCCCATCCAGCCTATACGCAGACCCTCATTGCTTCGTCCACATAGGCCTCATTCTGCACCCCTGTTCCATTGTGTAGCTGGCTTTGCAGCCCTGACACGTTTGCATAAATACAGTCCTATAACCCCTACCCTGCATGGGCCTTCACAAGATCCTGAACTCTTCACAAAACCAAAGTTCATCCTTTTCATCCAACTCAAAATAATATGTTAAGCCTCTCAGGCAGAGTTCCCTATGTTCCCAAGGGGCCACTGGTCTCTACTTCATAGTCCTGATCACCCTGAGCTGTGCCTATCTATGTCCATCTATGTCTCCCCCTCAGAGAATAAGCACTCTCAGAGCACAGGACTTGCCTGCAGCTCCTCCTTGGGAGCTCAGAATAAATGACTGAGTAAAATACGTTCTGTCTGATTCCTTAGGAATTGTTTTTTCCTACTGAGTTAACACACTCCAATGCTGCCCCTCTCCTCATCAAAATGTGAACTTTCTGACCTCAAACCATTTTTTCTAAGACAGCCTCTGTCACCCAAGCTGGAGTACAGTGGCACAGTCATGGCTCACGGCAGCCTCAACCTCCCAGGCTCAAGTGACCCTCCAGCCTCAGCCTCCTGAGTAGCTGGGACTACAGGCATACACCTCCATGTGAGACTAATTTTTATTTTTTGTAGAGACAGTGTCTCACTATGTTGCCCAGGCTGGTCTTGAATGTCTGAGCTCAACCGATCCTCCTGTCTCAGCCTCCCAAAGTGCTGGGATTAGAGTTGTTTTGTTTGTATGTGTGTATTTTTGTTTCTTATTATTTTGGGATTAGAGTTGTGAGCCACCGTACCCAGCAAAAAAACCTTCAGGGGCCAGATACAGTGGCTCACACCTCTGATCTCGGAACTTTGGGAGGCCAAGGTGGGAGGATTGCTTGAGCTCAGGAGTTCGGGACCAGCCTGGGCAACATGGCAAAACCCCCTTTCTGCAAAAAATACAAAATTTAGCCAGGCATGGTGGCGTGCACCTGTAGTCCCAGCTACTCAGGAGGCTGAGGTGGGAGAATAGCTTGAGCCCAGGAGGTCAAGGCTGCAGTGAGCCATGATTACACCACTGCACTCCAGCCTGGGTGACAGAGCAAGACTGTCTCATATATATGTGTGTGTGTATATACATGCAACACACATATATACACACATATACATATACATATGTATGTATATATATATATATTATATATGTTCATAGCAAAATTTAGTGGAAAGTACAGAATTCCCATAGTCCCCTTGCCAACACACAGGGATGGCCTCCCTTTTGTATCAACATTCCACACCAGAGTGGTACCTTTGCTACAATCAAGGAACACCGTATTATCACCCAAAGTCTGCAGTTTACATCAGTGTTCACTCTTGTTGTATGTTCTGCAAGTTTTGGCAAATGTGTAATGACACGTATCCACCATTACAGTTTCATAGAGAATAGTTTCATTGCCCTAAACAACACCCATTCATCCCTCCATCCCTCCAAGCCGACAACCAATTATCATTTTATCATTTTATTGTCATCACAATTTTGCCTTTTTCCAGAATGTCATATAGTTGGAATCATACATTTGGATTGGCTTCTTTCAGTTAGTAAGGCATTTAAGGTTCCACCATATCTTTCTTTTGGCGGGGTGGAGGGGAGGGGGAGGCAGACAGGGTCCTGCTGCGGAGTGCAGTGGTGCTGGAACGCAGTGCACTTGGCTCACTGCAACCTCCGCCTCCCAGGTTCAAGCGATTCTCATGCCTCATCTTCCTGAGTAGCTGGGATTACAGGCGTGCACCACCACACCTAGCTAATTTTTGTATTTTTTTAGTAGAGACGGGATTTCGTTTTTTTGTTTTGTTTTTGTTTTGAGACGGAGTCTCGCTCTGTCTCCCAGGCTAGAGTGCAGTGGCGCAATCTCGGCTCACTGCAAACTCCGCCTCCCGGGTTCAGGCCATTCTCCTGCCTCAGCCTCCCGAGTAGCTGGGACTACAGGCGCCCACCACCTCCCCCAGCTAATGTTTTGTATTTTTAGTAGAGACGGGGTTTCACCATGTTAGCCAGGATGGTCTCCATCTCCTGACCTCGTGATCCGCCCGCCTCGGCCTCCCAAAGTGCTGGGATTACAGGCGTGAGCCACCGCGCCCGGCCTAATTTTTTGTATTTTAGTAGAGAGGGGGTTTCACCGTGTTGCCCAGGCTGGTCAAGAACTTCTAAACTCAGGCAATCTGCCCATCTCAGCCTCCCAAAGTGCTGGGATTACAGGCATGAGCCACCGCTCCCGGCCAGCTCATTTCTTTTTAGGGCTGAATAATATCCCACTGTTTGTAGGTACTACAGCCTCAACCCATTTTTAAAACTGTGTTTAAAGAGTTTATTGAGGCCGGGTGCGGTGGCTCACGCCTGTAATCCCAGCACTCCAGTGCCACTGCACTCCAGAGCAGGACCCTGTCTGCCTCCCCCTCCCCTCCACCCCGCCAAAAGAAAGATACGGGGGAACCTTAAATGCCTTACTAACTGAAAGAAGCCAATCCAAATGTATGATTCCAACTATATGACATTCTGGAAAAAGGCAAAATTGTGATGACAATAAAATGATAAAATGATAATTGGTTGTCGGCTTGGAGGGATGGAGGGATAAATGGGTGTTGTTTAGGGCAATGAAGCTATTCTCTATGAAACTGTAATGGTGGATACGTGTCATTACACATTTGCCAAAACTTGCAGAACATACAACAAGAGTGAACACTGATGTAAACTGCGGACTTTGGGTGATAATATTGTGTTCCTTGATTGTAGCAAAGGTACCACTCTGGTGTGGAATGTTGATAGAAAGGGAGGCCATCCCTGTGTGTCAGCATGGGGACTATGGGAATTCTGTACTTATACACTAAATTTACAGGCATGAGCCTGTAATCCCAGCACTCTGGGAGACCAAGGCGGGTGGATCACAAGGTCAGGAGATCAAGACCATCCTGGCTAACACGATGAAACCCCGTCTCTACTAAAAATACAAAAAATTACCCAGGCGTGGTGGCGGGAAACTGTAGTACCAGCTACTCGACAGGCTGAGGTAGGAGAATGGTGTGAACCCGGGAGGTGGAGCTTGCATGAGCAGAGATCACACCACTGCACTCCAGCCTGGGCGACAGAGCGAGACTCCGTCTCAAAAAAAAAAAAAGTTTATTGCAAAAGCTTGAGTATCTTCAGTTGTGGCTTCAAATCCGGGCTCAGGCTTTAACCTTATGTGACCCTGGACAAATGACTTGACTCTAAGGCTCAGTTGACTGGTCTATAACCACCTCACAGAGTTGTCAATTATGAACCTGTAAAAACTAACATGTACAAAAATTAACACCAGGGACACAGTGCTGAGAAACTGTGTTCTCTAAAATCACAGACTGCCAGAATTTTTAAAAATCTTTAAAATCATAACAATAGTGAAAATGGGACATCTCATTCTTACCTGGAAAGTCTAAGTCACTTTGACACAGAGAAGCAGTCATGATCTCAGAGAAGCGGTTTTTAGAGACAACATTGTACATTTATCTAAACTTTCTAATGTCCAAGGAAGCAGAATCCTGGGTCTGCTCCTCGCCCAGGCATGATGTTAGCTCCGTTGCATAAATACATGCCTGCTTTGCCTTATGTCCATCAAAACTCTGCTTTATATAAATTTTACCTAAGCTTCACTCTTCCCAAAATCCTATATTCACCCTGTCTCTTCCTTTGGTCAGGCACTCCAGAGTTCCTCTGGAGAGCTTTAAAAAAAAAAATTAAATTCAATGAAATGACTTAAATGAATTAAGTGTAAATGATTCAGAACTGGTATTAGAAATTATTAAAAGTGGGGGCCAGGCACGGTGGCTCACACCTGTAATCCCAGCATTTTGGGAGGCCAACGCAGGTGGATCACCTGAGGTCAGGAGTTCGAGACCAGCCTGGCCAACGTGGTGAAAACCCGTCTCTATAAAAATACAAAAATTAGCCAGGTGTGGTGGCAGGCACCTGTAATCCCAGCTACCTGGGAGCCTGAGGCCGGAGAATCGCTTGAACCCGGGAGGTGGAGGTTGCAGTGAACCAAGATCACATCATTGCACTCCCGCCTGGGCGACAAAGCGAGACTCCAACTCAAAAAAAATTAAATAATAATTACTTAAATTATAAAAAGTGAATATAAATTACCCAAGTACCTGGAGATTTCCAGTTAGACATGCATATATTACCCACTTTGAATACATATGGAAATATGTATGTGTTGGTTCTGGAAAAACAATTGAGATAATGAAAATATTTTCTCAAGTTTTAGAAACAGTATGAGATAGGTTTCAACAACATTCTACATGAATGTAAAACCTTGATTTAAATATATGATCTTATGCTAGAAGCATGGTTGGTTTTAATTTTTCTAACAGATACGAGTCTTGGCTTATTAATAATTAACACATTTTGCAGCCACAGTATCAGTGTGGGGTAAAATTCTAATATTTGCTCTTATGTTTTAAATTCTCAGTCTTTCCAACATAAGAAAATAGCTACACACATTTCAGTGTTTCCTTTTTGCAACAAGTTAACATAATTTTATTGGACCACGTTATTTAGTTGTTGGGCCTTGTAAGGATTAAATGAGATCATGCATGTAACACTACAGTAACAGCCACATGATAAATGTCCAAATAATATTTACCTGTGCCTGGCACAGAGCAGGCACTCAAAAAATATTTTTTAGAGCATGTGACGCGCCATGAACCAGAGGAGCCACTTTAAATGGACAAACGGGGATCTCATTTTTTTTTTTTTTTTTTAATGGTGAGACAAGCCCTGAGAAGGCAAATGGACTGCCTAAAGCTACACAGGTCAGCGGGGCAGGTAAATCTAAATTGGCAAAGTAAGGGCTGAGCGAACAGACTCCGACACTAGAAGGCAGAGCTGAACTAACTTCTGCTAAGGTCCCGCCTCTGCCGCTTTGTCCCGCCCTTATCTTCTCCCCTCCTCCAGCGCCTCATTCCCTTTTCGCTCGCCCCGGCCGTGCTGAAGCAACTTCCGCCCTGAGAAGGGTGGGGCTTCCGTCTCCCGCTCTCGCGACTCCTGGCGGTGAAGGACGGAAGATGATAGCCACATTTCTTCCTCGCCCTTCCCCTAGGTTCCCTGTCACAGTTCCGCCCTTACTACTCCCACTTCCGGCCAGGGAACAGCCACTTCCACCCGGAAAAGGGGTTGTTCCGCCGTGGGGCGCCAGCTGTGGCCCACCCATCCTGCCCCGTACTTTCGCCATCATAGTATTCTCCACCACTGTTCCTTCCAGCCACGAACGACGCAAACGAAGCCAAGTTCCCCCAGCTCCGAACAGGAGCTCTCTATCCTCTCTCTATTACACTCCGGGAGAAGGAAACGCGGGAGGAAACCCAGGCCTCCACGCGCGACCCCTTGGCCCTCCCCTTTACCTCTCCACCCCTCACTAGACACCCTCCCCTCTAGGCGGGGACGAACTTTCGCCCTGAGAGAGGCGGAGCCTCAGCGTCTACCCTCGCTCTCGCGAGCTTTCGGAACTCTCGCGAGACCCTACGCCCGACTTGTGCGCCCGGGAAACCCCGTCGTTCCCTTTCCCCTGGCTGGCAGCGCGGAGGCCGCACGGTAAGCGGGGGCTCCGAGCTGGACCGGGCGCGAGGCGGCAGGGCCGGACGCCGAAGCCTCAGAGCGCGTGCCTGAGGGCCCCGAGGCGCCCGGCGCGGGCCCGTCCCGCCCCCTAGAGCCGCGGCCACGTGCGAGCGGCAGGCCCGGACATGCCCGGTCAGCGCCGTCCGGGAACCGAGCGTGGGCCCCGGGGGGCAGCGGCGGGGTGCGTGGGGCGTCCGGAGTCCCGGGGCTGGGGAGTGGGGTCGCGCAGGATCCTCACACGCAGGGGCCGGGCTCTGTTAGTGCGATCCAGAGAGGCCGTGGGCGTCGGTGAGCTCCTTCAGACCCGCAGGAGCCGGAGCCCGGCGTTGAAGGGGCCGTGGGAAGTAACGGGGGGTACCACGGTTTAGGATGCGCTGGAGCGAAAGGATTGGGGTGGGGTCCGTGCTCTTGGCAGTCGTCTCTGCCAGGCCTGTGTTCACATGCTTGACTTTCTCCCTCAGATGCCTGGAGTTACTGTAAAAGACGTGAACCAGCAGGAGTTCGTCAGAGCTCTGGCAGCCTTCCTCAAAAAGTGAGTTTGGGGACTGAGGTTCAAAACGGGTGGAGGCTGTCGCCTTGGCCTGCCCATCTGAGCCCCAGTGTTTGCCGGTCCCTGGCAGGCGAGGCTTGTTTGGGGCCTCCGTGGCTCCTTTCAGCGTGAGGCCTGGCTTGTGTTCCGGTTCCAGCCTCTCTTTGTACTCTGGGCACAGCATAGTTGTGTTGAGGGGAGGGCATTTGGGATATGGGGTAGTTTGTGGAGATGACTGAATCGTGCTTTTCCCACTGTTTTGGTCTTAGGTCCGGGAAGCTGAAAGTCCCCGAATGGGTGGATACCGTCAAGCTGGCCAAGCACAAAGAGCTTGCTCCCTACGATGAGAACTGGTTCTACACGCGAGCTGGTGAGGAACTTAGGTCTTTGGCTGGAGAGTGGGGAGCTGGGTGACCCCTGGCACAAACCATACTTCCCTGTCTCCTCTGAGCTCTTTCCCGCCCCAAGAGGGAGAGAAACCCTTGGTTGTGTCACCACTTGCTTTGTGTGATGTGACATTCGATAACTTGGTACTCCAAGTTTTTATGACATTCTAAGAGCTTTGTGAGAGGAGGACCTGTGGCTTTGAGCCTCAGGGGAAACCAGAGACAGATGAATGTTCATATTTTGCTTACAGGTGGTTTAATCCTTTCTATATACACGGAGGCAGACTCCCTGGGTTTGGATCCATCTTTTACATCTGGCTGTGTGTCCTCTGGCAAGTTGGTTAACCTGCCTGTGCACTCTCTCATCCCCAAAATGGGACTAATTATTGTACCAGTACTAGAGTATTGCAAGGATTGAATGAATTTAAAGCAGAGTGTTTAGAACGTGTCTGTTGCACAGTAGTTATTCAGGAAAAAGCCAGTTGTCTTTACTATTGCTCAGATCATCAAGTTAGCCTTCTCCATATCTCTAACAGGCTGTTTCTAACTAAATGGTTGGAGATCTGGCCAGGTCAGTCCCTGCTTTAAATCTTGACTTCTGATCTTATGGACACCCTGCAACCTCGTGCCAGCCCCGTCTCTTTTCAATCTTCCAATAATAATTTATGTACAGTCCCTGACTAGTGTTAGTTCTCACGTGTCTTAATATTTCAGTACTCACTAAATCTTCACTTTCAGGAAGATGTAACAGGGTGGGCGGTGGCAGTGCCGTGTTATGTCAAGGTGACAGCCTTAGCACCGACCTTCACTAAGGGGCCTCGGCCTCTCCAATCTTAAACCTTCTCTCTCTGTGAAGTGGGGACTCCATCCTGACCACAACTTGTCTCCAGATAAGAAGTAGGTGGGAAGCAGGGTTTGGAAATCGGCAAAACTCCTCCATGACCCGGAAAAGAGTTGGCCTTGGTACAGGTTGCTTGGCCCTTCAGAATATGAAGCATTTTGTAGATTTGTGGTACACTTGTGCCTCAAATGTCTATTGGGGCCCACTCTTTCAGGCCATGGAGTGAGCACAGAGGACCAGCATAACTCAGCCGCGGCCTCTGAGGACTGAAAGATGAACTTGCTGAGGTGGGTCGGGTTGCTGGCATACCACCTACCCACCGTTTGTTTTAGACAGAAAATGGGGCGGATGAAGAGAAGCTGACTTCCCTGGGCGCACAGCAGTGACAAGCCCTGGAAGTTACATATCTCCTCCACCTGTCCCCCCATCTTGCTTTGGCAGTGCCTCAAGGGTCAGTTGGTCAGAGCAGCTTTGGATCTGGGATTAGCCTTTCTCATTTGCTGGGGTGAAGACACGTTCTGCACATACCAAATACCTCCAAAGTAGGACTGTATGTGTCTTGTACATTTTTTTTTTTTTTTTTAACATGGGGAGGGATTAACAAGAGATGGCATTAAGACCTTGGATAATAAACCTAGTTGCATCTGCTGGTCATGGTAGAGCTGCTGTGGTCCCTTGCAGCCCACAGTGGCCCTGCCTGGAAACCTCAAGCAGGATGTGCATCTTCTGCCTGCCTACTGATCTCCATCACTTGGAGTACCCCAAAGGCCTCTTTTTCACCTCACTTGCCCAGCTGTCCTAGCGGCATAGGATGGTTGTGTGGTAGACCAGAGGCCTGTTGTGTATATTTTTGTTGGGTTATAGCCACCCCTGTGTATCTACATGCACAAGGGCAGAGTTGTAGTTGTGGCAGAAGCTGTAGCCTACAAAGCCTGAAATATTTCCTACCTGACCCTTTATTATTTATTTTCAGGGACAGGGTCTAGGCCTGTCACCCAGGTTGGAGTGCAGTGGCACAATTATAGCTCACTGCAGCTTCTTGGGCTCAAGTGATCCTCCTGCCCCACCCTCCTAAGTAGCTGGGACTACAGGTGCCTATCAGTCACCATGCCTAGCTAATTTTTTTTATTTGTAGAGATGGAGTCTCACTATGTTGAACTCCCAAGCTCAAGCGGTCCTCCCGCCTCAGCCTTCCAAAGCACTGGGATTACAGGCAAAGTTGACCAGCCTCTATTCTAGAGTTTAACATGTTCCACCCAGTTTGGCAGTCAGCTTATACTGATCATGGGAGTGATCTTGTTTTACCAAAGAGGAAGCTGTGGTGCAGACGGGCGAAGGGACTTGCTGCAAGTTACCCTGGGAGGGCTTGGCAGGGTGGCTCTGTCCAAAACTAGGTTCCCTGCTATATTCCCTTTTTTCTACTCATAAGAGTCTGGCCTATTTTGCCTCCTCAGATTTGAGGCTAAAGTGTGCTAAAGCAGCGCCCTTGCTGAGCAGGGCCAAATTGTGGAGACCTATAGGAATGAGTGTGAGGTAGACAGGTCTTAATCCTGGGGTTTGGGGGTAAAGAGGCCCATGGTAGAAGATGGGGCCCTCTTGAGGGTGGTCTGGAAATGGAGCAGAGCTGTAGGAGTAAGCAGTCCCAAGGCAGTGGTGTAGGAGGCAGGGCAAGGTAGAGGAAGAACCCGCAAAGACTTGCTCTCACTGGACGTTCAAGGGATGGCCGCCATGGGTCTTTATGAAGGGGGTGGTGCAGTGTAGCCCCGGACAGGCTTTTTTTTTTTTTTTTTTTTTTAAACAGAGTTGCACTGTCACCAGGCTGGAGTACACTGGTGCCGTCTCGGCTAACTGCAACCTCTGCCTGCCGGGTTCAAGCAATTCTCCTACCTCAGCCTCCCAAGTACCTGGGACTACAGGTGCCCGCCACCACGCCCAGCTAATTTTTCTATTTTTAGTAGAGACGGGTTTTCACCATGTTGGCTGGGATGCTCTCGATCTCTTGACCTCGTGATCCGCCCGCCTCGGCCTCCCAAAGTGCTGGGATTACAGGCATGAGCTCCCGCACCCAGCTGGACAAGCCTCTTGCTGTCTTAATTCTTTAAAGGACCTGCTGAAGATGGAGATGTGGGAGTCCAGTTTGGTGTCCTGGTGTGCGTCTGAGAGCAGCTGCTGAATTGGGATGTCTGGAAACACTTCTTGTAGGTTGGAGGCTGCTCCATCTCTGGCTCCTGCATGGGGCTGGGCACCCACTTGTGCTATGATAGTAGAAAGAATGAGATCTGGGAGGCATCACAGAAGTGAGTTAAGGGATGAATCAAGGTCAGGAGAGTGGTTTCTTACAAGTTCGGCAGAGAAGGGTCAGCTAGAGTGTGCTGGGGAAGTTCTTCCCTGCCTTTGACTCAGTAGGTCAGGATGGGACCACCGGTCTGGACTTTGCTGAGCTGTGATGACTCCTAAGGAGCCGTGCTTGGTTGGTCTGCCCCGTGCTCAGATCCAGAGGGACCCTCCCTCTCGGTCTAGCAGGAACACAGCTGCCCTCCCTTGACCATGAACTCACAGTAGAGTGGAGAGGGGTGGCCTCCTTTACAGTTCCAGGTAGGGGGTGATTCCTGGACAGGGGTTCCTGAGAGGAGTGGGTTGCCATCCCAAGAATGCACACAGCAGAGGAGCAGAAGGCCTCTAGCATGGAGGAACTGGAGGAGAACCCATTTGTGACAGCAACTTGCTCGCAATTGGCCCTCATGAGTACCAGCTACGGCGGTCTGCATTTGTGCAGCTCCACATCAAAAGCTGGGGCTGGAACCTTGGTCTCCAGGGGGTGAGGAAAAAGGTCAGTGTTTTAATAGAACGCGGTATTTCAACTCTTAGCATTTTCCAATTTGTGAAGTTAATAACCCTTCCTCTCCCTTCTAGTGGGTCAGAAAAAAATAATTAGCATGAACTGGGATAGCAAGGGAGGAGCTTGTAATATCTGACCAAGGTTCTCCATGCCAAAAGGTTTTTATACAGCCTTAAGAAAAATTTAAGCCTCCATTGAAGAACCTAATAGGCCTTTGGGAGGCCAAGGCAGGCGGATCACCTGAGGTCAAGAGTTTGAGACCATCCTGACCAATGTGGTGAAACCCCGTCTCTACTAAAAATAAAAATTAGCCAGGCGTGGTAGCAGGCGCCTGTAGTCCCAGCTACTGGGGAGGCTGAGACAGAAGAATTGCTTGAACCCCGGAGGCAGAGGTTGCAGTGAGTCTGAGATCACGCCACTGCACTCCAGCCTGGGCAACAGAGTGAGACTGTCTCAAAAAAAAAAAAAAAGCACCTAATAGGCCTTATGGGAGCTTGTTCTCTACCAGTCACTGTGCTCAAGGTTTAAGTAAAGTGTCTCCTTTAGTACCGCAGCACAAACCACCTGGAGGATAGGTGGGTCCTGTGTCCCTCCTGAGGAGGAACGGTGTCAGGATTCAAGCTCCTGTCTGACTGCTCTGGGCGCTAGTCCCAACCCAACAAGACTGAGGTTGAGTGTCCCATTTCTGGTGTACAGCCGCTTTGGGCATCTCTGCGCTTAGGAGTGTGTGCCTTATTCTTAAAAAGCAAGATAACAGAGGCCCGGCGCGGTGGCTCACACCTGTAATCCCAGCACTTTCGGAGGCCGAGGCGGGCGGATCATGAGGTCAAGAGATCGAGACCATCCTGGCTAACATGGTGAAACCCCATGTCTACTAAAAATACGAAAAAATTAGCCGGGCGTGGTGGCGGGCGCCTGTAGTCCCAGTTACTGTAGAGGCTGAGGCAGGAGAATAGCATGAACCCGGGAGGCGGAGCTTGCAGTGAGCTGAGATCACGCCACTGCACTCCAGCCTGGGCGACAGAGTGAGACTCCGTCTTTAAAAAAAAAAAAAAAAAAAAAAGGCCGGGCGCGGTGGCTCATGCCTGTAATCCCAGCACTTTGGGAGGCCGAGGCGGGCGGATCAGGAGGTCAGGAGTTTGAGACCAGCCTGGCCAGCATGGTGAAACCCCATCTCTACTAAAAATACAAAACATTAGCCAGGTGTGGTGGCGTGTGCCTGTAGTCCCAGCTACTCGGGAGGCTGAGACAGGAGAATTGCTTGAACCTGGGAGGCGGAGCTAGCAGTGAGCCCAGATGGCACCACTGCACTCCAACCTAGGCAACAGAGAAAGACTCCGTCTCAAAAAAAAAATAAAGCAGGATAACAGGAAAAGCTATTCTGCGTTCCCCAGTCCTGGGTACTGTAGTTCAAATGGGAGAGCAGGTCTCCACCCAGAGCCCCAGGGCACAACCAGCTACAGGGCCCAGAGGGATGGCAGCAGCTGCTGGGTATTTGAGCTGGTCTGAAAGGGTGGAGGTTTCCAGTGATGTCACTCTCTGGCAGGATTGTGGGGGGTGGCTTACGCCAGGTGAGTCTGTCTATTGGTCCTGGTTATGGGCACTTATTACCAGGCAGTGGCGTAGGGGGTAGGGCCTGGAGTGAGGTGGGGATTTTAAAGTGAGCAGATGCCAGAGGTAGTGAGCCAACAGCAGGGCTGTGCTCTTGGCCCCCAGCAGAGCATGGTTGTATAGTATCAGCTGAGGATTGGTTCCAGGATGAACCCCAATACCCAAGTCCACAGATGCTCACCCTTACTATAAAATGGTGTAATATCGGGGCCAGGGGCCGGGTGCGGTGGCTCAACCCTGTAATCCCAGCACTTTGGGAGGCCAAGGCAGGTGGATTACGAGGTCAGGAGATTGAGACCATCCTCGCTAACACGGTGAAACCCCGTCTCTACTAAAAATACAAAAAAATTAGCCAGGCGTGGTGGCGGGCCCCTGTAGTCCCAGCTACTCTGGAGGCTGAGGCAGGAGAATGGAGTGAACCCGGAAGGCAGAGCTTGCAGTGAACCGAGATTGCGCCACTGCACTCCAGCCTGGGCGACAGAGCGAGAGACTCCATCTCAGAAAAAAAAAATATCGGGGCCAGCACAGTGGCACACACCTGTAATCCCAGCACTTTGGGAGGCCAAGATGGGTGGTTCACTTCACTCCAGGAGTTCAGCCAGAGCAACATGGCAAAACCGGGTCTCTTCAGAAATTATCTGGGCGTGGTGGCTTGCACCTGTAGTCCCAACTATTCAGGAGGTCAAAGCTGCAGTGAGCTGTTACCACTGCACTCCAGCCTGGGTGACAGAATGATGCCCTGTCTCCAAAAAAAAAAAAAAGTATAATATTTGCATATATCCTATGTAGATGTTTTACTTTTGAGACAGAGTCTCACTCTGTCACCCAGTCTGGAGTGCAGTGGCATGATCTTGGCTAACTGCAACCTCTGCCTCCCAGGTTCAAGTGATTCTCCTGCCCTGCCTCAGCCTCCCAGGTAGCTGGGGTTACAGCGGGTGTGCCACCACACCTGGCTAATTTTCTTGTAATTTCAGTAGAGATGGGGTTTCACCATGTTGGCCAGGCTGGTCTCAAACTCCTGACCTCAGGTGATTCTCCCGCCTCAGCCTCCCAAAGTGGTGGGATTACAGGCGTGAGCCACTGCGCCCGGCCTGATCCCATATATTTTAAATCATCTGTAGATTACTTATAGATTAATACAGGCCAGACATGGCACATACTTATAGTCCCAGCTACTTAGGAGGCTGAGGCAAGAGGATTGCTTAAGCCCAGGAGTTCGAGGCTGCAGTGAGCTATGATCACACCACAGCACCCCAGCCTGGGTGACAGAATGAGGCCCTTTTTTTGTGTTTTAAGAAAAAAGAAAAAGCACTAATACGGTGTAAATAATTGTTACACTGTTTTGAATTGTAGTTTTTTTCCCCTAAATATTTTTGATCCACCCTTGGTTGAGTCTGTGGATATGAAGGGCTGGCTGTATCTGGACCTGATCTCAGGGCAGGAGTGGGCTGGGAACAAGCGGTGTGTAAGAACTGTTTCTGGGCAGAAGCAGCCCACCCCACACAGACTACTGCCTGGCACTTGGCAGTTATGGAAGAACCCCCAATTCCCCCACTTGATCTTTAGAACTAGAGGAAAGAAATCACTAGAGCAGACTCAGACCAACTTGCTGATCTCTGGGTCCCAGGAACAAACCAGACTCTGCTCTGAGCTCCAGAGCTAGGCAGGACCATGTGATGGCTGAAATCTGGGTGCTTCCTGCATGTGGGCCCCGGTGCCATCACAGTGGCAGGACAGGGCAGTTCCTCCAGAGCTGTGTGACACGGAGCCAGTGAGTACCCTCTGGCACCTCAGTTTCACTCTTTAAAGGAGAGTAGCACTTGACACACCTGTTGAGTCCTCAGAGTAACCCGGCCCTCAGGTGAAGAAGGGTGGAGAGATCGAAAAGCATTTGGCACAGGGCCTGGCAGATGTGTGCTCCAGTTAATAGAAGCGTGCAAGCGTTTCTGGGGAGGCTGGTGTGTCGACTGGATTTTACGGAGCTTTTTTTGCAGGCAAGGAGGCTGGCTGGGGTGGACCAGGGACTTGCCCAAGCCAGCCTTCCCTGTGTCTGCAGAGGGGCTGGTACACATTCCAAGCAGGGGGCACCCACTGCACAGAGTGTCTGCCCTGCCCTTGTTATCCTGAGCTCTCCAGACTGAGGTGGCCCGGAGAGTGGCAATAGGTCCCTTCACTCCTGCTTCTCTGGGGCCCATGGAGATGGTCACAGCTAGGCTCCACCCCTACATAACCTCAGGTTCAATTCAACAGCAGTGCTGCTGGGATAGTAACCACTAAAGAAGTTGGCCCTGGAGATGGTGGGAGTGCCCACCCAGGGTGCAGGGCTGTTTGTCAAGGAAGAGCTAGCCGGGGGGGTGGGTGAGGAGAGGGGGCTGTCAGTTTCTGGGTGTTAGTGTGTGTTTTCAGTTTCCCTTCTTATAAAACAGTGAGAATTAGCTGTTTACACACAAGGAATTGTTTACCTGAGACCTTGATCAAGACCCTTAAATCTCCCTCTCACACTACCCCCAGCTTCCACAGCGCGGCACCTGTACCTCCGGGGTGGCGCTGGGGTTGGCTCCATGACCAAGATCTATGGGGGACGTCAGAGAAACGGCGTCATGCCCAGCCACTTCAGCCGAGGCTCCAAGAGTGTGGCCCGCCGGGTCCTCCAAGCCCTGGAGGGGCTGAAAATGGTGGAAAAGGACCAAGATGGGTAAGCAGGGTAGAGGGGGCTGCATTGATGGAGTAGCCTTGAGGCCCGGTCATCAATTCCCCAACGAATGGTCCTGCATAGTCTGCCCAGCCCCTCAGGCCCCTCCTATCAGAGGCAGGCAGGAGGGGATTCTGCAGAAAAGCAAACAGCACGGGGCCTCACCCCGACCTCTCTGGCTGACTAGCCCAGGCTCCAGGAGGGTAATTTAGCGACTATCTGCTTTCATTAGCCTGCTCGTTAACTTTTCCCAATTGATTTTTCGGGGCTTTTGATCTAAATGCTTGCACAAACAACACCCCGTCAGCTCCCAGGGGGGCTCCCACTACTGCCCCCAGCTCGTTAGAATGCACCTGACTAGGGCCCTCAGTGGGACTTGGCTGGCGGCAGGTGGCTTTTTGAGAAGCCTGGCTCACAGCCAGGAGGGAAGGGGCTGAGAACAGGACCTGTGCTCACTGGGGCCTGCATGACCCTTCCCTCCCCACAGCGGCCGCAAACTGACACCTCAGGGACAAAGAGATCTGGACAGAATCGCCGGACAGGTAAGGCCTGCGTTTGGGGTGGGGCTGGGTCCCTTAGTCGCTGCCCAAGCATTTCCAAAGCCCATACTTTGTCAGGTAGACTTATTTCCTTCTCTGGAGGGCACAGCCCAGGGTGCTGGTGGGGTCAGAGGAGGGCTGCCCAGAGACAGGAGAAAGGACAGTCCTGTCTGACTTTTCCTGTTGGTGCTGCTTAGAAATTTGGAGGCAGGCTGGCTGTGGTGTCTCACCCCTGTAATCCCAGCACTTTGGGATGCCGAGGCAGGCGAATTATCTGAGGTCAGGAGTTCAAGACCATTCTGACCAACATGGAGAAACCCTGTCTCTACTAAAAATACAAAATTAGCCGGGTGTGGTGGCACATTCCTGTAATCTCAGCTACTGGGGAGGCTGAGGCACAAAAATCACTTGAACCCGGGAGGTGGAGGCTGCGGTGAGCCAAGATCATGCCATTGCACCCCAGCCTGGGCAACAAGAGTGAAACTCCATCTCAAAAAAAAAAAAATTGGAGGGAACTCCAGCCCAGGTGCCACTGGGCATCTATCCACAGAGCACATAGCTGTACCCGTAGATGACTCCCCCTCCCCAGGTCAGCCTGCGATGTTTCCCCTTAGTCCTCATGCGTACTGAGCATCACATGGGCTGCTTGGGAGAGGTGGAGATAAGGGAGGGGGGCTGGTTCAGAACCCAGGTCTCCATTCAGATCCTGGCTGGCCAACACCCTGGGGCAGAGTGGCCACACCCCTGGTGCCACAGTCTCCTGTCTTGGCCTCCCTGTGGCCAAAATCTACCCTTGGCCACCTCAAGCATGGTAGTGAGGAGTCAGTGAGCTATAGTACAGCAGGAGCACCCAGGGCCTGGCATGAGCTCAATTCTGTATCACTGACTCAGGCCTCCTAGGAGCCTTGGAGCATTTAGTCAGTCAAGTGTCACAAAAGAATGGAAAGTGTCAGCCCTCTAGGAGTTGGGGGTGGTCTGGAAGGAGAAAGCTCTTCCAGGCAGAGTGGGGCTTGGCGCACACATCATTGCTGGTGGTTGGATGTTGGCCTTCTCACATGGCAGTGGGCGGAATTTGGACTCCACTCCGCCACTCCCTTCCTTTTTTTTTTTTTTTTTTTTTTTTTTTTTTTGAGACAGAGTCTTGCTCTGTCGCCCAGGCTGGAGTGCAGTGGTGCAATGTCAGCTCACTGCAACCTCTGCCACCTGGGTTCAAGCAATTCTCCTATCTCAGCTTCCCGAGTAGCTGGGACTACAGGCACACACCACCACACCTGGCTAGTTTTTATATTTTTAGTAGAGACAGGGTTTCACCATATTGGTCAGGCTGGTCTCGAACTCTTGACCTCAGGTGATCCACCTGCCTCGGCCTTCCAGAGTGCTGGGATTAAAGGTGTGAGCCACTGTGCCTGGCCACTCCCTTGAGACTCAGTTTCCACGTCTGTGAAATGGGGGAATACCCACAGTGAGAATTAGATGAGATAGATGCATTTGAAACCACAAATCGGGGTGCCCACCTGTGGTGGGTAGTTAGGTAGCTGTTACAAAGTGCCCCAGCAGAGACCCCCTTGACTAACTTTTATTCTTCCATCTTTTCCCACAGGTGGCAGCTGCCAACAAGAAGCATTAGAACAAACCATGCTGGGTTAATAAATTGCCTCATTCGTAATCCTGGTCTGGGTCTCTTTTTTGAGTCTCTTGCTCTGTCGCCCAGGCTGGAGTGCAGTGGCGCCATCTCAGCTCACTGCAATCTCCGCCTTCTGGGTTCAAATGATTCTCCTGCCTCAGCCTCCCAAAGTGCTGGGATTACAAGTGTGAGCCACTGTGCCTGGTCTGGTTTGGGTCTCTTGATTGTTCTTCAGGGGCATGAGGAAGAGGCGCTTCCTCCCTTCCCTTGGGTGAGGGGGCCCAGGGTGATTGGGTGGCTGTTTACCCGGCAGCCAGTCGGGCCTTCCCAGGTCAAACAGTTCCCATCTGGGTTTGGAGGAAGGACCCAGGGGCCCTTGTGGCTCACTCCCCCACATCCTGTCTTTGCAATTGTCAGAAAGTGAGAAACGAAAGGATGGCTGTGAGCTGTGACCTCAGCTGGGCCTGGGCTGCAGAGGTGGCTTCCGCTGGAGTAAAGCAAGAGGGCCCAGGGTTCATGCTCTTCCCTGGAAGGTAGAAAAGGACAGACCACCAGGGAGCCTCCACCGCAAACTGACCTGTGCTGCCTACACACTAACTTTCCTGGGCCTGGGGCCTGCACAGGCTGAATGGTCCTTGAGCCTTCACTCTGCATCTGAGCGGTCTTGGGCCCGCTGAGTGGCAGTGGCAGGAAGTCGGTGGAAGCAGATCCCTGTGCAGAAGTTGAATTACCAGGGCGGCCACACACGGGCTGCACAACCTTTGCAGTCGTGCACGGCAAGTGGGATGTGGCCTCCGCCCATGATTGGGCACCTGGTCAGGCTGGGAGATCCAAATAGCACCCAGTGGGCAGCTGTCCGACCCCTGGAGGGGCAAGCCAGGAAAGAAACTTAGGGCCCGCTGTGACCAGATGTCCCTCCCAGTTGGGAAGACTAAACTGGTTTGGCCAATATCTCCCAGGATTCCCCTGTCCAAATTATTCCTGGGATCTGACCCATTTCCTGGAAAGGGGCGAGCCTGGGTTTTGAAGTTCAAACTAGAGTTTAAATCACAACTCTGCCCCTAATCCCACGTAACCCTGTGCACCTTATCCTCTGAGCCTTCGTCTCCTCGTGTGTAAGCCTGCTAACTCCTGAGAGACTGGACAAGATGCCGTGGAGAGCCTTGGCTCTGAGTAGCTCTGCTGCTGGACAGTTCAGTTGGCAGTCCCCAAACGTAAGGCGTAAGAGTTTAAGAAGTATCGGCCAGGCACAGTGGCTCACACCTGTAATCTCAACACTTTGGGAGGCCGAGACGGGCTGATCACCTGAGGTTGGGAGCTTGAGAACAGCCTGACCAACATGGAGAAACCCTGTCTCTAAAAATACCAAAATTAGTTGGGCATGGTGGCGCGCACCTGTAATCCCAGCTACTCAGGAGGCTGAGGCAGAAGAATCGCTCGAACCCCGGAGGCGGAGGTTGCAGTGGGTTGAGATCGAGCAATTGCAATCCAGCCTGGGCAACAGAGCGAGACTCCATTTCAAAAAAAGAATCAATAAAAATGTTAAAAGCACCGTTGTTTACACTCAGCAACTCTGTGAAGTAAGTGCCGAAAAGTGCTTTGGAGGTAGGTAAAGTAAGCCATAGGCTGGGTAACTTGCCAGATATCCCACAGCTGGAGCCATCATATGAACCCAAGCAACCCAGCTGCAGCCTGGACCTAGCCACTCCAAGGGCTCTGTGCCTCAGAAAAGAGGCCCAAAGGGTTGCACTCTAGCTGCAGGCCAGTCACTCCCCATTCTGGGCTCTAGTTTCCTCTTTTGGCCATTAATGAAAACATTTCCCAGAGCTGACATGAGAACTCAATGCCAAGCGTCCGGTTTGCACAGCAGCAGGCATTGCGCTTCCCAGGTAGGAAGCAAGGTCTAGGTGTCCCGAGCAGGCCTGCAATCCCGCAGCCGCGCCGCTCCAGCCACTGGGGAGCAGTAGAGGGCCTAGAAAGAAGCTCAGCCACCGAAGGCTCTTGAAGGTGAATTCCTAGGGCTTCCAGGTCTGGAGCCAGGCTTATTCCTGGGAGGGGGTTGTAACGGGGAATTGAAGTGCAGAGGGGCTAGTGACCCCAGCAGAACACCTGGGGTCCTGGTTCCCAGGGCTACAGAACTGTCCTAGATACTGTGCCAAATGCACTGCAGAATATTCTTGCAGTCTTATCAAGTGGGGGGTTTGTACCCATGTTATAGGAGAAAAAACTGAGTTTCAGATGACCAGTCAGTTGGCAGAGCTGAGTTGTAAAAGAATCCTGGACTCTTGAGGCCCAGGCTCTTCTGCGTGGATGGGAATTGCCCTTTTCCCATCTCCTGGGTTCACGCCATTCTGCCTCAGCCTCCCCAGCAGCTGGGACTACAGGCACACGCCGCCATGCCCGGCTAATTTTTGTATTTTTAGTAGAGACGGGGTTTCACTGTGTTAGCCAGGATGGTTTTGATCTCCTGACCTTCTGATCCGCCCGCCTCAGCCTCCCAAAGTGTTGGGATTACAGGCGTGAGCCACCGCGCCCAGCTGGCAATTGCACTTTTTTAAAATTCTGCACTCTAGGAGGCAGAGGTGGGCAGATCACTTGAGGTCAAGAGTTTGAGACCTTGGCCTGGAGTGGTGGCTCACACCTGTAATCCCAACACTTGGAGAGGCCGAGGCAGGTGGATCACCTGAGGTCAGAAGTTCGAGACCAGCCTGGCCAACATGATGGAACCCTGTCTCTACTAAAAAATACAAAAATTAGCTGGACGTGGAGGCAGGAGAATCGCTTGAATGCAGGAAGTGGAGGTCACAGTGAGCCAAGATTGCACCATTGTACTCCAGTCTGGGCGACAAGAGTGAAACACCGTCTCAAAAAAAAAAAAAAAAAAGAGTTTGAGACCAGCCTGGCCAACATGGTGAAACCCTGTGTCTATGAAAAAAAAAATTGGCTGGGCATGGTGGTGCACACCTGTAATTCCAGCTACTTGGGAGGCTGAGACAGGAGAACAGCTTGAACCCAGGAGGCGGAGGCTGCAGTGAGCCAAGATTGTGCCGCCACTGCACTTCAGCCTGGGCAACAGAGCAAGACTCCATCTCAAAAAAAAAAATCTGAAATACTTCAGGCATGCAAGTATTTAGCATTCAGTATTCATAATGTAAGAAAAACCTATGAAGCACAACCCAGTTTAAGTAACACAGGCAGGGCAGGGTGCAGTGCCTATAATCCCAGCACTTCGGGAGGCCAAGCTGGGAGAATCACTTGAGGTCAGGACTTCCAGGCCAGCCTGGGCAACACAGTGAGACCCTGTCTTTACAAAAAATTTAAAAAATAGGCCCAGTGCGGTGGATCATGCCTGTAATCCCAGCACTTTGGGAGGCCGAGGCGAGTGGATCATCAGGTCAGGAGATTGAGACCATCCTGGCTAACACGGTGAAACCCCATCTCTACTAAAAAAATACAAAAAATTAGCCGGTCATGGTGGCATCTGCTTGTAGTCCCAGCTACTCAGGAGGCTGAGGCAGGAGAATCACTTGAACCCGGGAGGCGGAGGTTGCAGTGAGCCAAGATCACACCATCGCACTCCAGCCTGGGCTACACAGCGAGACTCTGTCTCAAAAGAAAAAAAAAATTAAAAATAGCCAGGCATGGTGTGTGCACCTGTAATCCCAGCTACTTGGGAAGCTGAGGCAAGAGAATCACTTGAGCCCAGGAGTTTGACGTTATGATTATGCCACTGGACACCAGCCTTGGTGACAGAGAGAGGCCCTATCTCTAAAAAAGAAAAAAAAAAAAGTGGCCAGCCACGGTGGCTCCCGCCTGTAATCCCAGCACTTTGGGAGGCTGAGGTGGGTGGATTACCTGAGGTCAGGAGTGTGAGACCAGCCTGCCCAACATGGTGAAACCTGGTCTCTACTAAAAATACAAAAATATAGCCAGGCATGGTGGTGGCCGCCTGTAATCCCAGCTACTGAGGAGGCTGAGGCAGGAGAATCACTTGAACCTGGGAGGCAGAGGTTGCAGTGAGCCAAGATCACGCCACTGCACTTCAGCCTGGGTGACAAAGCGAGACTCCGTCTCAAAAAAAAAAAAAAAAAAAGTAACACAGGAAATAAAACCAAGACAAGATGAGCTCTCTGTGTCTCTGTGTGTCCCTCCCCAGACCCAACCCTGGCGTCCCCCAGAGGTAACCCCTCCCAGGAACTGGGCGTTTGCCACTCCCCTGCACGGGTCTACACCTCTGCTACAAACGTGTGTCCCTAAGCAGCGGACGCCTTTTGAAAACAAGTCAACTGTATCATGCTACGATATTTTTTCTGATGTTTGTGCTGTTTCTGAGACAGCCTTATGACACCTTCCCCTATTCTGTAGCATTCTGTTGGCTCACTTTGCCACAGTGTATGCACCCATTCTCCCACAAATGGACTTTTCATTTGCTTCTCAATGTTTGCTACCAAAAATCTCCCTGCAATAAATTTATTTTATATATCCCCTTGTATGTGTGTGAGGGTCCCCTAACTGCTCACAAATATCTCAGCAACTCCGCCCTCCCCACTCAGACCTCATTTCCCTCCTACCAGACATGCTCAAAGGAAACTGGGAGCAACACAAAGATGACTTTGAATCTCTGTCCACCACCCCTAGACTGTATGACACCCGCAAGTGACAACCTCCCCTCTCTGGCCTCGGTTTCCCCCTCTGTAAAATGGGGGATGGCCTACCTTGCCAGTCATGGCAGGTCAATATAAAACAACTTCTGGCTGTGCACAGTGGCACATGCCTGTAATCCCAGCACTTTGGGAAGCTGAGGCAGGAGGATTGCTTGAGGCCAGGAGTTCAAGACCAGCCTGGGCAATATAGCAAGATCCCATCCCTCTTAAAAAAAAAAAAGAAGAAAAATATATGTTGTTGTTGTTATTATTGTTATTATTAGAGACAGAGTTTCGCTTTTGTCACCCAGGCTGGAGTGCAATGGTGTGATCTCAGCTCACTGCAACCTCCACCTCCTGGGTTCAACTGATTCTCCTGCCTCAGCCTCCTGAGTAGCTGGAATAATAGGCATGTGCCACAACATCTGGCTAATTTTGTATTTTTAGTAGAGATGGGGTTTCGCCATGTTGGCCAGGCTGGTCTCAAACTCGACCTCAGGTGATTCTCCTGTCTCAGCCTCCCAAAGGGCTGGGATTACAGGCATAAGCCACCATAGCTGGCCTGTTTTTTTAAAAAAAGAATTCCAGTAAAGAGCTGATCATGGTTCTCACTCCTTGAATACCAGGAACACCATCTCGTATCACATAATGAGACAGGGAGACATTCTGGTCCTCATCTCACAGATGAAAAATGTCAAGCTTCGAAGGATCAAAGTGCCCACCTAGTCACACGGGTAGTCAGCCACAGGTCAGCCTGCCTTATTTATTCTTCATGAGTATTTATAGTGACTAACATTTACTGGGCGCCTACTGTGGGCCATTTCTGTGCATGTGACAACCCCTTTAAGTCCTTGTTTCTAATCCCAAGAAGCAAGGAAATGGGGTCAGGGAAGGGACAAGGTTTGCCCAAGTCCAGGCAGGGGGAGAGGTCAAGCTCAGAACCATCACCTGCCCATGACACATGCCCAGGACTCAGGTTCCCTAGGCTTCCTTCCAAAGGCTCAGCAGTGACGAGCCAGCCCTTGAACCAGCCTCTTCCCCCACCCAAGCAGCCACCTCTCAGGGGAATTGTGGCCACCACAGGTGCAGGGAGCAGTTTCTCTCCACTCACAGCCTGAAGCATACCCGGCAGGGGCTGTCCCCAGGCCCAACAAGCAAAGGGCCCAGTAGCGAGGGCCACTGGAGCCCATCTCCGGGGGGCTGGGCAGGAAGTAGGGTGGGGTTTGGGGTAGGGATCTGGTACCCTGGGACTGCTGCAACTCAAACTAACCAACCCACTGGGAGAAGATGCCTGGGGGTCCAGGAGTCCTCCAAGCTCTGCCTGCCACCATCTTCCTCCTCTTCCTGCTGTCTGCTGTCTACCTGGGTATGTGGCCAAAGGGCAGGAACTGGCGGGAGGTGGGGGAAGCTGTGGAGGCTGCAGAGAGGGCACAGGCAGAGGGAAGGGGGCTCAGGGAAAGGGGAAGAGGAGGCAGAGGATAGGGGACCCAGGGAAGATGCCTATAGAAATCGTATCTGTGCCAAGATGGGCCAAGGTGGGGCTGGAGGGAGCCCAGCGAAGGAGAAGGGGCGTCCACAGTCTCACACAGGGAGGCAGGAGCAAGAGTCACCTCCCCCACCTCCTGTTCCCCACAGGCCAAAATAAGGAACTAAAGTTGCTCTTGACTGAGCACCAGGGCTGGGGGCAGGAAGGGGACTTAGGGGTAGCAGCATTCAGCGTCTGTCAAGGGGAGAAAAAGCTTTCTCTGCCTTAAACCTCAGGTGCCTCTCTCTGTTGGGAGTCCCTTCTCAGCACTGGGGGAATGGGTGTCTCATGGACTCCCCCTCACCTGCTCAAGGACAGCTGGCAGGGGCTGTGGCCACGCTAACCCAGGAGTTCAGAGAAAAAGGTTCCCCACCCAAGGGGACACTGGGAGCAAGGATTGGAGTTCACGTCTGAGTCTTAAGCCCGTGACGATGAGGGTGCTCGGCCCCTCTCCCCATCTCTTCCTCCTTCTCTCTTCCTCACCTCCCTCCTCCACCTACCTCCAGAAGAGGGGACTGGCCATGTGGGAGGCCTGGCTGAGAGCTGGGGCTTCCCAGAGGAGCCCGGATTGGACACTGCAGCCAGCCTGAGCCGCCTCGTCTCACTCAGAGACACCCCCAGTCTCCACCCCGCTCTGAGCCCCTTCAATCACCAGCAGCCCAGCCCAAGGACTGAACTCACCCCTGACCCCTAGGTTGACACATACAACTTACAGAGAATGAGGGCCAGGCACAGGGTCACAGGCCAGGGCAGGCCACAGACTGGCTCCTCAGCCCAGGCAGGGAGAGGCCAGGGAGCCAAGAGTTTGAACCCAGTGCCACTCCTGACTGCCTGGTGATGCTGGCAACCCGCCTGCCCTCCCAGAGCCTCAGCCATCCCTCCTGTAAAATGGGGCTAAGGAGAGAACCTACTTCTAGGGTTCTGTGAATGATTACACAAGAAAAAGCGCCAGGTGCTGGGCCTGGCTGAGGCTGGGGTGCAAAAATGGACCGGGAAGGCTGCGGGAGGAGGGGACGCCTGCACTGCTTCTGGAAGGAGCTGTCTGGACAGCGGTCCTCCAGTGCCTGGAACAAACATCCAAAATCCAGAGAGTTCACAGGGCCAGAGTACAAAGTGGGTATGCGGGAGGGGGGCAAGAGATGGCGCTGCAGAGGTGAGAAGGGCCTCCCAGGGGTCTTACCATCCCAGGGAGTCTCATTCTCCTCTCCCAGGATATCCTCACCCACCCCAACCAGGTATGTCCTCTCTCCTTCCCAGGGGCTTCTTCACTTTCCCGCATCCCCCCTCTCCCCAGGATGTATCAGCCCCTGTCAGGGGCTCTCTCTCTCCCTCCCCACCCAGGAGAGTCCTCACCCTCTTCCCAGGAGTGCTGGAACTGCAGGGGCCAGGGCTGGGGAAATGTGTCACCATCCCCAGTCCCTGACCCACCCACCCTGTCTCTCCACAGGCCCTGGGTGCCAGGCCCTGTGGATGCACAAGGTCCCAGCATCATTGATGGTGAGCCTGGGGGAAGACGCCCACTTCCAATGCCCGCACAATAGCAGCAACAACGCCAACGTCACCTGGTGGCGCGTCCTCCATGGCAACTACACGTGGCCCCCTGAGTTCTTGGGCCCGGGCGAGGACCCCAATGGTACGCTGATCATCCAGAATGTGAACAAGAGCCATGGGGGCATATACGTGTGCCGGGTCCAGGAGGGCAACGAGTCATACCAGCAGTCCTGCGGCACCTACCTCCGCGTGCGCCGTGAGTGGCCCAGCCCTGGCCCCTACTCCCACTGTCCCGCTGGGGACACTCGGTTTATCTTTGAAGTGGGGATAGAGCCAGTACCTTCAATGTGGGTTTCAAACCGGCTTGGACAGAGGGACGGACATTCTCCTCTGCAGAGTGGGGTCTCTGGGGGGTCTGGGGCCTTGCAGGAGGTGGGCGGGGCCAGGAGGCTAGGGAGGGCAAGAGGGGCCAGGGCTCTGAGCCATACTACCTCCTTGCAGAGCCGCCCCCCAGGCCCTTCCTGGACATGGGGGAGGGCACCAAGAACCGAATCATCACAGCCGAGGGGATCATCCTCCTGTTCTGCGCGGTGGTGCCTGGGACGCTGCTGCTGTTCAGGGTGAGCCCCCTCGGACCTCTGAGTCAGCCGGGCGAGGGCCTGGGCCGAGGGACCCCCAATACCCAGGTAGCCCTCTAGAGCCTGAGGTTCCCCATCCAAAACTTGGGAGAATGAAAGCACCCACCATATAGGGGCTGTGGGAGTTAAATGAATGAATATAAAGAAGGGACTTGAACTGGCGCTGAGCCCAGGGGGTGTCTTCAATTTAGTTTCCCCTTCTGGGCTGTCCTCACGTCCACCTCCCCCCAAGAAGAGTCTCATTCTTCTCCCTAAGAGTGTCCTCACTCCCCTCCTGCCCTCACCCAGGAGTGTGGTTACCCTCCAGGTGTAGCCAAGACCAGGGAAGGTGGGGCCTGGTCCTCCCAGAATCTCTGATCTGTACCAGCCTCTCCTTAGGCACTACAGAAAGTGTGACTGTTATTGTTATTATTCATGGAGAATAGTAAGGGAGTGGAGACTCAAGAAGACGCTAGCTTGGGAGGCCGAGGCAAGAGGATCACTTGAGGCCACAAGTTTGAGACCAGCCTGGGCAACACAGCAAGACCCTATCTCTACACACACAAAGTCTTAAAAAAAAATTAGCCAGGCATGGTGGCACACACCTATAGTCCCAGCTACTCAGGAGGCTGAGGTGGGAGGATTGCTTGAGCCCAGGAGTTCAAGGCTGCAGTGAAATATGATGTTGCCACAGCACTTCAGCCTGGGCAACTGAGGGAGAAGAAAGAGAGAGAGAGAGAAAGAGAGAGAGAGAGAGAGAGAGAGAGAGAGGGCGAGAGGGAGGGAGGGAAGGAAGGGAAGGGAAGGAAGGAAGGAAGGAAGGAAGGAAGGAAGGAAGGAAGGAAGGAAGGAAGGAGAACACTGGTTGTAGACTCAGAGAGAACTGTTACATAACCAGTATGTGGCCTTGGGGACATCTCTTACCCTTTCTGGAAAAGTACTTCCTGGCATCCAGGAGGGTCTGAAAGATATTCACCTCCCCCTGCTCACTGAGGCACCCACCCCACCCACCCCTACAGAAACGATGGCAGAACGAGAAGCTCGGGTTGGATGCCGGGGATGAATATGAAGATGAAAACCTTTATGAAGTGAGTGAAGGGTGGGGATGGGGTAGGGGCAGTTGTGTTAGGGGTGGGGGTGTTCCCTCTGGGGGTGGCTGGGGGCAGGGACCCCAGGTGTCAGGGTGCTGATGTTCGCTGCCTCATTTCCATCCCAGGGCCTGAACCTGGACGACTGCTCCATGTATGAGGACATCTCCCGGGGCCTCCAGGGCACCTACCAGGATGTGGGCAGCCTCAACATAGGAGATGTCCAGCTGGAGAAGCCGTGACACCCCTACTCCTGCCAGGCTGCCCCCGCCTGCTGTGCACCCAGCTCCAGTGTCTCAGCTCACTTCCCTGGGACATTCTCCTTTCAGCCCTTCTGGGGGCTTCCTTAGTCATATTCCCCCAGTGGGGGGTGGGAGGGTAACCTCACTCTTCTCCAGGCCAGGCCTCCTTGGACTCCCCTGGGGGTGTCCCACTCTTCTTCCCTCTAAACTGCCCCACCTCCTAACCTAATCCCCCCGCCCCGCTGCCTTTCCCAGGCTCCCCTCACCCCAGCGGGTAATGAGCCCTTAATCGCTGCCTCTAGGGGAGCTGATTGTAGCAGCCTCGTTAGTGTCACCCCCTCCTCCCTGATCTGTCAGGGCCACTTAGTGATAATAAATTCTTCCCAACTGCAGACCTTGGCAGGAGTCGTGGATCTTACGGGAACCGCCTCTCCCACATGTCCCTCAGACCCAGGAGTCCCAGCCCAAGCCACTCCCTGCCCACTCCCCACACCTGGGACCAGGTAGCCAGTCTGGGCTGCCCTCCTGGGAGAACAAGATGTCTCTTGGGAAGGTCCCCAGACCAACTGAAGGACTGGTTTGGCCCTCTTTGCAGGGCCTCACCCTAGGGTCATATCCTTAAGCAAGAAGGGGACAAGATCAAGATGGCTGTGGCTACCAAATTACTTACACTTTTTTTTTTTTTTTTTTTTTTGAGACAGAGTCTCACTCTGTTGCCCAGGTTGGAGTGCTCACTGCAACCTCTGCCTCCTGGGTTCAAGCGATTCTCCTGCCTCAGCCTCCCAAGTAGCTGGGATTACAGGCGCCTGCCACCATGCCCAGCTAATTTTTGTATTTTTAGTAGAGGCGGGGTTTCACCATGTTGGCCAGACTGGTCTTGAACCTCTGACCTCAGGTGATCCACCTACCTTGGCCTCCCAAAGTGCTGGGATTACAGGCGCCTGCCACCACGCCCGGCCGCTTTTTTTTTTTTTTTTTTTTTTTTTGAGGCAGAGTCTGACTCTGTCGCCCAGGCTGGAGTGCAGTGGCGCAATCTCAGCCCACTTCAACCTCCACCTCAAGCGATTCTTGTACCTCAGGCTCCCGAGTAGCTGGGATGACAGGCATGTGCTACCACACCCAGCTAATTTTTGTTTTAGTAGAGACAGGGTTTCGCCATGTTGGCCGGGCTGGTCTCGAACTCCTGACCTCAAGTGATCCACCATGCTTCGGCCTCCCAAAGTGCTGGGATTACAGGCATGAGCCACTTTATGCGTATTTAAGCCTTGGAAACACAGGGACTATCTTGTGGATTGGGGCTAGTACAGAATTCAGACTGCAGCCTTTTCCCGATGCGTTGACTTACAGAAGGGGCATTTTGGAGGGTCTGTGGTCCTAACCTGGGGATAGCAGGGAGATCCCGGGGCAATGACAGAGAGGCACAGAGACACGGATTTCCTGAGAAAGGGAGAGGAGAGAGGCTGAGACCCAGGGATCATGAAGGGGACGAGCAAGGGAAGGAAGAGATGATGAGACCCTGGGAATCCGGGAGAGAGACAGGGACGTGGAGAGAAAGGGACAGAGAGAGAGCGAGAAGGAAAGGAAGAGACAGAAGGGAGAAGGGGCAACCGAAAATGGGCACGAAGAGGCCCAGGCACAGCAACAGCTGGGGAAATGACAGAGACTGAGACGGAGATGCAGAAAGATACAGAGAGAGCTGGAGAGGGTAGAGAAGGGCTTTCGGGGAGAAAGTGATGGAGGGACAGAGAGGAGAGGTGGAGGCCAAGGAGGGAAAGACCCCAGTAGAGAAAGACAGAGGGACAGAGAAGGGGATGCAGACGCAGGCGGGAGCACACCCACAGAGGCGAAGGAAGGGCGCAAGACCATGAGAACCACAGACGCGGAAAGCCGGGGAGGTCGTGGCTCGGTCTAGGGCGCACGGGGAGCAGGGCTTGCCCCCCAGCACCTCCGGGGAGGTGACCCCAGCCGGGAGATGCGAGTCCCGCGGAGCCCGCGCCCGGCGGACGGACCGATGGACAAAGCCGGGGAGAGCTCGGGCGCGGCCGGGGCGGGGGCCGGTGCCCGCAGGGACCCGGGCGCAGCGGGGAAAGGAGGGGCGGGCAAGCGGCGAGAAGGGGAAGGAAGCGGAGGTGCCGGGCGGGCGCGGGGCGCGGGCAGGAAGCGGGGAGGGGCGGCGGGGCGGGGGCCTCCGGAAAAACGCCCCGACTTCCTGCCCCGCCAGAGCCAGGAAGCGGGAGCCGGGACCCAGGGCCCGGGATCGCCGAGCCCGACCTCGGGCGCCCCGCCGGTCACCTCCGCGCGGACACCAGGTACTCGGTCCCCGGCCCCGCCCGGCCTCCTCCCCTCGGCTGTTGGGGGAAGTGGGGAGGAGGAGGGAGGGGCTGGGGCGCTGCCGGCAGCGGAGGGGCCCCCTTCGGACCCCACGGAACCAGCGGCCGCCCCTCCTTGGGCCTCAGTTTTCCCATCTGTCAAAGGGAGCAAAGAGGGGAGAACTCACACTTGACGAGTGCCCCATAGGTGGGGACGAACGGTGCGAGGCCGGGGCCAAGGCCTCCCACCTGCTCAGTGGAGAACGGACGATCACTACCATTGTACGGGTGGGGAAACCGAGGCCCGGGGAGCCAAACCGACTCGTCCCAGGGAACGCACATCGTGAGAAAGTGTGGAGTTGGGATTTGAACTCGCACGTGCTTTCCGCAAAGCGCCATCCTCCAACCCCCGCATGCTTTAGGGCCACCTAAAAATGAAAAACAACAATAACAACAACGACGAGGGTCGCTGTGAAGCTGAAAGTTGCAGAGTGCATTTGAAAGAGTTTTCGGAAAGCTCTTTTCTAGGTCATTAATTATACCGTGAGAGACAGGTGTAGGGAGAGAGCTGGAGGCCTTCTCCCATTGTACGGATGGGAAGACTGAGGTCTACAGAGAAGTCATTACTTTTTGCAGATTACACTGCATGTCAGAGGGAAAGTTGTGCTGGAACTCAAGACTATTGCTTTTCCGGTTCCAAAGGAAGGGGCTGGGGGTGGGAGACGGAGGGGATTGATGTACGAGGATTGGAAATTCAGCGGGTCCCCTAAGTGGGGAGACTAATAGGACGGGGAGCCCCAGTCCGCCGTCCGAGTGCTCAGCGCTGGGGTGACTAGGAGATCTCCGATCGAACTCGGGAGGAGTTGGACCCATCTGCACCTCCGGGCGCGGGGCGGGGCCCGGGGAGTGACGGGGGCAGTCGAGATACGGAAACGCTGGCCCTCCAAGACAGGCCAGAGCGGCCCTATCTGGCCTGCGTGGCGCAGTACAGCGCTAGAGCGGCCGGCGGGAGGAGTAGAGTCGTCGGGGCCGGAGCCCGGCAGGAGCCGGGCTAGAGCGGCTGGCAGGAGGAGTGGAGCTGGGCGCAAAGGTGGACTCAGGGCGGCTAGAGCGACGCGGCGGCAGGGGTGGGGAGAGTGCGGAGCCCGAGCGCGGAGGCTTCGGTTCCGGTGGCGGCGATGGCTTCTCTTTCCACCTGGAGCAGGTGAGGGACGCGGTCCCCAGCGGGTGTCAGACCCTGACTCTGCACGTCCTCCCCGGCATCCCTGGCCGTGCACACTGCCACGTCCCCCGTAGGATTTAGGGCCCGCGTAAGACCCGCCACGTCCATGTAAGATTTGGGTCTCGTGTAGACCCGCCTCATTCCGTATAAAGTCTTACAGACCCTCCAGGTTCCTGCCAGCCCCCCATGGAGAACTGGCTTCTTATAGACGTGGGGTCCTCATAGACCAGTGGCATCCCCTAGAATCCGGGGCTCTATAGACCATGGGTCTCGGGACCCACCACGCACCCCTATGGAATTCTGAGTCCCTTTTAAGTCTCCAGAGGTTCCACAGACTGGCAGCTGTCCCTATAGAATCATGATCCTGTATGATCCCTGGATCCTTTAGACCCACTGTGTGTCAAATAGAATCTGGGGAGTTACACATTCCAACGACTCTTTTAGGTTCTTTAAGGCTCCAGAAGTTCTTGGAGACCCTGAGTCACCTGCTCAACACATTATAGACCCTGAGACCTCCATAGAACTCAACACCCATGTGGCCCCCCAACCCATGGACCTTCTAAACCAGCCCTAACCCCCCAGCGCCCCATGCACGCAGTGTTCCCTCTGCTGGACCCCCCAGGCCTTGTCAGTTGCCTATAGATCCATCTATTCTCTGACAGCTTCACCTATAATTCTCCAGCCTTTGTGGGACTCCCCCAAACCCCTCCTCCTAAACAGGCGACACTCCTCGCCTCCATCATCTCCAACCCCCAAGCCTCTGTGGAGCAGCCGTATCCAACTTGCACTCCTGCCTAGGCCATAGTGACCACATACCCGTGACTTTTCCAGGCATCCATAAGAAGACATGATGTGTCTCAGAGCTTTGGTTCAGATTTTAGTTTCTGAAGGGTAGGGTGGGGGCTCCCCATGCTCTGAAGCAATGCTCTCTGTTTTATTTTGTTTTATTTATTTATTTATTTATTTTTGAGACGAAGTCTCACTTCTGTTACCAGGCTGGAGTGCAGTGGCGCGATCTCAGCTCACTGCAACCTCCGCCTCCCGGATTCAAGCGATTCTCCTGCCTCAGCCTCCCGAGTAGCTGGGACTACAGGCTCGTGCCACCACGCCCAGCTAATTTTGGTATTTTTAGTAGAGACAGGGTTTCACTATGTTGGCCAGGATGGTGTCGATCTCTTGACTTCGTGATCCGCCCGCCTTGGTCTCCCAAAGTGCTGGGATTACAGGCGAGAGCCACCGTGCCTAGCCTATTTTATTTTAAGACAAGGTCTCACTCTGTCGCCCAGGCTGGAGGGCAGTGGCACAATTTTGGCTCACTGCAACCTCTGCCTCCTGGGCTCAGGCGATCCTCTCATCTTAGCCTCCCAAGTAGCTATGACTACAGGCATGAACCACCACACCTGGCTATCTTTTGTAGAGATGGGGGTTTCACCATGTTAGCCAGGCTGGTCTCGAACTCCTGAGCTCAAGTGATCCACCTGCCTTGGTCTCCCAAAGTGCTGGGATTACAGGTGTGAGCCACTGTGTCCACCAAATGCAGTTTATTTTAAATGCGTAAACTCTGTAGCCCAACTGCCCAGGTCTGAGTCCTGGTTCTGCCTCTTATGAGCTGTGCCTCAGTTTCCTTCTTTGTTAAATGGAGGTGAGAATAATAATGATCTCTTGGAGTCACCGAGAGGATTAAATGAGTTATTACCTGTCAACCAGCGATGCCATGCCTGGCACATACTAAGTGTCTCTTTTGTGTCAGCTGTCATTTCATTATTATTGTGATAAGGAATAAGGAGATAAGAACTTGGCAAGTGCACAGTTCCAGACCTGGCACCAAGCACTTGCAAAGATAATGAGTATCCCCTCCTTTGCCTTTTTAAAATTTCCCTGCCTCAGTTGAGCGTTTCTACCTCTGAGTGGGATGAGCATGCACCCTCCACGTCCGTGGTCATGTTTCATAGTGAGACAGGGTCTCACTGTGTTCCCCAGGCTGGTCTCAAACTCCTGAGCTCAAGCGATCTTCCCACCTTGGCCTCCCAAAGTGCTGGGGTTACAGGCATGAACCACCTCACCTGGCCAGTTTGCAAATTTATTAAAGTGAATGTTTAACAGTACTTGAATCTTGAATTGCCCAAGCTTAGATATTGGACAATACACTTTGTGGGAAATAATAAAAATGATGCCTTCCCCAGGTGGACCCACAGGGTGGCATTTGGACACTCCAGAAAGCATCATTGTTTAATCATCAAAATCCTGGTTACCATTTACTGGGGAGCTAGGGAGGAGGCCCATAAAGCAGGAGAAGGGCGGGTCTCTGCTGGCTTGGGTTATAAATAGCTTTGGGCTGTGGGGAGCCCCGCCGCTGGTCCACCCCACCCCTCTTTCCACAGCTCCTTCCCACCTGACACGGGCTCCGTGGCATTAGTCAGACTAATTAAGGACACAGAAGATGTCGGTGGAAAGACTCAGAGAGAAGTGGAGACTCAAGGAGAGACAAAGATGGGAGAGACAGCAAGAGATGGGGGAGAAAAAGGGATGGAGAGATGAGAGACAGCACATGAGACTGTGACTCAGAGAGGTGTGAGGATGGTGGCTGCAGAAACCAGATGTGGGAGGACAGAGGCACAGAGACAGGGACAGGACAGACGGAGCTACAGAAGCAGGAAGGGGGTGTCACCGCTGAGAGGGAGAGATGGAGGGAGGAGAGGCAGGGATGGTGGGGAAAATGAGACAGTTCTGGAGGAAGGGAAAGAGAAAAATCAGGAAACAGGGTGAAAAGAGACCAAGACATGAGACAGATTCAAGGGACAGACAGCCAAGGAGAGCTGGCTGCGGACAGACCAAGGCGCACGTAGGGTGGAGGGGACAGACGCACCTTGGAGATGGGCTGTCTGAGGCCCCATCACTTGGTTTCTGGGACTGGAAGCCTGGGAAGAGATGAGGTCCCTGGGGGAAAGAAGAACTTCTGGGTTTGGGGACTCCCAGTCCCTGAGGGAGGAGGGTTCTGAGTTTTGTTTTCTTATGTGGAGAGTTGGGGGTTGGGGGTTTGCCATTGTGACTTCCTGTCACAGGAAGTGGGGCTGGTGGGTTCCAAGGCAACATCCTGTCCCAGGCCTGTCACAGACCAGAGGAGACCCCTGCACCCCACTTCTCTCCCGCCTCTCCTCTAACCCTCCCATCCCCTCTTGCCTCTGGGCTGTGCCCTCAGGAATTAGCCCCCAGGCCCCTGGTCCCTCCAACCTGGGAGTCCAGGCCCCCAGCCCCCTCTTCCATTAGGGCATTAGGGACCCCAGATTGCAGGCTGTCAGACTCAGCCTTCCCATGGACCCAGGCTCCTGAGCCTCCAACGCCTGCCCCCGCAAGGCTCCCGTCCCTGGGCTCCCGCCCCCTGGCGGGTCTCTGAAGGGCTCTTTGTGGCCACACAGAGGCCCCATTGAGCTGCGGAGGCTGGGATGGGGGAGGCTGTTTACTCACCTTCACACCTGGGCCAGGAATCTGTGAGTAACCACCCTGGGCCGCCTCCTCCCACCCTCCTAACCACAGCCCCTCCTCTTCCTCCAGCCCTGCAGAGCCCAGGGAGATGGAAGACTTCGCCCGAGGGGCGGTGAGTGGACAGAGCAAGGGGTGAGGCGACTCTGGGGCTGTGGGTGGAGAGTCCTGTGGACTGAAGCTGCCCTCCCTTTCCACAGGCCTCCCCAGGCCCCTCCCGGCCTGGCCTGGTTCCCGTCAGCATCATCGGGGCTGAGGATGAGGATTTTGAGAACGAGCTGGAGACAGTGAGTGGGAGATAGGGTGGAAAAGCTCTGTCCCAGGCTCAGTGTCCCGCCCCAGGTCCCCTCCCACCTGCAGATGCTGTCTTCTTGGCCTTTTCCCACGGTCTGTCTCATCCTCTCATCTCCCTGGTACCTCCTTCCTCACCTCGCCGACCCCACACAGCAGCATAGACGCCCACCCTTCTTACTCTTAACCCCATTTCTTATCGTTGCTCTCTCCTCCCCCAGCATGGACCCCAATTTCTTCTCTCCTAATTTCTGTCCTCATCATCCACCATTATAATATTAAGTCTCATCCATTCTCCCTGAACACCTGCCCTTGCTGTCACCATCATTTTTTGGACACTGTCACCACTCCCCACTTCCCAGGAGCTAACCCTGGCTTGGATCCCTTGTGAAGTGCCAGGAATGGGTAGGGTCAACCCTAAGGCCCCTCCTCTTCTCCCCATTGTACTCACCCCTTCCTGCACCCCCAGAACTCAGAAGAGCAAAACAGCCAGTTCCAGAGCCTGGAGCAGGTGAAGCGGCGCCCAGCCCACCTCATGGCCCTCCTGCAGCACGTGGCCCTGCAGTTTGAGCCAGGACCCCTGGTGAGGGCAGGGCTGGGTGGGCACAGGGAGGGGTGGGGCTGGGACAGGCACAGCTTTTAGCGAATTAAACCAGCGAGCTAGTGCCTGGAGGGTCTGGAAAAGCAGATCTAGAACACAGAGAGCCAGATCTAGAAAGAGAGAATGCTTTAGACAAGAGCCAGAAAGCATGCCACGTGACCTCAACAGGCTTACAAGTGCCCAGGGTAGATCTCAGTGCGCAGCGGGCAGGGTACACACGTCAGGACCCCGCGGAGCCACAGAGAGTCCAGCAGCCTGGCAGAAACCACATCCCATCCCACTCTGTGCCTGTGGCAGCGCCCCCATCAGCCTGTGGCAGCACCTTTCCGTGAACTCTAGGGGACCAAATTCTTCTCTCCAAAGCCTTTTTGGCAGATGCCAGCACGCAGTCATTCACGGTTGATGGTTGGGAAAAAGAAGCTGTTAGCCATCCCAGGTCTAGGGAGCACAGCAGGCCCTGATCTGGAAACAAGAAAACCACCACACACAGCTCACAAGGCAGACCACACAATTGTGGATCCAGAAGCCTCCGGATGAGGCAGAAGATACCTGGGAGATGTGGATGGACAACCGTGCCATCCAGAAACACCCGCAGAGTCTAGAAAACCCAGCAGGTGATTTAGAAAGGGAGAGGCCACAGTGCTGGCTGGCAGGGGATCTGTAGACAAGGGTCTCATCCCAAGAAGACCCCGTCCAGCCCAGCACAGGATAGGAGGACAGCCTGGGGACAGCCAGGGCACTGCACCATGTGGACATGCATAGTGGACCCCTCCAGAAAACAAGGAAACCGATAGAGTGGGGAGAAGTGCCCGAGGCATGCAGAAAGAAGAACATGTCAGCTGCAAGACCAGAGGCTGGTCATCCGGACGCCAAACCATCAGATATGCAGAAAATTAGGAAATTGCAGTCTTTCCCCTGTCTACATTCTCTTTCCAGAAGAGTGGTTCCCCCGACAACCACATGCACGGAGACTCTGGCCCTCTGAGCAAGGGAGTCCCCTATTCAAGCCTTGGGGTTTCTAGAACACCAGATTGTGGACATCAGCCCAGGGATCGTGCTGACTACCATGTTCTTTTACAGATGTGGAAACCGAGGCCTAGAGAGGGTCAGGGACTTGCCTGAGGTGACCCCGGCGGCCTCTGGGCATTTTGAGGTTTATTCTCGCATAGCTCCCTCACCTCATCAGCTTGTGGGGAGCCGATCAGAGATAGCTGTGGTCCCCTGGGCAGCTTCCTGTTGGCCTGTCTTAGAATTTTGCTATATTTGGGGGGTGTGAAGAGTGGATATAGATGTGTTAAAACTGTTTAAAGTGGAGAAGGAGGACCGGGCCTGGTGGTTCATGACTGTAGTCCCAACGCTTTGGGAGGCTGAGGCAGGAGGATAGCTTGAGCCTGGGAGGTTGAGGCTGCAGTGATTGCACCACTGCACTCCAGCCTGGGCGACAAGAGTGAAACCCTGTCTTGAAAAAAAAAAAAAAGTGGGGCCGGGCATGGTGGCTCACACCTATAATCCCAGAACTTTGGAGGCTGAGGTGGGTAGATCACTTGAGATCAAGAGTTCGAGACCAGCGTGGCCAACATGGTAAAACCCCGTCTCTACTAAAAATATGAAAATTGGCCAGGCGCAGTGACTCACGCATATAATCCCAGCACTTTGGGAGGCTGAGGCAGGTGGATCACCCGACGTCAGGAGTTCAAGACCAGCCTGGCCAACATGGTGAAATCCCATCTCTACTAAAATAGAAAAATTAGCCAGGCACAGTGGTACACACCTGTAATTCCAGCTACTCGGGAGGCTGAGGCAGGAGACTCACTTGAACCTGGGAGGTGGTGGTTGCAATGAGCCGAGATTGCACCATTGCACTCCAGCCTAGGCGGAAAAAAAAAAAAAAAATTAGCCAGGCCTGGTGGTAGGCACCTGTAATCCAAGCTACTCCAGAGGCTGAGGCAGGAGAATCGCTTGAACCCAGGAGGAGGTTGCAGTGAGCCGAGATCACGCCACTGCACTCCAGCCTGGGTGACAGAGCGAGACTCCATCTCAAAAAAGAAAAAGGAGAAAAAGTCCCACTCCCATTGGAGTGAGTTCATTTCCCAGATGAGAGCCCCCAGGAGCCAGGACAGGTTGGAGTCCCCACTGTCACCCAGAACAGGGGCGGGCACTCAGGAAATGCTTGACGAATGACAGAGTGAGCCCCACTTGTCCACCTGTTCTTTCCAAGCCCTCAGTATGCACAAGGCACCACCATCTGGGACACAGATGGATCAACCTACAACACCCCTCAACACACACAAACCCTTAAGCTGCTCACAGTCTTTCCAGGCAGTGGAGTGTAGTAGAGACAGGCTGCCTGGATTCGAATCCTAACTTTGCCACTTAGTAGCTATGTGATTTTGGGTTTTATTTATTTATTTATTTATGAAACAGTCTCGCTCTGTGTCACCCAGGCTGGAGTGCAGTGGCACAATCTCCACTCACTGCAACCTCCATCTCCTGGGTTCAAGCAGTTCTCCCTGCCTCAGCCTCCCGAGTAGCTGGGATCACAGGTGCCCACCACCACACCCGACTAATTTTTTTATTTTTAGTAGAGACAGGGTTTCGCCATGTTGGCCTGGCCGGTCACAAATTCCTGACCTCATGTGATCCACCTGCCTTGGCCTCCCAAAGTGCTGGGATTACAGGTGTGAGCCACTGTGCCTAGCCTAGTTGTGCGACTAAGCTTGACTAAACTTCTTGAGCTCCGTTTTCTCATCTGTAAAATGGGGATAATGACGGTCCCTATGATTGAACACGTTAATGCATGTAGAGGGTGTAGAGCCGTGTCTGGTATACACTAAGCCGTCAGTATAGACAGTAGTAGTAGTTGTTGTCATTATTGCCGGGAGGAGACCATGATGAAGAACCACAAAGGACCATAGCACAGGATGGAAAATTAGAAAATGCTCATGGCAGCCCCAGGGAGCCTGCAGGGGAACCCAGGGCCTGGCTTTAGGGGTGGAGGTCAGGGAGTGCTTCCCAGAGGAAGTGGCAGTTGAGTCCCACAGCCATAGGATGGCCAGGAGGTGAGGAAGGCCCTTTTCAAAGGGAGAGTGTGGTTTGAGGCAGGGTGAGGGAGCGGAGAGTCATGCTGTGTGTCTCCCCCAGCTTTGCTGTCTGCATGCCGACATGCTGGGCTCACTGGGCCCCAAGGAGGCCAAGAAGGCCTTCCTGGACTTCTACCACAGCTTCCTGGAGAAGACAGCGGTGAGAGACCTTCAAGCTGCCCCAACCCTGCAATCCCTGTTTGGGCCTGCAGAGTCACCATGCGGTCCCCAGCCTCTGCCCTGAGGGCAGCTGCTGACCCAGGCCTTCCCCAGCACCCTCGCTTAGACCAGGGTTCCTGGCAGTCCTCCCGGCCTGCATCTCAGCACACCAAGTCCTCCTCTTCACCCCATTCTCTCTCTTGAGCAGGTTCTCCGGGTGCCGGTCCCTCCCAACGTCGCCTTTGAACTTGGTAAGGAGAAGGATGGGATGAGGGAGAGGTGTCTAGCGGGGACCACACCTCCCAGGAGGCCAAGGGGAGGGAGGCCGCACTCCCATGCTCTGCTCGGACAGCCGAGATTCATTCATTCCTTCTTGGCAGCGGCCTCAGGACGTGTGGCTGTTGGAGTCCAAGGGTGGGTGGGGACCGTGGTCCAAGCCACCAGGGAGCTGGACCCTAGCCCCCATGTGTGTCCCTGCAGACCGCACTAGGGCTGACCTCATCTCCGAGGATGTCCAGCGGCGGTTCGTGCAGGAGGTGGTGCAAAGCCAGCAGGTAGCCGTGGGCCGGCAGCTGGAGGACTTCCGTTCCAAGCGGCTCATGGGCATGACGCCCTGGGAGCAGGAGCTGGCCCAGCTGGAGGCTTGGGTTGGGCGGGACCGAGCCAGCTACGAGGCCCGGGAGCGGCACGTGGCGGAGCGGCTGCTCATGCACCTGGAGGAGATGCAGTGAGTAGGCCAGCCCTGGTGGGAGCGTCGCCCCTCCCCAGCACAAGGGCACCCGTGCTACCTCTGGCATGTTCCATCCCGTTTGCAGGTTCCCTCTTCAGGGTCAGAGTTCATTTCTTGGCACTGGGGGTCTTCCTCTACCCTGGTGTTTTAACTCACCTTGAATCCGAGTCTTCCCTTTCCAGCTTTGGGGTTCCCTTGTCATTTCTGGGTCTTGTCCATGATCTGGCACTTGGATCCCATCCTCCTGGATGAGAGACCTCCCTCCCTCTTATGACAGTCCTTCCCAATCCCTTCCACAGTGTCCCCTCTCTGTCTCTCTTCCCCCTGCCTATCCCAGGACAGCAACCCTGAGATGTATCCTGGGTGGATGGGGACCCCAGGCCTAGCAAATATGTCACAAACATCTCTCTTCCTCCTACAGACATACCATCTCTACCGACGAAGAAAAGAGGTGAGGGGGGCAGGGGAGGCGTGCGGCCTCCTGGGTTTGAGGGAGGAGGGGGCTGAGGGCCTGGACTCCTGGGTCTGAGGGAGGAGGAGGCTGGGGGGCCTGGACGCCTGGGTCTGAGGGAGGAGGGGGCTGGGGGGCCTAGACGCCTGGGTCTGAGGGAGGAGGGGGCTGGGGGGCCTGGACGCCTGGGTCTGAGGGAGGAGGGGGCTGGGGGGCCTGGACGCCTGGGTCTGAGGGAGGAGGGGGCTGGGGTCCTGGACGCCTGGGTCTGAGGGAGGAGGGGGCTGGGGGCCTGGACGCCTGGGTCTGAGGGAGGAGGGGGCTGGGGGCCTGGACTCCTGGGTCTGAGGGAGGAGGAGGCTGGGGGCCTGGACTCCTGGGTCTGAGGGAGGAAGGGGCTGGGGGGCCTGGACGTCTGGGTCTGAGGGAGGAGGGGGCTGGGGGGCCTGGACGCCTGGGTCTGAGGGAGGAGGGGGCTGGGGGGTCTGGACTCCTGGGTCTGAGGGAGGAGGGGGCTGGGGGCCTGGACTCCTGGGTCTGAGGGAGGAAGGGGCTGGGGGCCTGGACTCCTGGGTCTGAGGGAGGAGGGGGCTGGGGGCCTGGACTCCTGGGTCTGAGGGAGGAGGGGGCTGGGGGCCTGGACTCCTGGGTCTGAGGGAGGAGGAGCCTGGGGCCTGGACACTTGGGTCCTGGGCATTGGGTAACAGCCCTTGCCCCTGTCCTTTTGAACCCTCTCATCTCTCCTCAGAGTCTCACAGGAAGTAGTTGTGGGGTCAGGATGGGAAGGCCGGGCCTCTGCCTCTAGGGGGAGAGAGAGAGAGTGTGTGTGTGAGTGTGTGTGTGTGTGTGTGTGTGTGTGTGTGTCTTTGTGTGTGTTGAGCCCTCACTGTCCCTTCCCTACAGTGCTGCCGTGGTCAACGCCATTGGCCTGTACATGCGCCACCTTGGGGTGCGGACCAAGAGTGGAGACAAGAAGTCGGGGAGGAACTTCTTCCGGAAAAAGGTGCTTCCCTCAGTGCCCCGTCCTGACCCTTTCCTCTCCAGAGACGCCCTGGGAGCCTCATGACTCTGGATACCTAGCGTCAAATTCTGCTTTGTTGTTGTCTCAGAGATGCTTAGCCTGGTCTTCCTCCCCGCCCTCTCACAGGTGATGGGGAACCGGCGGTCGGACGAGCCTGCCAAGACCAAGAAGGGGCTGAGCAGCATCCTGGATGCCGCCCGCTGGAACCGGGGAGAGCCCCAGGGTAAGGCGGCTCTGGCCTCTGCCCTCCCCTGTCTTCCCCAGCTGCTCCCACTCACTGTCTCATTCTCTCTCGTTTCAGTTCCAGATTTTCGACACCTCAAAGCAGAGGTTGATGGTAATGTACCTGTAGCCATAGCATCCATACTGGGGGCCTGTGTGGGAGAGGCTAGGACCTGGACGCCTGGGTCTGAGGGAGGAGGGGCTGGGACCTGGACGCCTGGTTCTGAGGGAGGAGGGGATGGGGGCCTGGACACCTGGGTCTGAGGGAGGAGGGGCTGGGGGAGCTCCTGGGTCTGAGGGAGGAAGGGCTGGGCCTGGACCCCTGGGTCTGAGGGAGGAGGGACTGGGCCTGGACCCCTGGCTCTGAGGGAGGAGGGGCTGGGGGAGCTCCTGGGTCTGAGGGAGGGAGGCCTGGGGCCTGGACCCCTGGGTCCGAGGTAGGAGGGATTGGGCCTGGACCCCTGGGTCTGAGGGAGGAGCGGCTCAGACTCGGACTCTTAGGTCTGAGGAGGAAGGGCTGGGCCTAGACCCCTGGGTCTGAGGGAGGAGGGGCTGGGGGAGTTCCTGGGTCTGAGGGAGGAAGGCCTGGGGCCTGGACCTCTGGGTCTGAGGGAGGAGGGGCTGGGGGCCTGGACTCCTGTGTCTGAGGGAGGAGGGGTTGAGGGCTCCTGGGTCTGAGGGAGGAAGGGGCTCCTTGTCATGGTGGGGAAGGGCCTGAGCACAGCCTCTTGCATCCCCTGGCGGTTGTGGATTTGAGTTACTGTTCTCTTATCTCCCTCTTTCTCCCTCACTGTCTCCCCAGCCGAGAAGCCAGGTGCTACAGACCGGAAGGGAGGCGTGGGGATGCCCTCTCGGGACCGGAATATCGGGGCTCCTGGGCAGGACACCCCTGGAGTCTCTCTGCACCCTCTGTCCCTGGACAGCCCAGACCGGGAACCAGGTGAGAGTTTCCTGGGCCAGGGCTCCATGAGGCCCGGCGATCCAGGGTGGGGGTGCTGCCTGCCCCCTTGGCACCCCCAGATAGAAGCCATTCCCCAGCAACACCTCCCCTTTGCTCTCAGCATCCACTTCTCCCTGCTCCTGGTCACCACTGTCATTCATAACTTTCCCCTTCCCTCAGTTTGCCCTTTCCACAGCTTTGCTCCCAGGCTCTGACCTCTCTGCTGGTGCTGCGTCTCCCACCCCCTTGGACTACGTTTTCCATCAACCCTTCCTTTTCCAGAACCTTCCCTGAGTACATGACCAGTCCACCCTCTGAGCTGCATTGCTGGCCCCCTAGGTGGGGAGCCCGCCAGCCCCATGAGCTTCATCCCTCACCATCCTTACACTGCTGTGGCCTCAGGCCCTTGGATCTCTGCATGGCCAGGCCAGGGCTCACACACCAGCTCTGCTGACTGCTTGTGTTTATTTAGTATCTTGGATATGACTCCCCTTTCTTAGCCTCCGTTTGCTTTTCTCTAAAGGAGTATGAGAGGGTGGGGAGGATGAATGGACGTGGAGGCAGCACAGAATCCAGGGCCCTCCCGACCTCAGGGGGCTGCAGTCTGGTTGGGTGGGAGAGATGTTTGTGACCTATTTGCTAGGCCTGGGGTCCCCATCCACCCAGGACACACAGGGGCACCCACTTCTGTTGCATCTTCATGCTCCTGCCCCTAGTGGCCATGTTCTGAGAGGTCTTAACATCTGTCCGTCCCGTGCTGAAGTACAGAGCAGCCATGTGGTGTCTGCCAGGCACTGGGTAGCTTTAGCCCCCGCAATTCCAGGCCCCCAGAGTGTGGGTCTCGTGGCCGCAGAGGCCTTCCAGCCAGCCCTGCTCCCTCCACCCCACAGGTGCTGACGCCCCCCTGGAGCTGGGGGACTCATCCCCGCAGGGCCCAATGAGCCTGGAGTCCTTGGCGCCCCCAGAGAGTACCGACGAGGGGGCCGAAACCGAGAGGTGCCCAGGCTGGGGTGCAGGGGCGGGAGGTGTGGCTTACTGGGCGCTGGTGGGTGGGTGCAGGGTCACCGCTGCCATCTGTGCCTGCCTGTCCCAGGCTCTTGCTCCCCATGCTCCTCTGCTGCTCTCTGGGTCTGGCCATTCCTCTCCCTTCTTCTTTCCTTTTCTCATCTCCCTCCTGCTTCCTCATTGCCCCCCTTTCCTTTTATCCTTCCTTTTTCCTCTGCTCCTTCCTCTCCTTCCTTTTTTCACTAATCCTTCTCCTCCTCCCTTCCTCTCCACCACTCCTTCCATCTCCTTTATTTCCCCCTCCTCTCTCACCTCCCCTCTCCTCTCTCACCTCCCCCATCCTCTCTCACCTCCCCCCTCCTCTCTCACCTACCCCCTCCTCTCACCTCCCCGCTCCTCTCTCACCTCCCCTCTCTTCTCTCACCTCCCTCTTCCTCTCTCACCTCCCCCCTCCTCTCTCACCTTCCCCCTCCTCTCTTTCCTCCCCACTCCTCTCTCACCTGGGTTTTCTTTCCCCACCTTCCATCCCCCTCCGATCTCCCTGCCACTTTTCATTTTTTCAGCCCTTCCTCCCCTTCTCTTTCAAGCCCCCCTGCCCCCTGCCCCCCACCCCCCGCCTCGCTCCTGCCTCCTGGTGCCCGTCCCTCAACCCCCCACCCCTCTGCTCTGTGCCCTGGGGGCCCTGTCCCCCTTACAGCTGGGGGGCAGGCTCTGCCTCCTGCCCGTCCTTGTGCCGCTGCTTTGGGGACCCTTTGGTGGGTGCGGGGAGGTGGGTCAGGTTCCATCTGGGCCCACCTCTGACCCTGTGCCCCTCTCTCCCCAGAAGGTGGAAGAGGTGGGTGCCTGGGCCCTGGGTGGGGGAAGGGCTAGCCCCTCCCCCATTTCTCCCAGCCCCTCCCCTCTCCCCATGGCCACTCCCTCCCCTTCACTCCCTGTGAGGGGTGGGTGGGGACATCACCCTCCCAGTTGAAGAGCTAAGTATGGAAATCCTCCCCACCCCATAACACCCCCTCTGTTGCCATCCCCCTGCCTCAGGGAAGGGAGGGGGTCAGTCCTATGCTCCATCCTGGGTTCCCCATCCCTTCCCCCATCAAATTTCAGTATCCCCCCTCCCCCAAGACCCCCCACTACCCCAGTGCCCCTAAAATCCCACCACTCCTCTGACTCTCTCCTCTCTTCTGTTGCATGTTTGATCCCTGTCCTGGTCACCCTTGCCCCGGTCCTGGTCTCTCCCTGTCTCTGTCCCTGTCCTGGTCTCTCCCCGTCTCTGTCCCTGTCCTCGTCTCTCCCCAATTTCTGTCCCTGCCCTGGCCTCTCCCCACCTCTGTCCCTGCCCTGGTCTCTCCCCGTCTCTGTCCCTGTCCTGGTTTCTCTTCGTCTCTGTTCTTGTCTTGGTCTCTCCTTGTCTCTGTCCCCGGCATCTGCCTGACTCTGTCCTTGGCCTCGGGGTCCAGGCTATCAGGGCGTCTGGGGCGCTCAGAGAGCCTGCGGGTGAGTGACCGCCGCCGGCCTTCCCGGGGCAGCCTCGGGGCTAAGGGCCGGGGTGGGGGCCGCTCCCGGAGCGACGTGGACATGGACCCCAGTTCCGCCACGGCAGTGCTTGGCCCTGCCCGACGAGCCACGTATGTCAACCCTCTCCCTTCCCCCATCCACTAAGGCAGCCTGGAGAATCAGGGAGGGATTGTTGTCAGAGTCACAGAGGAATGGGCGTTGGAGACCGAGGTCATTGAGGCCAACTGTGGTCACAGACCTTGGAGGAGGAGGGGGTAGAATGCTTCTAGAGATCTGGGAACTCTAGTGTGGTCCGATCTAGAGACCTGGTCTGCTGCACGGGCCACCCTGCGGGCATCGAATGCCAAGGCCACTGACCGGGGTTGAACGCTCTAAGAGGCTGAAGGCTGCTTCTTGGGATGGCCCAAGCTGGGGCCCTAACAAGGCCTCTGTCCACAGCCCCGAGCCTGGAGATGAGGGGGAGCCGGGGCGGTCGGGACTGGAGCTTGAACCAGAAGAGCCTCCCGGCTGGCGGGAACTCGTCCCCCCAGACACCCTGCACAGCCTGCCCAAGAGCCAGGTGAAGCGGCAGGAGGTCATCAGCGGTGAGTACTGCCCCCATCACCCCACTGTGGCCAAGGACACAGTCCAGCTCTGGCAAAGGCAAAGACAGGCGCAGAGAGATGTTCATCTTGGTGTCATTTACCATCGGGAGAACTTGAAGGCAGCTTCAAATTCCCTCTTGTTCCAAGTTCAGATTGTTTCAACACAGAGCATTTTGATGGAATGTGAATGCCACTGTGGAAGGGACATTTCCAAACATTTCTAGTAGTGCAATACAGTGCTGATGTTGAGAACACTGCATTTCTGGTGCAAGCTTTTATTTCCTTGCTTGTGAAATGTGGGCATTAATAGTTCCTACCTCAGATATTGTCATGAAGATGAGATGATTTGTGTGAAATGTTTAGCATAGTGCTGGGCACAGAGGAAGAGCATTTTATTTTATTTATTTTTTTAAATTTTTATTTGAGGCAGAGTCTCAGTTGGTCTCTCAGGCTGGAGTGCAGTGGCACAATCACGGCTCACTGCAGCCTTACCCTCCCAGGCTCAACTGATCCTCCCACCTCAGCCTCCCGAGTAGCTGAACAGGCATGTACCACCATGCCTGGCTAATTTTTGTATTCTTTGTAGAGATGGGGTTTCGCCATGTTGGCCAGGCTGGTCTCGAACCCTTGGGCTCAAGTGATCCTCCTACCTCAGCCTCCCAAAGTCTTGGGATTACAAGTGTGAGCCACCAGGCCCAGTCAAGGAAGAGCATTTTAATGAGATTGTTGTTACTAGTTTGATCTTAATTGCTTAGGGGAGAAAAGATCCCCACAGGGGAAAGTTTGGGAGAATGATCAGTATATTAGCAGTGCTTGCTTCTGCGTGGAGAGATGATGAGTGTATCATTTTTGTCTTTTTCCTTTTTTCCTTTGCTAATTGTGTGGTGGCTAGGGAGGCTGGTGGCAAAAAGAGAAAGCTTTTTTTTTTTTTTTTTTTTTAAGACAGAGTTTTGCTCTTGTTGCCCAGGCTGGAGTGCAATGGCACAATCTCGGCTCACCACAACCTACGCCTCCCAGGTTCAAGTGATTCTCCTGCCTCAGCCTCCTGAGTAGCTGGGATTACAGGCATGTGCCACCACGCCCGGCTAATTTTGTATTTTTAGTAGAGACGGGGTTTCTCCATGTTGGTCAGGCTGGTCTCGAACGCCCGCCTCAGCCTCCCAAAGTGCTGGGATTACAGGCGTGAGCCACTGTGCCTAGCCCAAGAGAAAGGTTTGGGACTTGACTGAAAGCTTATTTACAGATTACTTCATAGTGAAAAAGATACTTATTCAAAAATTTTAGGGGAGTAGTTGAGTACTTTTTGGGTCACAGATCCTTCTAAGGACATGATAAAAAAAAAAAAAAACATGAGCCATGTGCTACCCATTAGGACTTTCTGGAAGATGGAAATGTGCTTTATTTGTACTGCTCACCATGGGGACCATCGGCCACCTATGGCTGGTGAGCACTTGAAATGCACTAGGCCAGGCACAGTGGCTCATGCCTGTGATCCCAGCACTTTGGGAAGCCGAGGTGGGCAGATCACTTGAGGTCAGGAGTTCGAGACTAGCCTGGCCAACATGGTGAAACCCCATCTCTACTAAACATACAAAAATTAGCCAAGCATAGTGGCGCATGCCTGTAATCCCAGATACTCGAGAGAGTAAGCCAGGAGAATTGCTTGAACCCAGGAAGCAGGAGATGGAGGTTGCAATGAACCCAGATCACTCCACCACACTTCAATCTAGGTGACAGAGCAAGACTGTGTCTCAAAAAAAAAGCACTAAATACAACTGAGCACTGACTTAAAATTTCATTGCAATTAACGAAAATGTAAAGAGTTGTACACGGCTGGTGACTATCACGTTGGACAGGATAGCAATTTCTTTCCCCAGAAAGAATATGCATAATGTACAAAATCGTGCTTTTAGTCTCAGGGGACTTCTAGGGCCCCTGAAACTCACACATATGCCCTCCGGGGATGTGGGGGTCCCTGGATCTGAGGCTGTCAACCACTGTATAATGTGGCTTGATGGTTAGACACTAAACACAGCTGCAAGCTTGCTGGCAGGTGGGATGACTAGCTTGTCCCCATTTGCTCAGGATATTCACAGTTTTATCACTGAAAGCCCAGGCAGGCAAATGAGGACCATTGGTCACTCTGGCCAGCTGCCACAGCGAAAAGGGAAAGGCAGTGGGTTGAGGAATCCTCACTGGTTTTTTTTTTTTTTTTTTTTTTTTGAGACGATCTCGCTCTGTCGCCTAGGCTAGAGTGCAGTGGCGTGATCTCCGCTCACTGCAACCTCCACCTCCCAGGTTCAAGCGATTGTCCTGCCTCAGCCTCCCAAGTAGCTGGAACTACAGGTGCCCACCACCACTCCTGGCTAATTTTTGTATTTTTAGTAGAGATGGGGTTTCACCATGTTGGCCAGGATGGTCTTGATCTCTTGACCTCGTGATCTGCCCGCCTAAGCCTCCCAAATTGCTGGGATTACAGGCATGAGCCACTGCACCCGGCCCCTCAGTGGCTATTTAAGAGGGCAAATGACTCCACCCGGAGAGTTTTTTTTTTTATTTGTTTGTTTTGTTTTGTTTTTTTGAGACGGAGTCTCGTTCTGTCACCAGGCTGGAGTGCAGTGGTGTGATCTCAGCTCACTGCAACCTCTGTCTCCCGGGTTCAAGAGATTCTCCTGCCTCAGCCTCCCGAGTAGCTGGGACTACAAGAGTCCGCCCCCACACCTGGCTAATTTTTGTATTTTTTTAGTAGAGATGGGGTTTCACCATGTTGGCCAGGCTGGTCTTGAACTCCTGACCTTGTGATCCACCTGCCTCAGCCTCCCAAAATGCTGGGATTATAGGCATGAGCCACTGTGCCCAGCCATTTTGTTTTGAGACAAGGTCTCGCTCTGTTGCTTGAGCTGGGGTGCAGTAATGCCATCATAGCTCACTGCAGCCTCAACCTCCTGGGCTCAAGGGATCCTCCCACTTGAGCCTCCCAAGTAGCTGGGACTACAGGCACACACCAACATGCCTGGGCTAATTTTTTTTCTTTTTTAAATTTTTGGTAGAAACAGGGTTTCACCATGTTGCCCAGGCTGATCTTGGACTCCTGGGTTCAAGCAATCCTCTTGCCTTGGCCTCCCAAAGTGCTGGGATTACAAGTGTGAACCACCATGGCTAGCCAGAGAGAGTTTTTTCCCACCAACTTCTAGGAAGCTTTCCTCCCTGCTCTGCCTCATTCCTCTAGCCTGCCCATGAGGTCATGCCCCCTAGTCTGCACCCTCCCCAACATGCTTCCTGCTTTGGTGGCCCTGCAGAGCTGCTGGTGACAGAGGCGGCCCACGTGCGCATGCTGCGGGTGCTGCACGACCTCTTCTTCCAGCCCATGGCAGAATGCCTGTTCTTCCCCTTGGAGGAGCTGCAGAACATCTTCCCCAGCCTGGACGAGCTCATCGAGGTGCATTGTGAGTGCAGAGCCAGGGTCCCTCTGTGTACCCCACTGCCCCACGGGCAGCTCTGCTCTAGCCCTGGGTTCAACCTGCTCGGGAACCCCAGGGTTCACATGGGGTGGGGGCAGATACGCCATCCGGTCCCGAGGATCAGACACAGACACACCTGCAGCCCTACCCCCACCACACCGCAGCAGGCCCCGCACAGCATCTTCCAGACCCTGGTGGAGCATCCCTTTCCTCCTGCCCCCACAGCCCTGTTCCTCGATCGCCTGATGAAGCGGAGGCAGGAGAGTGGCTACCTCATCGAGGAGATCGGAGACGTGCTGCTGGCCCGGGTGAGATGCCCAGCCCTCCCGCTCCTCCCAGCTAGACACATGGAATTCAGGCCCGGGACGGGTCCTGAGCCCACCCTACTCCAGTCCCAGGGTCTGGGCTTCCAGCCTGTCGTACTTTAGTCCCTGTTCTTGCCCATCCCCACTGAGACACCTGCCTGGCCTGAATCTCGCTGTAGTTTGATGGTGCTGAGGGCTCCTGGTTCCAGAAAATCTCCTCCCGCTTCTGCAGCCGCCAGTCATTTGCCTTAGAGCAGCTCAAAGCCAAGCAACGCAAGGACCCTCGGTTCTGTGCCTTCGTGCAGGTGAGGTGGGGTCTGGACTCCAGCTTCCCAGGGAGGAGGGGCCTGGAGACCCAGACTCCTAGGTGCCTGCGCCCTGGGGTGAGCCCAAAGCCTGGGCCATCGCAACACCAGCATGTTTCCCGCAGGAAGCTGAGAGCCGCCCGCGGTGCCGCCGCCTGCAGCTGAAGGACATGATCCCCACGGAGATGCAGCGGCTGACCAAGTACCCCCTGCTCCTGCAGAGCATCGGGCAGAACACAGGTACCGCGGGCCTGGATCTCTGGGCCTCGGCTCTCCTCTTTTTTTTTTACATTTTTTTTCTCACTCATTTTCATCAGTGATACCATCACAGCTCACTGCAGCCTCAACCTCCCAGGATCTACCATCCTCCCACCTCAGCTCCCCAAGTAGCTGGGACCCCAAGGGCACACCACCATGCCCAGCTAATTTTTTTAGTTTTTTTTTTTAGAGACGGGGTCTCGCCATGTTGCCCAGGCTGGCTTTGAACTCCTGGTCTCAAGCTATCCTCCCGCCTCAGCCTCCCAAAGTGCTTGGATTACAGGCGTGAGCCACCATGCCCGGCCAGCTGTCCTTTGTCTAACCTTGGCTGCCCAATCTGGAGCCTCCAGGGCAGGGGTTCACCAGAGCTGCTCTCTCCCTTGCCTGCAGAAGAGCCCACAGAACGGGAGAAAGTGGAGCTGGCAGCCGAGTGCTGCCGGGAAATTCTACACCACGTCAACCAAGCCGTGCGTGACATGGAGGACCTGCTGGTGAGCCTGGGCTGGCCCCACACCCGGGACAGTGGATGGTGTGAGAGCAGGGGGTGGACCCTACCTCAGCCTGTCCAGAAGTCACACCCCACCCCTTGGCTTGTCTCCCTCAAGGGTCACTGTGTCCAGGGGTTGGCTTGGCCCTCAGCATCTCCCTCTCAGGGTCATTGGAGGTCAGGCCCAACCCTCAGCTTGCCCGCATCAGAAGTTGGTCTTGGCTCTCATCTTACCAATGTGGGTCACTGCAGGTCAGCCCCAGCACTTAGCTTGTCCCCATAATGCTCCCGTCTCTGCCCCAGAGGCTCAAGGACTATCAGCGGCGCCTGGACTTGTCCCACCTTCGGCAGAGCAGCGACCCTATGCTGAGCGAGTTCAAGGTGTGACCATACCCTCCTGCCTCCCCCGCCCCCCTACTCCTTGGCCCAGGGGATTCTGTGATACAGCCCCCAGCCTGTCCTGCCCATCCCATAATACACCCAGGAAGCGAGAGCTCTGTCCCCCACCTCATGCCAATCCCATGATCCCCAGCCTGTGGTCATCCCCGGCCACTGCCCTGCCCTTCCCCTCCCCACCAACCCCAATCACCCCCTGCCAACCTGCACAAACCATCACCCCCTCCTGCCCCAGAACCTGGACATCACCAAGAAGAAATTGGTCCACGAGGGCCCACTGACGTGGCGGGTGACTAAGGACAAGGCAGTGGGTGAGTGCCAGAGCAGCTGCCTAGTGCAGGGTGTTGGGGCAGTGAGCCAAGGGCGGGGAGGGGGTCGCGCGGGGGCACGCCGTGTGAGCACTGCTCGCCCCGTAGAGGTGCATGTGCTGCTGCTGGACGACCTGCTGCTGCTGCTCCAGCGCCAGGACGAGCGGCTGCTGCTCAAGTCCCATAGCCGGACACTGACGCCCACGCCCGATGGCAAGACCATGCTGCGGCCCGTGCTGCGGCTCACCTCCGCCATGACCCGCGAGGTGGCCACCGGTGAGTGCAGCCACTGCATGGCCCAGGGCAGAGGGTGTCTTTTTTGGGCAGAGCTGCCTGTGGAGTGGGGAGCAGAACCCTCTAGAGAGCCAGGGAGCCAGCATTCTAGCAAAGAGGTTGAGAAGTAGGTGGAGGTGGGCAGGGCGGGGCCAGGCCTAGAGGGTTTATAAGTGAGGTAGGAACTGCTGCAGGTGTTTGCACAGAGGCGTGTCTTGTGTAAACAAGGAGAAGAAAGGCCAGGAGTCCAGTGAGGAGGGATTTGTAAACATACTACTAGGAAGTTGCACCAGGGCCACAAACACTGGAAGCGGCTGGAGGGTGGGAGTGGCTGGAGGGGTTTCGTTAGGTAAGCCAGGGTACATGCCCGATTCCATAAGGAGGTGTGAGAGGTGGGGCTCAGGAGGACACATCGGGCCCTGGATATTAGCAGACAGTGAGTGGTGAGTTGAGCCATGGGAGCCCTGAGAGCGCCACCACTGTGGGTGACTTCTCCAGCTTGTGCTTAGGGAGGGGCAGGCACTGGGGGGACCTGGGCTCTGAGCCCCATCTCCCCCTCTCCCTGCAGATCACAAAGCCTTCTACGTCCTTTTTACCTGGGACCAGGAGGCCCAGATATACGAGCTGGTGGCACAGACTGTGTCGGAGCGGAAAAAGTGAGGGGGGGTCTGAGTTCTGAGTGTGGGTGGAGGACGCCCAGGTTTCTGGGTTCCCAGGGACAGGAGGGCTGTGGGGAGGCCCTGGCATAGGGTCTGGGGGCTCTGACTGCCCAGGGATTTGGCCTTTCTCCCCAGCTGGTGTGCTCTCATCACTGAGACTGCCGGATCCCTGAAAGTCCCTGCCCCTGCCTCTCGCCCTAAGCCCCGGCCCAGCCCGAGCAGGTGAGGGGGGCCATGGAGAGAGCTGGAGGTTCAGGGAGTGGGGCCGGAAGGCGGGGCAGGCTTCCCTCCACAACTCCAGAACCGTCTCTGTGTGAGCATGCACATGTGTGAATGCATGTGTGTGCATACATGTGTGTCTGTACGCAAGTATGTGACTGTGCGTGCATATATAGTGTGTGTATGCATGCATGTGTGCGTGTGCATGTGTGTGCGTGTATGGTGTGTGTGTATGCATATGTGTGCATGCGTGTGACAGCATGTGCATGCATGTGTGTGTGTGTGCGCATGTGCCGACCCCACCACTGCCCCGTCTGTCTCCTGTCTCCAGGCCTCTGTGTCTTCCATTGTCTGGGCCTCTCTGTCTCCCTGTCTCCCGGCCTCGACCTCTGTCTCTGTCTCCGGACCTCCCTGCCTCCCCACCTCCAGCTCTCTGTCTCCCTGCCCCTGCGGCCCCCCAGGGCCAGGGGTGTGGGGTCACCCAGCACTTCCTCCCCTCAGCACCCGAGAACCCCTCCTCAGCAGCTCTGAGAACGGCAATGGTGGCCGAGAGACGTCTCCAGCTGATGGTGAGACCAGAGGGATGCTGGGTGAGGGGCCAGGTTGGGGCTGCCGGGTGAAGAGAGGCATCCACAGGAGGCCCGGCAGGATCTGAGCTCCCTCTCTGTTCCCCAATCCAGCCCGGACCGAGAGAATCCTCAGTGACCTCCTGCCCTTCTGCAGACCAGGCCCCGAGGGCCAGCTCGCTGCCACGGCCCTTCGGAAAGGTAGCCCAGCTCTGCCCCTCCAGGGTGGCCACCAGCCCAAACAGTGCCTCTGTTCCAACTAGAACAAGGCTCTCCACGTCAAAAATTTCCTTACGCCCAGCTGCCAGAAAACAAATGCTCCAAACCCACCCAGCCTGCACCACTGTCCTGGGTGCCCACGTCCCTCTTCTGCAGCCACCATCCCTTGCTTGATTCTATATTTAGCCTCTTCCTGAACACATCTCTGTCTTCAGTACCTTCCTGCCCTGTCCCAACCCTAAACCCAGCCTCACTTCTTCACCTCCCTTTGGATCCCCGAACCCCATCTGCTCAGCCTTGCCTGGCACCCACCTTCACCTCCAGCCCCTACACATCCCCTTTGGAATCCCCCATCCCAGATCCCAGCCCAGCCCCCTGGTCTCCTGACTCCACCCCTCCTTGCCCCTGGCCAGTGCTGTCCCTGAAGCAGCTTCTGTTTCCGGCGGAGGAAGACAATGGGGCGGGGCCTCCTCGAGATGGGGATGGGGTCCCAGGGGGCGGCCCCCTGAGCCCAGCACGGACCCAGGAAATCCAGGAGAACCTGCTCAGCTTGGAGGAGACCATGAAGCAGCTGGAGGTGGGGCGGGACGGGCCAGGGGTGCCCTGAGTGGGCTGGGGAAGGAAGGGGCCCCCCTCATCCATGACCCCCACCCCACCAGGAGTTGGAGGAGGAATTTTGCCGCCTGAGACCCCTCCTGTCTCAGCTTGGGGGGAACTCTGTCCCCCAGCCTGGCTGCACTTGAGGTTCCCGCCCAGGAAGGTGAGTGGGGCACCTGGGGGCCAGGGCGCTGTCCTGAAAGGAGGGTCCCCCTCCAGAGCTCGCATCCCTACAGCCCCTTCTGTCCATCTCCCTCTTTGTCTTTTCTGAATCTCCCCACTCCACCTCGTGTTTCTCATCTCTGTGTCTCTGTTTCTGATAATCTGTTTCTCTGTCTCTGTGCCCGCCTGCCTCTCCCCACCTCCCCTTCTCTCTCTGCTCTCCCTGTCTTGTCTCTGTGTCTGTCTCTCCCTGTCTCTCTCTCCATCTCTCCCCGTCTCCCCTCTTCTCCTACATCCCCCAGGCCTTTTGCAAGAAGGAGAGGAATGGGGGAGAGGACGTGAGGGACCACCCCCACCCACACAGCTGCCGCAGCATCTCACACCCCGAGGGCCTGAGGAGAGGGAGCTGTGGGCCACGCCTGGGAGGGGCCCAGCTGGGGTTACTGGCCCCGCATGAGCCTCGGCCATCTCTCCCTCCTGCCCTCTGCTTGGGGGACTCAGGGCTCCATTCTGGAGGGCACCACGGTGACCCGGGCCATCTCAGTATTGCCTGTGGGGGCCACCCCTCCACCCCCACCCCCAAGTGCCTTCGCTCTGTTTTTATACCCTGAATTGGAGGTTTATTTTTTAATATATATTATCTAAGAAGAGATCTGTGTGTGTGATGGCGGGGTGGGGCCTGGCATGGCGTCTGGAACTCTCTGTGACTGTCTGGCGTTGACATCCTGGGTCTGTGCCTCTGCGCCTCCCTCCAGTTGTTCATTCATTCATTCATTCATTTCTTTGTTTGAACCGTTACTCCCCAGGCACTCCGTACACACACTGGGTATGAGGCGTCTCCCTGACACCGCCCTCCAGCTCCCACCCCCGATCCCCCATGCTCAGCACTGGGCACCCCGAGTCTCACTCTCTGTTCTTTTATTTCTGTAGTAAACTCTCTGGAGGTGACTGTTGGGATCATGGGGAGCTGGTGGGGAGGGGGGCCCCTCCTGGGTGGGGGCTGGGGGCGGGGTTATTGCTCTGAGCTCCCTGTCCCCAGGGGGGCCTATATGGGGGGGGTGTCAGGACTGGGGCCAGCACAGGGGGTTTGGAGACACGGCCACACAAACACTTGGGGCATAGCACAGGGGTGGGCGGGCGGGGCAGGCTGGGCGCCATATTGCACTTTGGGAGTGGGGCCAGGCGGGGACCCCCCTCAAACTGGAGCCTGGGGAGGAGGCCGGAGGCCATCACATTCCCTCTGTCCTCTGTGGAGGGGGAAGTGAGACCCCCCCCACTCTGGGGCTGGGGAAGGAGACTGGGGCAGCAATGTGCCCAGACCTGGGAGGTGCTGAGGGCTGGTCCTGGGCCTTGGGCCAGGCATCAAGGGCAGACGGGCAGCCACCCTGGTCCCTGCCTCAGCAGAATCCATTGCCCCCTGCCGGCTCAGCTGCCGGTCCCCCCTTTGCCCGCCTTTGCCTTGGGGGGTGCCGGGAGACCCTCATCGCCCTCGCTGTCAGAGCTGCAGCCGCTGACGTCGGTGATCTCCAGCTCCGAGTCGCTGTCCTCCTTCCCACCAAGGGCAGCCTCTGGACCCCCAGCCCCTGGCAGCGCCAGGCGAGGGGCCGCTGCCAGGCCCGAGGGGCGCTCGGGGCCCAGGCCCTCCCCTGTCGAGGCCAGCAGGGGCGTGGCTGTGGGGCCTCCCCCTGCCCCTGACGAGGGCAGGTGGCCCAGGGAACTGGCCAGAGGGTTGGGGTAGAAATGCGGGGGGTAGAGAGAGGGAGGCAGCTTGGGGAAGGGGCCCGTGAGGTACGGGTTAAAGTTCCAGGGGTACTCAGGGAAGGCGCGGCCATAAGGACCCAGCAGGCCAGGGGGCTTGGAATAGCTGGTGGCACCTGGGGGGCACAGGGGTAGGTCAGGCTGGGGCACCTGCCTGCCTGGGGACCAGTAAAGGGGGCTGCCTCCCTGCCATATCCCACCCCATCTCCCCGCATCCCTCCTACATGGCATCTTACCCCCTCATACAGCTTCCCCCAACTCCATCTCCTCCCACTCCCCCACTTGTCTTCCCATTCCTTAGGCACCCCTGAAAGCCCCTGTCTCCCTCATTTCCCCTCCCTCACATCACATCCTTTTCTGGGTTTTACACACACACACCCTACAACCTGGCCCTGGGCCCCCTTCCCCATCTCTTCTCTTGTCTTTTCTCATCCTCTTCCCTCAAGCCTGCAGCTTCTCCCACTGTGCCCCCAGCACCCCAGAACCTCCAGGCTCTTACCAGAGCCCAGGAATGGGAAAGGGCTGTCCAGACGCAATTTATCTGTCTCGGAGGTGAACAGGGGTGTCCGGGCCCCTGGCTCTCCCAGGCGTGGGGCAGAGAACAGGGTTTGCAGGGTCTAGAGAGGGAGTGGGAGAAGCCGCCCTTCTCAGACTGTCCCCTCCCCAGAGTGGGCACCAAGTGCCTCGGTTCCAGGACCCCAGTACCCAGACTCACCTCAGGGGTGAGGGGAGGAGCATCTGGCCCTGGGGCCCCCCCAAAGGGACTGGGGGTCAGCAAGAGTGGGGAGCCAGTGGCAGCTGCCGCCATGTCCAGCAGCGGGTAATTGACAAGCACGACTTTGCTGAAGTTGAACTTGTAGGTGAACCTCTTCCCTTTGGTCTTGTGGAGAATCCGCTTGTTGTAGTAGTAACTGTGGGGAGAGTGGTGGTGTTGGGGAGGTGCAGGGGGAGCCCTGGGGCGGGATCTGGGGTTTCTTAATGCGTGTGCTGTCCCAGGCATGGTGCACAGAGCACTAGAACTTGGGGAAACTGAGGCTCACAGAAGTCCCTTAATAGGGATCACAGGGCAAGGAAGGGATGAGGCAGGAGCGGGGACCCTGCCCTGCAAGACTCCAAAGCCCAGGTTTAGGGGTCCCTCCTCCTCGCCTCCCTTCCACTCACAAGTAGCGATGGTGGCTACTCACGCACAGCCCTGTGCCTTGTGGGATCCAGCAGGAACCTGCCCCAGGATGCAGAGGGGGCACCAGAGGGACAGTTGGGGGAAAAGGACAAGGTGGGATCCAGCCCCAAGCCCTTCCTCACCGCAGGGCCCGGCTCAGCTTGTCGTAATTCATGTGGGGCTTGCATTTGCGAATACCCCACAGCCGGGCCACCTCATCGGGGTCTTTGATGACGAATTCCCCGTAGTCCCCCTGCCAGGCTATGACGCCCTGGTACTCCTCCTTCTGCAGCAGCTCCAGGATAAAGTGCCACAGCTGGATCTGCCTCGAGCCAGGGGATGACTCTGGCTTGTAGGCCCAATCCGGGAAGGCAAACCCTGGGGACGGGAGGCAGGGAGTGGCCTGGGGTCAGGATGCCAAGTCCAGGGCTCTGGGTCCTGCTGGACTCAGTAACCTGGGAGGCATGTAGTTCTCCTCCAGTCTCAGGCATCTTTAGGGACCTGGTTTCCACACTCCAAACCTCCTCCCTTTGTGTCTGGTCCCCAAATTACCCAAATAAGGGCAAGAACCCAGTCATCCAGGGACCCTGGGTTGGTACCAGTCTGATCCCCTACCTTGGCATAGCTCCCCCAGGCTCAGCATCCAGAGGTGGAGTTGGGAGGGACTGGCTTCCTGCACCCATGACAGTGAGGAGGAATGGGGAGGGGCACCCGCCTCCAACAGCGTTAGTCCTCTCACTGCCCCCAGCCAGCCCTAGGAGGTCTCTAGTCTCTTGTACCCTGCGGTGCCCTCAGCTCTTACTGTCTCTGTTCCCCATTCCCTGTCCCCTGCTCCACCTTTCGACATTCCCCAGAGCCCCCCACTGACCCATCCTGGCATATCCAGGCTGCAGCTCTGTGCATGTCTGTACCTGCCTGTGTATTTGTACCTTTCCCGTCCCTGTGTCCCCTCCACCCCATATCCATGCCCATGTCCGTCCAAGAGCAGTCCAGAACGATGTGTGTGTGTGCGTGGACACACACATGCCCACGGAAGACATGTCACACAGACATCAGTTCACTTGCCTGAGACACACAGCCACACTGGGACACAGGCACACCGGAGTGCCACACTCATGCTGGGGGCCACCAAGGCTGACATGGCAGACACAGGCTGCGCAAGACTCAAGGTCACGTCATCTCAACAACCCCACAGTGCACACCCATCACAACACAGAATTACACATCTCAAGACTGGGACTTACTAACAACACAAATGCCTGACAAGACACACACAGGACCCCAAATGCCCAAAGAACACACTGTACGATGGAGACGGTGAACACAGCACCAAGATATCCATGTCCCCAGACACACAGGGTGACAGCATGTCAGTAGAGCAACTTCCCAAACCTGCACACAGAGGCACCCACATGTCAGCACTGACACCCCCGGCTCACTCAGCATCACGTCTCACATGCAGAGGGGAGTACTCCACTGTCCACATACCCCCAGGAGCTGGGCACCCCGAAATCTCATCTCCCATGCAGAAGGCCCCAAGCCCTGGGTCCAACTTCTGTGTTCACTCTTATGCCACATCCTCTGTCCCCTTCCCCCTCCTCAGAGACCCCAGACCCAGGCATGAAAATAGAAGGCAGAGTGAGTCCATAAAAAGCTGGCAGCAGTGCAGGAGAGAGGAGACTGCTGTGCGCCAGGGCAGGGGAGACCAGCATCGCCGTGTCCACTTGCTGTGTGATTACGGGCAGGTCCTTACCCTCTCTGGTTTAGAACTGCACAGGTGGAAGGCAAGGGGGCGCAGGGTCCCACCCAGGCTGCCTGGTGTAGAAAAGTGGGTGCTTGTGCCTCCCGGCCTGAAGGCCGGGGAGCTCCAGGCAGTCTCCTTGAGGGAGAATTTTTATCTCCATTCATTTTTGGGTCTTTCTCACCTCCCATGACAGGGCTGGATCCAGACTCCAGCTCTGACCCATTCCACACCCAGAACACATCCTACTGGGGAGGCAACTGTATCACAGACACACCCACAGGACCCCAAGGTGACAAGAGGACACCCAACCCGATACTCCATCTGTCCTCAAATGCACACCCTCAAATATGTTGTACCTATGAGGCACAGGCACAGCTAGAGAGAGGACCCCCAAACTCAGTAGGCAGACACACACATGTGACAGACAAACCCCCAGAATTCACTCATGTGCACATGGACCCTACGCTGAAAACCAGACACAGCCCCCAACACAGAGGCCCAGGGATGCATCCCCCCCACAGCCCCAAATGCACCAAGACAGCCATGCGGAACGCCACACAACCCGAGACAGACCGCAAGAAACAGGCAAAGGCTCCTCACCCCACTCAGGCAGAGGCACAGTCGGAGAGCTGGCAGACGCCCCCATCCCAAAATGCGGACACGCCCAGCCCAGAGACACTCAAGTAGCCTCAGATGTGCACGTACAAGCAAATACACAAGCTCACACAAAGACAGGCTGTGCAGACACATTCTCCCAGTGTGACCCCTTCTAGAAACACTGAAGTGTGACACAGGGACACACTGAAATGAGACCCCAAATAACCAAGGACAGAGTCTCTGTCTGTCTCTCACACACACACACACCCCTCCCGCTGCACATCAGCATGGTGTCTGACCAGCTTCACCGTCCACCAACCCCGGTTGCAAGCTGTCCTCTTTCCTGGGTCTCGGTCTGGCCGGGTCGTGCCTGCACGTACCCCTGACTGGGCAGTGCCGTCTGTCTACCTGTCCATCCGTGCCTGGCCTAGTGCCCCCTCCAGCCCAGTCCCTGCTCTCTTTTCCCCGCAGGTCCTGCGTGGGAGCAGGCTGAGACGTGCGTGGCAGGGATGCCCGGGCCTCGGGCCCCTCCGTCCTCACCCCTCACTCACTTCCGTACCCTCCCAGAAGACCCACCTATCCCCCCAGCACGCAGGGGGCAGGGGAATCTGGCTGCGAAGTTTTTAGCCAAGTTTCTCAGAAGGGGTTTGATTTGGGGGACTGACCAAGACTGAGAGAGAAGGACCCACGGACTAGAGTGAGACACGTGGAGACACGGAGAGAAGGGGGATGCGGCTCACTGGGGAAGCCTGAGGGGTGGGGGAAGGGGTGGGGGAGGTCCGGGCCAGTTACCGGGGGTCCAGAGAGCCGGCAGGGCGGGCGGGGCGAAGAGAAGGTCGGAGACGCAGCTACAGTCCATGGCGGAGCCGGCCCTGCAGAGGCCGGGAGGGACACACGGGGACGGGGTGGGCAGGAGAGACAGACACAGGTCAGCCAGCGGGGCGCTGCCCGGGGCCTTCCCCTCTCCCAGGTCCCCACCCCAGCCTGACACCCTCTCCCCGCAATCCCTCCTGCCCACTCCCTCCCGCAGGCACCGCTCTGTCCCCAGCCGTTCCCGGCCCCGAGACCCCGTTCCTTCCCTCCCAGCCTCTCCTCCCGCAGCCTCCTCCTCACTCGGTGCCTCCATCACTAACTACGCCGCTCCCAGCCTCCCTCCCCGCTCCCCGCCACTCGCTCACGCTCTCACACTCGCTGGCTCTCACGCCCGCCCGCCCGCCCGCCGCTCGCGCCCCGCACCGTCTCTGCTGCCGTCTCCCGTCCCCGCTCTCCCGCCTGACCTCCCGGGTCGGTCGGTCCCTGCGTCTCTGGGTCTCCCTCTGTCTCTCTCTCTGGCTGCCCCAGATTTATCTTGTTCTATAACTTGCCCCCACACCCGCCCCACCCGGACGACCCCCAGGCGGGCTCTTCCAGCCCAGGCGCAGCCCTGACCCGCAGCCGCCCAGGACGGGCTGCAGGGGGGCAGGCCCAGCACCCCCTCCTCCAGTCCTCTACCCCACAGGGCAGCCCCCAGCGCCCTGCAGGAGGCCTCCACAGACCCTAGACCTGCTGCTCACCCTGAAGACCCCTGTCACTTGGATCTGCCTCCCTCCTCAGACACCCCTTCCCCTCACATCTGCCTCCCCTGTCAGACCCCCTCCCTCAGACACTCCCTCTCCCTAGATATCTTACGCCCCTAAGATACTCCATCCCCTCCTCACTCCAGTCTCCCCGCACCTTTCCCCCTCTTATGGCGCCTCCCCTCCACACACACACCCTTGCAATCCACTCCCTCTCACACCCCTCCGCAGACACACGCTGCCCTCGCGCTCCCGAGACCCCTCCCCTCAGGCACTTCAGCCCCTCACTGCCACCCTCACACCCCACCTCTGGAGCACCTTCTTCCTGGAGACCCCCCAGACGCTCTCAAAAACCCACTCCTCTTAGACACCCTGATACTCCCCACTGCTCCCATGCGCCCCCCAGCCAGAAACCCCTCAGACCCTGGCAGCCCACACTGTGTTCCCCCGTGAGCCCCGCCTACCCCTGGACACTGGACAAAACTTTTCAGACACCCCATGTCCCCTCAGACTCGCCCGGTCTCCCCACAGAGGCCCCAACCTCAGATGCCCCCACCTCCCATCTGCCTCCTGGAGCCTCCCCTGTCCCAGGCCCCCTCTGTTCCCACACCTGTCTCCCCGTCTTTCTCCATCTGCCCCGTCTCGGTATCTCTCCCTCTCCATCTCTGTCTCTCCGGTCACTTGGTCTCTTCTCCCTTCCGTCTCCCCCCACCATCTCCCTTCCATTTCTGTCTCTCTCCTCCACCAAGGGGGTCTCTCTCCCCACCTCACTGCCCTCTCCCTCTCGTCTCCATCTCCTCCTCCACCCCTCAGTCTCTTCCCTGTTTCTCCATCTCTCACCCCTGCTTCTTCTCCATCTGTCTCTCCATCTTCCCAGTGTGTCCATCTCTGTCTCCCTATGACTTTCTCCCCATCTCTGCTATCCGTCTTTCCCTCCCCTTCCACCATCTCTGTCTCCGTCTCTCCCTCCCTTTCCACCATCTCTGTCTCTCCCTCCCCTTCCACCATCTCTGTCTCTGTCTCTCCCTCCCTTTCCACCATCTCTGTCTCTCCCTCCCCTTCCACCATCTCTGTCTCTCCCTCCCCTTCCACCATCTCTGTCTCTCCCTCCCCTTCCACCATCTCTGTCTCTCCCTCCCCTTCCACCGTCTCTGTCTCTCCCTCCCCTTCCACCGTCTCTGTCTCTCCCTCCCCCTCCACCGTGTCTCCCCCCCTTTCCACCGTCTCTGTCTCTCCCCCCCTCCACCATCTCTGTCTCTCCCTCCCCTCCATCATCTCTGTCTCTGTCTCTCCCTCCCCCTCCACCATCTCCGTCTCTGTCTCTCCCTCCTCTTCCACTATCTCTGTCTCTCCCTCCCTCCCCCTCCAGCATCTCTGTCTCTCCTGTCTCTGCCCCCACCGTGTCCCTGTCCCGCGTCTCTCCAGCAGCCCCGCTCCCCCACACCTCTCCCCCACCCATCGCTCTCCCACCTCCCGCTCTCTTTGCCTCTCAGGGTCCCCCTCCTTCCTCCCCCCGCCCCCACCCCCTATTGGCCCCTCTCATTTCCGTGTTGGTTTTGATTTCTCTTCCCGACGCTTTCAACTCCCCGCCGCCTCCTCCGGACACGTTATAACGAGGAGCCGTGGGATCGGCGCTCCGGGCCCTGCTCCCACGCTCCCCCCGCCGTGTCTCACACGCGTCTCTGCCATCTCGCAGTCTCTGTGCCCAGCCTTCGTCCTGTGTCAGGCCCCACAGGGACCTGGACCCCTCGCCCTTGCCCATCGCCTCTGCCGCCCTGTCCCCGTCCGTCTGTCCGTCCCTCCCATCTCTGGGTCTCCATGCCTCCCTGTCTCTTGGTTCCCACGTCGTCTCCACTTCTGTGTCCCCACGTCTCTGTGTCCCCATGTCTCTGGGTCTCCACATGGCTCTGTTTTAATGTCTAGGGTCTCCACACCCCTGTCTCCGTCTCCACATCTCCATATCTCCTCCTCCTCAAGTCCCTGTCCTGTCCCCATGTCCCCCATCTCTGTCTCATCTGTCTCTGTCTCCATGCCCCATCTCCCTGTCTCTGTGTCTCTGTCTCCATGTCTCCATCTCCATGTCTCTATGTCTCTGTCTCTGTTTCTGTCCCGGTGTCCGTCTCTTGGGGTCCCTTTGATCTCACCCTGCCCCTGGCGCCCCCCTGGCCCCATTGATCGCTGATCGACTGATGGAGGGAGCGCGGCCTGCGGGGCCTGGGGCTGCAGGGCCAAACAGGGCCTGGCAGGACGGCCGGACAGATGGACAAACGGCCCCAGCCCCAGTGGCTGTGGATGGGGAGCAGCCACAATCCCCCACCCCCCTCCCCCCCGCCGGCCGGCGTGGTGCGGATGGGTACTCCAGGCAAGCTTTAATTTTTAATTTTATTTTGCTTCCTCCACCCCCCCTTCGCCCCCCATCTCTACCGCCCGCAGCCATGGCACCGAATGTGTGTGCGCATGTGAGCGAAGCGGTGTGCAGAGGCGCTGGGCAGGCGAGGGCCCTCCTCCCTTCTCTCCCTGCCAAGCACAACCACACAGACCCACACACCAACCCAGGCACGCACACCACCACGTCCCACACAGCACACATCGCACAGATGCACACACCAGCACAGCCACACACACACCATCACATACCACACACTGCATGAGCCCACATGTCAACAAAGTCACACACAGCACCACGTCCCACACAACACATCACACACACCAACAAAGCAACGCATACCACTGCTGCCACACACAACCCACATCACACAGATGCATGTGTCAGTAAAGTCACACACCAACACTGTCACAGTCACACACACACACATCAGCATAGTCACAGATGCACAGAAACAGACACACAGTTTTACACAAATACACACATGACACATCAATTCAATCTCACACAGAAACAAAGACACAAAATCACAAATCCTAGACACACTGTGTAAACACATAATCACACACTGAGGCTCACAATCAAATACAGAAACCCAGATTCCCAAGCACACAATCGCACACTGAGACAACAGCACACAGAAACAGACACACAGTCACACAACCAAGCACCACCGACCCTCGAGCGCATACATATGCACTTGGTCACGCATGGAGCCGTAGAGATACACACACCAGCACCAACCCAGACAGCCAACGCACACGGCCACACACACACCCATTCACAGACACAGTCACAATCACACACACACACCAAGATCACGGACCCAAACATACGACCGACAGCGGCCCCTGCAGAGGTACACACAGACACACCCAGACACACTGGGTAGGGGTGGGCACTCAGAGATGACCCCAACCCAAGGCCCCTGCCACTCCTGCTCCCACCATCCCCATCTGTCTGCCTGTCCCTCCATCTGTGAACTTCCCAAGCATGTCTCTGCATGGGTGTGTGTGTGTGTGTGCACATATGTGACACGTGCCCTTGTCTCAGACCTGCTTCTGTGACTGCCTCTCGAGACACAGGTCTCTCGGTCTCTCTCAGCCCCTTCGGGTGTCGGCGCATCTTTCTGTCTGTCTCTGTCACTGAGGGTCTCTGTCTGTCTCTGTCAGAGAGGGTCTTTTCTGCTCATCTTGGCCTGCCTGTCTTTCTAAATATCTCCATCTCTGAGTGTCTCTGTTTCCCCCATCTCTCTCTCTGGGTGCATCTCTCTGTCTCTCTCTGTCTCTGTCCCTCTCTGTCTCTGAGCTCTCTGTCATCTCTCTCTGCCTCTGTCTCCTAACGCCCCATCACCACGCCCCCCTGGGCTGGGGTTTAACCAGTTGTTTTGATTTCTCTAAGCTGCGCCGGCCGCCTCGGGAGCCGCCTCGGGCCTCGCACCCCCACCACCAGCCCCTTCATCCCTCACCCAGGCCCCCCCATCCCCACCTCCCCTTAACACAATCTGCACAATCGGAATGAAAATTGATTTTTTTTTTAAATTTCATATCTTCTCCGGGGCTCTGTCTAAAGAGGAGAGAGACGCGGCCTAAGACCCTTCTGCCACCGCCGCCCCCGCATGCACACACCATGCCCCAAAGCACACGCACGCACGCACACACACACCCTGACTGCACCCACCCATGGCCACACGTTCAGGCACAATCTGGGGACATATCTCTCCTTACGCCACACGCCCATGTAGGACACATCTGTGCACACAGTAGAGACCCACAGTGACACCCACTAGTAGGCACACACACACCATGCACAGCCCCAGCCATGGGACGGCTGCCAGCCCCACCCATCTGTTGCCACACAAACGAGCCCCCAACACCCTGTCCCATCTGGGTGCACGAAGCCAGCTCCCCGCGGTCACACACTGTGTGTGTGTGTGCTCACACACCTGTCCGTCCAGACTATAGCCACGTCCATGTGTACACAGAGCAGGCTCAGGGGCCGGCCCTCGACAGGCACCAGGAGACCCTGTGCCTGTCTTGGAGAGGAGGGGGTTCAGGGGTGATGTGGGGTTTCCTGCATGGGCATGCCCCCCCATCCCGGACGCCACCCCCATTCCCACACTGCCCACATCAAATGCTCTGGCCTGACCCTGGTTGGGGGTGCCTTTGTGCCTGGGGTGTACACATACCCCACATGTATACGCCACATATACACCACACATACCACATATACACACCACAAACACACCATACATACACACCCCCACCACACACATACCCACCACATACACCACAGACACACCTAGCCCCACACACCACATACACACACACGGTACACACCACATACACCATACACACACCATACCACACACACCACACATACACCACATACACATACCATATCACACACACCACACACATATCACACACACACATAAATACACCACACATGCACCACCTACACACCACACACGCACCACGCACACCACACACACATCACACACACACCACACACATCACACACACACCATACACTCACCATACACACACACATCACTAACCCTCACATACACCACACACAGTACATACACTACCCATCACAGACAAACCACACACACCACATCACTAACCCTCACATACACCACACACAGTACATACACTACCCATCACAGACACACCACACACACCACATATCCGCCACACACCACACACACCACGTACACACCACACACCACCCCACACATACACACACCACATATACATCTACCACACACATACCACACACTGCATACACACCATACACACACACCACATCACTCTCACATACGCCACACATGCTACACTACCCATCAGACACACCACACACCACATATCCACACACACCACATACACTACCCATTACACACATACACCACACACACATGCACACCACATACACTACTCACCATACACACATGCACACCACACACCACACACACACACACCGCATATACACCACACACATCACATACACACCATGCCACAGACACTATACATCACACCACATACACAACACTGCATACACACACCCACACACATTACACCACACCACATGCCACACATAACACACATACCACACACATCACCCACATACCACACACCACACTCACACACCACTCGCAGCTTACTACTCTCAATACCACACCTTGTAATCCCCACATGGACACACACAAAACCAGTCATCCTTAACACACAGACCCACAGAAAACACACAGAAGCACACAGGGTGACACCAGAAACAGCTTCACACACAGACTTCGGCACAAGTTCACAGAAGTTGCAGACACATGCGCCATCCAACAGCCACACATAAACATGCAACCACACAAACATACACAATCAAACATACACAAACAGTCATCAGTGCTCTTTAGGGCTGGACACACAGTATCACTCAATTGTTATGAACCAACACTCAAGCTGGTACATTCAGCTCCTACAAATTACCACCCACGTGTGCACGTGCACGCGTACACACACACACACACACACACACGTCCACATCTGAACCCAGACTCAGACACAAGCCCACAAGCTCAGAGACACAACAGCAACCCCCGAACACCAACACAGCGCCACACAAACACACAGCTGGTCTGTGACACACAAGATTTTGGGGGCTCTTCCTCAGCTGCGTCCTTCACACCCACACTCACCAGCCCAGCTGCCGGGGTCCTCTCAGGGTCGCACTCACTTGGTCCTTCCACCCTGTTTCTCTGGGACTGAGCCTCCTCATCTTGCCCTCAGAGATAACTGCCCCAGGTCCCTGAGGCCTACCCTGCACAGCCACACCATGTGAAAACACCAGACATGGCACAACTCCAGAGCTTTGGACGGTCACACCAGACGCAGCTGAGCACCACACACGTCACACAGACATGACACGCTCACAGACATGATACGCCCAGACGTGACGAACTCACAGACATGACACGCCCACAGACGTGACACACCCAGACATGACGAACTCACAGACATGACGCGCTCACAGACATGATACGCTCACAGACATGACACACCCAGATGTGACACACTCACAGACATGACACGCTCACAGACATACACTCACAGACATGACACGCTCACACATGCGCTCACAGACATGACACGCCCAGACATGATGCACTCAGACATGACACGCTCACAGACATGCGCTCACAGACATGACATGCCCAGACGTGACACTCAGACGTGACGTGCTCAGACGTGAGGCACAGACATGACATGCTCACAGACATGATAACGCTCACAGACATGCGCTCACAGACATGACATGCCCAGACGTGACACACTCAGACGTGATGCACTCAGACGTGACGCACAGACATGACATGTTCACAGACATGACATGCCCAGATGTGACACACTCACAGACATGACACACTCACAGACATGACACGCTCACAGACATGACACGCCCAGACATGATGAACTCACAGACGTGACACACAGACATGACGCACTCAGACATGACACGCTCACAGACATGATGCACTCACAGACAGGACACGCCCAGATGTTACGCACTCACAGACGTGATGCACTCACAGACAGGACATGTGTGGCTCCACTCAGCACCCATACTTAGTCACCTGTGCCCAGGAGCACGCATGTCTACACAGATCACATTCACAGACACTGTGACACAAGTCACACAGTCATGTGCACATGCGCACACACACACTCGGTCTTCTGCCTCGACTGCACTGTGCAGGACACACAGAGGGACAGAATGGCAGACAGGGCAGTGGATTCCCAGGCTGGGGAAGGTGTGTCTGCTACCCTCGCTTGAGAGGTGGGGAGGCTCCAGGCCAGAGACAGAGAGGCCTGTGGGTGGGGCAGGGGTGGAGACCCACACCCCCCTCCCTCTGTCTCTCCCTCTCTGTCTCTGTCTCTGCCTCCGGCCCTGTGTGTGTGTCTCTGCATCTCTGTCTCTCTCCCTGAGTCTCAGTCTCCGCACGATGTCCCTGGGGCTGCGGACAGCAGCGCTCCGAATGGTGTCAGTTGAGGGGTGGCGAGGGAGCGTCCCCGGGGAGGTGGGAGCCGCAGTGCCACGCACCCCGCCTACCAAACAGCTCTGGGGGAGGGGAGAGGGAGGGTGGAGGCGCCACCGTGAGGCGAGGCGGAGGGAGGTCTGGCTGCTCCCCAACCTCACTCGTGGACCCCGCCTCCCCTCAGAGACCCAGAGAGATGGAGGAACTGGAGGTTGGGGTGGGGGGCACAGAGAAGGGGAGACATGCAGGGAGGAAGAGAGACCGAGGGGGTGGAGCGTGATACATGGAGAACTGAGAGGAAGCAGGAGTGAGACACGGAGGGAGATGGAGGGGGATAGGCGGGACATGGGGAACCCCACCAGGGGAAGGCACAGAGAAGGAAAGAGACACAGAGGACAAGGACAGGTCCCACAGAAACAGGAAGCAGACTGGGAGCCACATGCACACGCAGAGAGAAGAGAGAGACAGAGACAGAGAGACAGGCAGGGGGAGATCCGAGGTGGGGAAACACGGCAGAAGGAGCGAACCAGAGAGGCTGAGACAAAAGTAGATTAGAAAGCTGGAGGTCACGGGAGAGCGAGGGCCGCACCGGAGACCCTGGGTTGGGAGGAAGGAGAGAAGAGGGCAGAGATGCGGAAAATTGAGGGATTAGGGCAGAGGCAGGAGAGGGATGCAGGCGAGCCCGGCCCTGGAGGTGGAGTGGAAGGCTCAGGTGTAGGCCGGGTGGCGGGCAGACCTAAGGTGTGGATTCCTCGTCCTCCGCCCCACCTCGCCCTTCTTCAGTCCTAGGAGGTTGGTGTCCCCTGGGAGTCCGACCCATCCCAGCTTCAAAGCCCACCCTACCCCTCCTCCTCCTCATCTCCACCAGGCCCCACCCCACCCAGACCCCAGCTCCATCCTCTACCTCTCCTCCTGGTCCTCATCCCCAACTCCCACCCCTTCCCCACCCTTGCCTTCATTCTACCTCCACCCCCAGCCTCACTCCACATCGGGCCCCACCCCTCTATCAGAGTGACAGAAGGCAGGGAAATGACTGTTATTTGGTGATGCTGGAGGGGCGGGGGCAGAGAGCTGAAGCGGGGTGTGGTGTACACCAGAACCAGCTACTCAGGGAGCCCAGAGACCCAGAGTCCTTCTAGACGGCAACCACCAAGGGCCAGGGCTCAGGCATCCCGACAGAGCCCGGGGCTTGGCACCAAGAGTGTACTGAGGAAATTATGTTGAGGTGGAATCCAGATTAAACTGTGCTCAGCAGGGAATCAGGGAGACAGAGATAGCAGATCAAAGGGACAGAAAGCAGGAGATCAAGGGACAGAAATGAGGAGGGCAAAGAGACAGGGTCAGAGGGCTGGGGAAATAGGGATGGAGCCGAGAGCTAGAGGGGCAGATGGATGGGACTGAGATGCGGGAGCACACAGGGACAGGGAATCGGATGACAAGGAATTGAGGCCAAAAATGGGGAGAAGTGGGTGATCCAGGGTTAGAGAAAAGGAGGAACAGAGAAATGGGGTCAAAGACCCAGGAGGGCAAACATGAGGGGCAGAGAACTGGGAACCGGAGAGAGACTCCGAGGGACGAGGGACCAGAGGCAGTGGGGCAGGCCTGAGGGCTAGGGCAAGGGGCGGGGCCTGGGTGGGCTGAGGCTGGAGCTGGGTGCCGGGCCACCAGGGATCCCACAAGGGCCGGGGTCCAGCCGGGCTGGGGGGGACTCAGGGCTCCAGGGGCATCAGGCGCGGTGCTAATTCAGCGCCATCGATCAGATGGGATGAGAGCAATAAATTATTGTGACAAGATGCAATCCTGGCCCGCGCACTGCCGCCGAGGCGGATCGATCCCTGTCCCCAGCCCCACACCGGGTCCCATGCCCAGGCCTGGGCTGGAGGGGATGCCTCTGCCCACCTCTCCCTCCATTCTCCACCCTGCACACACTCACTCCCACTGACAGCCAGGTGAAGGGAATGTGAGGGGCAGCCTAGGGAAGAGGCGGGAGGGGGCTGGGGGAACCCACAGAGGGAAGTTCAGCGCCCCCTCTGACCCAGGCCTTTTGCTTCCCTCAGCACCCCATCCTCACCACCACCTGTGAGGTAGGAACTGCCATGATGGATGCCCATTTCACAGATGTGGAAACTGAGGTTCTGACAGGAAAAGTAACTTGGCCAAAGTCCCACAGGGATGAGGTGAGCCTGGACTTGAATGCAGGTCAGTATGACTCTAGGCCCCCGATATTTGTACTGTCAGAGGACAGAGCAAGGGCCAGAGACAGAAAAGGAGGAAAGAGACAAGACAAGGAGACAGACACAGAGTCCAGGATATGGAGAAACTGAGAGAGAGTCAGAGAGCTGTAAAGACCCTGTATGGAGAAAAACAGACACAGACAAAGACAACCAGAGAAATACAGAGAACAAAGAGAGACTGGGAGACAGACAGACAGAGACAAAAAGACAGGGTGAGACAGAGGAGTCGAGAGGCCAGAAACCAAGAGAGACAGAGAGACTCAGAATTAAGACAGGCAGACATGGACAGGGACAAGGAGACAGGGGCAGGTGGTGGCAAAGGTGGAAATGGAGAAAGGAAATGAAAGTGAGGGTGGGTGGAAAGGAAAGGCCAGCATGCAGGGAGGGGCGGTGTGGGAGGCAGGAGTGTGTCTGGGGAGGCAGGGGTGTGCTGGGAGGGGGCTGTGCTGGGGGGGTGTCTGGGGAGGCGGAGGTGTGCTGGGACGGGGCTGTGCTGGGGGTGTGTCTGGGGAGGTGGGGGTGGATCTGGGGAGGCGGGGGTGTGTTGGGAGGGAGCTGTGCTGGGGGGGTGTCTGGGGAGGCAGGGGTGTGCTGGGAGGGGGCTGTGCTGGGGGGTGGTAGGGGTGCGCTGGGAGGGGCTGTGCTGGGGGTGTGTGTGGGGAGGTAGGGGTATGCTGGGAGGGGGCTGTGCTGGGGGGAGGTAGGGGTGCGCTGGGAGGGGGCTGTGCTGGGGGTGTGTCTGGGGAGGTGGGGGTGCTCTGGGAGGGGGCTGTGCTGGCCCCAAACAGCTTGTGGGGGAGGTGGGGGTGAGCATGTGGAATGACAGCCTTAGCCCCAGGAGTCAATGAAGGGTGAGAAAGTGAGCCTGGAGAGTAGGGGAGATGGGGTTGGGAGGTAATGGAGAAGCAAGTGTCACCAAAGTCCCTAGGTGGATAGGTGTGTCTGTGGAGGGAGGAGGTCACCTGAGGGGCAGATGAGGGAGGTAAGGACACCTGGATGGCTAGGAGGGCAGTCTCTGAAGTCAGACAGCCTTGACTTGACTCAAATCTCTAACATCTACCTGTTTCTGGGACCTCAAAGAAACTCTCTGGACTCAGTTTCCTTCTCTGTAAAATGGGGACAAGAGGCAAGTACGTGCCTCATGAGGGTCCTGTGAGGACAAATGAGACAATGGGTGTGAAGAACTTGGTGTCTGTCACAGAGATGGATGGTGGTCTTAGTAATCGGGAGCTGTCATCACCATCACCCTCACCTTTATCCTCATTCTCGTTGTCGCCATCAGTATATATGGGGAGGGTAGGTGTTATGTGGTGGAACAGGTGGGGCACACATTACAAGCACCTGCTACTCAGAGAATGATACCTGGACCAGGTGTTTCTGATGCACATTGAAGTCAGATAACCTCGGACTTAAGATGCTGTGCAGTGCGGGGAGCAGGTGTGGGGGTGGCTGGGAACAGGCGACACATGTGTCTAACACATGCTACAGGTGTTATGCACGTGGAGGAAGGCGCTCCTCGAGGAGAGAGCTGGTCAGAGACACGTGCTAGGAAAGGGGACCGGTGTTTCTGGAGAGAAGCAGGTTGGAGACAGGTGTGAGAGATCTGAAGGTTTCTTCCTAAAGGTGTGGTGGTGACAAGCTGCAGGGACAGGTATCAAAAGTGAACATAGCAGAGAATGGGGCAGAGGTGTGCAGTGGGTTCCCAATGCTTGCAAAAGGTGCAAAGGGACTCCGGTCACATGGATGTTTGGGGGGAGGAAAAGGAGAGAGGTGGCTGGAGTGTGGGGAACCAGGTGCATGTCTGTGGGACAGGGCTGTTTTCAGGAGGTGACCCCTAGACCCAGCTGAAGAGATGTGAAGCAAAGAGAGATTAAGTGGGGGTATGCATAGTGGGTGTCGAAGCCTCGGTATCTGTTTGCTGATTAAATGATTTGAATGTGTTACCAGGGCAGAGGATTCCCTGGGATAAACAGGTGAGGAATGGCAGGTGCAGGGGGTTACTGGTGTGACCTTGTGCAGCAAGAGAGAGAGAGAAACATGGGAAATTAGGTATGTGGGAAAGAAGAGAAGTGGATAGAGAGTACCTGAGGGACAGGTGTGGGAAAACAGGTATACAGGTGACGCAGATACCTGTGGCCAAGGACAGACTCCTGCCCCAAACGTGTGTGTGTAAAGTAATGTTGTGTATAGTGAGAGACAGTGAGAGACCAGGAGAGGCAAAGACAGTGCAAGAAGGAGTGAGACACAGGTGAGCAAGTGTACAAGGGACCGGGAAACTCTGAGGGGACAAGAGCTTGGAGGAAGGCATAATGGCAGGGAAAGCCATGAGGAGGGTACTAGTGTGTGGATTGGTGATCAGGTGGTGCTTGGGGTTAGGACACAGGTGGGGAAGGTGCTTCTGTTGTCTGTGATGAGTAACCCGAAATGACAAGTAGGAAAGACAGGTACGGGGGAATCCTTGGAAGTCAGTGTACCTTGGAAGTCAGGTACAGGTAGAGAGGGATGTGAGCGACAGGTGTGCTCTTAGGTGACCTGTGTGTGGCCAGCTCTTCTGGAAGGGCAGGTGTTGGGGTGGTTAAGGAGGTGCAACACTGTCACGGAGGAGGATGGGTGAGGGCCAGGAGGCTGGGGACTGGTGGGGGCAGGCCTTACCTGAGGGGACAGGTTAGCAGGTTGCATGTGTGAGTGCTTGTGTGCAACAGAAGGAATGTGTGTGTGAGTGTGTGCATGTGTGGTGACTCGGTACTGCTTGAGAGGAGGAAGAGGTGAAGAAATACGAATGTGTGAGGAACAGGTGAGTTTGCAGCTTTAGGGGACAGGTGGGATGGCTCACGTACAGGTAGGAAGGGGCCAGTGTGACATGAAATGAGATAAAATGCAGGGATTCCAGTGGAAGGGGCAGATTTTAGAGAACAGGTATTACCTGGAGGGGCAGGTAAGAGGGGACGTATGCTCCCCGAGAGACCAGACATCTTAAGGGCAGGTGTGAGGGGGACAAGTGTTACCTGGAGGGGCAGGTGAGAGGAAATAGGTGTTACCTCCAGGGCAGATGAAGGGAACAGGTATGGAGGACAGGTGTTGCGTGCAGGCAGGTATGAGGAGATAGATGTTACCTGGAAGTCCAGATTTGGGGAGTTGAAGGGGGAACATGGATGTGACAGGTGCATTGATAGACAGGTGTGAAAGGTTAGTTACCTGAGGCCACAGGTGGGTGCAGTGTGACTCTGCCAGATGGTCTGCCACCTCGATTTCTCTCGCTCCCCTGTCCTCCCCTCCCTGGGGAGCCAGTTCTGGCTCTCGGGTCCCTCCCGTGGCTCTGGCCCTGGGTGGGGCACAGAGTTAGCTCTGGGCTAGGCGAGGCCTGGCCTGCTGGCCTGCCGGGCAGCCAGGGCCCCTGAGGCTGCTTGGCGATGCGGAGCGCGTCTGGGCCGCGGCGGCCGGCCGGGAGGGGGGAGCGGGCGGGGGGGCCGTTTAGCCGTGATAGATCCGCGCGCCGCTTGTCTCTTAATCTCCAGAGCGACCGATCGATTCGCTATTTCCCTTTGTTGCCAGAAAATTCGATCCTGGGCCTGGAATTAGGTCCCCGGCTTAATCTGAGCGGAAACCAGCGAGGGGGAGACAGAGACAGAGATGCTGGGAGAGACAGAGACAGAGAGACAGTAAGAGACAGAAAGAGGCAGAGAGAGAGAGATAGAAAGAGATGCCGAGAAAGGAAGAGAGAGAGATAGATGCCGAGAAAGGAAGAGACACAGGGAGAGATAAGCACAGAGATTTAGAGAGAGATAGTCTTAAGAGTTGGACCCAAAAAGGAAGAGAGAGATGCTGTGAGAGACAGAGATAGAGAGACAGATCCTGGGAGAGTTAGAGGTGGACACAGAGATGCTGTGAGAGACAGAGACAGAGAGACAGTGAGGAGAGACCCAGCCAGGGGAGAGATAACAGAAGTGGCCCAGCAGGGCCCTGCGACAGTGGTGGAATGATAGAAAGGGTGTCCCAGAGGGCCCCGGCCCCACGAAGGTCAGGGCCAGGCCTGTACTCCTTGCCCCGAAGTGTGCAGACCCCAGAATTGGCCCAAATGTCCTTCCCACAGACCCTGTGACCCCTCATACCAAATATCCAGACCCCAGATATCCAGATCCAAATTCGCAGACCCTTAGCTTTGAACTCCAACTCCAAATCCAGACTTCTGGCCCCCTCAAGTCCAAACTCCTATGCTGATCCCCAGTCCCAGATATCCACACCCCCAGTCCTGACTCCCAGCCCCAGTCAGCTCCCAACCTCAGATATCTAGATCTTCCGCCCCAAGTGTCCAGTCTCTTGGCTTTGAGCCCCTAGGTCCCAAATATGCAAGCCCTCAGCCCTGACCTCTAAACCCCACTCAGAATCTAGCCCCAAATATCCAGACTCCTCAGCCCCAAACATCCAAATCCACCTTCAGGTCGGCCACCAACCCCCGTTCCCAGATTTTCAGTCCAGTCTCTTGCAGACCCCATCTCCGTGGCTCTCACTCGCTCTCCCTCCCCGCCCCCAAATCTCGCACCCCTGTCCCGAGGCCGCACCTCTAGCGCTACCCGCCTCCCACCTTCCCAGAGTTGGGCGCTGCCCCACCTGCCCCTTACAGCCGGGGCGGATGACCCCATCCGCCTACCCCTCCACCGGCTCGGAGGCCCAGCTTCTCAGGCCTCCCGGGACCACCCCCGCGCCCGCCCCCTCCTGGGGCGGGAATCCCCGCCCCCTCCCCGCCCCTGCGCCGGCCGCGGCGCTCACTCACTTTCTGGGCTTTTCGCATCCGCTCCGGTCCGGGGAGAAGTGTTTAAAGTTCGGATCCCGCAGCCATGGCCCCCGCGGCGTCCTGGGGAGGGGGCACCGGGGCGAGGGGCGGGGTGGGGGGAGATGCCCGGAGCCCCGGGGAGGCAGAGACCCAGAGGACGAGGAGAGGGAGTCTCTGAGACGCCGGGACAGGAGAGACTCAGAGACGGAGAGACAGCCAAGGAGACAGAGACGGGGAGACGAGCAGAGACGGGGAGATGCAGAGAGGGAGAGAGACAGCGAGATAGACGCGCAAAGAGAGCAGAGACGGGGAGAGCTGAGGACGGAGCTCCGGGCTGGAGCTCAGCACAGCGAGCGCGGGCGGGCGCGCGCCGGGGACAGCCTGGCCGGCTGGGGGCGCGGGGCGGCCCTGCCTCCTGCGCCTTCTCCTCTTCCTCCTCTTCCTCCTGCTCCTCCTCCTCCTCGTTCTCCTCCTCCTCCCTCCACTCCTCTGCGCGCCGCGCGCCTCCCGCCCTCGCGGCCGCCCGGCCGGGCTCGGCTCGCAGATATATGGAGGCGGCGGCGGCGGCGCGGGGGAGGGGGCGGGGGCGCGATCGATGGAATATAATTTTCCTCAAACTCGGAAAATAAAGTTCAGAGCTGATCAAATTTGAAAACAGATGTCGAATCGCGACTCTAAATAAGGTTCGATCCCGGGACTGAGGGAGTGGGGGTGGGGCGGGGGTGGGTGGAGAGGTGGAGAGACCCCCCTCCTCTCCCCTTCCCTTCTCCTCCGCCCCGCTCCTCCCTAAGTGGACGCGCGGACAAACGGACAGGCGCGAGGTGGAGGTGGCGACGATGCGTCCAGGACCCCTGCTGGACACGCAAGCCTGGACCGGGACTGGAACACGGACCCGCACACACGCAGCCTGGATAGGAGATACACGGACAGAGGGACATATGGATACAGTAAGACAGTGCAAACACACACTCAGGGACACACAACCCTACAGAGAGACAGACACAGACACACACACACAGACCTGCCATCTATACACGCAGCACACACATGCGGACCGTAATACAGGAAGTGGAAACACAACCGGTACACGGAGACATTCAGGCACACACAGAGAAACATATGCACAAACACAGCCTGCACACCACACCTTCCCCAACCCACAGCCACTCCCTGATCCACTGACCCACAAACTGGACACAAAGACAACCAGATGCACACACAGCCACACTCCACTCCCAACACACAGCCTGGACACACAAGCCCTCACTAACACATAGGCAGAACCCAGGGCTGGCACACTGACACTCCCCTTCACACTCCCACAAGGTCACAGGCACACACACGCACACCTACAGTGACAGGAAAGGGCCCTGCCCAGCCAGATCTGCTCCCATTGAAATAACAAGTCAATATCGACCAGCCTCAGGGCGGGTCAGACCCACAGTTCAGCTCCCGGCCGGCCGGACCTCCTGGCCCAACCTGACCCTCACCCTCACTGTCTACCCTCCTATTCCCTCCCTTGCCCCTTGCCCCTCGCCCCTTGCCCCTCACCCTGCCCTCTCTCCCGCTTCCACTCCCCAACCCACCACCCCCGACTTTTCTCTCCCATTCCCAGGTCAGGCTCCGCCCCGCCAAGTCCCACACCACCTTCTCTGGGGAAAGGCAGCTCTCACCTGGGCAGCCCCTGGAGGCTTCTACCCCTAGAGGGGAAAATAGGTCTCACGGCAAGACAGCAGTCCCCAGGTGGATATTCAGGGGCCAGGACAGCTCTGTCGGATCTCACCAACCCCACCAGCGCCCAGGTGCTGAGACCGAGGTGCTGAGAGGCTAGAAGAGAACTTCAGCCCTGCCTGACAGAGAAGGTTCAGCCTCACTCCCGCTCACCACTCACTCAGGCAAGTCGCTAAACATCCCCGAGCCTCAAGTTTCCTCATCTGCAAAATGGGACAATAATGACCTCCCTCCTAGAGTGGTTGGGAAGGTTAAACCGCAGGGCGCATGGAGCACAGCTGGTACTGCACCAAGTACCAAGTAAACACGCATTTGCTGTGAGCTTGCTGCTTCCGAATAATCTCATTAAAAATATTAAGAATTTTGCCAGATAACAAGAATTCCTTCACTTGTCTGTACCTTCACTTGTCTGAAAGGGAACATTCTTTCAAGGAGCCAACAGGCTTCACTGGGCTCCATTTACGACCCTTTCCCCCAGAGCCATGGTTCTCTGGGTGTCCATAACAGCCCCGGGACTGTCCACAGCCTACTTGAACACAGGTCACCAGCTACAGTGTTTGTGCATATGTTTCTGTGCGTGTGCCTGAATGTCTCCATGTACGGGTCGTGTGTTCCCACTTCCTGTATTACGGTATGCACGTGTGTGCTGCGTGTGTAGATGGCAGGTCTGTGTATGTGTATCTGTGTCTATCTCTGAGTTTATCTGTAACACCCAGCACACTACAGAGAGCATTCCCCCTCTACACCCAGCACACTACAGAGCCCCCTCTTGGCTCTGAAAGCCAAGGAGGAGGTTCCGGAACACCCTCTGGAAGGCAGGACTCCTCCCACACAGGACACCCTTTGGGAGAAAGGTGACACCCTCTGGGTAGATATGACTCCTTGGCTACACCCTTCAAGAGAGCTGGGACACCATTAAGGCTTCAAGTACACCAACTGGAATGCATTTCATGACCATTAAACCCCTGTGAAGAGGGACAGAACACCTTCTAAGCAGAAAGAGCTCAATTGACTGTAGATAACACCCTTCAGTAAGATAGGACATCCTCTGGAGAGATACAGTTTATCACACCATACACGACACCCTACTGGAAAATAGAACATCTTTGGAATGTGAGGGACAGACACCCTTAAGATAGCAAAGACCATCAGTCAATAGGGCTTTAAGACTTTATCTCTAAACCACGCCCCTCTGGGAGACAGGAAAACGTCCCCAGGTGTCAGAAACACCTGGACTGTAATGTTAACACCTTTGAGGGTCTTGCAATGCCCAATCAGAGGGTGGGGAGGACCCCCCAAGGAGAGCTCTGATGCTCTTGGGGCTGGGGTTGGGGGGGCCAGGACCCATTGCCTTGTGCATCCCACACACCGGTAGGAATGGGAACAGCACCCGTCTGACTGTTTAGAACACCCTCAGCACCCCCCACCCCCAGAAGACACCGTCTTGATTTCTGGAACACCTCTGGGGGCTGTGCATTTTGGAGTAATTTATGCTCCCTCTCTGAGTCCTAGGGTTCGGGAGGATTTGTGAAAAGGAGACCAGAGCGTGCAGCGCTGTGTAAGGCACATAGTAGGTGCTCAGTGAAAGAGACCCCTCACTGCACAGCACGCCCGCGGCCGGCAGGGGCACACGTTCCCTCGTTAGCAGTGTTGCCAACTCTGCCTACTTGGCTGAAGGAAGCGTCTCACAGGAGGGGGATCGTTAAGCTGTACTTAACATCCCCAGGGAGGCTGCAGCAGCAGAAGACTGTAGTTAATACCCCACTGAGAGAGGACGCCCTCAGGGTGTTTAATGCCCCCTAGGAGAGAGGGAGACAGAGAGAGGGAGCAGGAGAATACCCTCACCAGCCTCTAACACCCAGTGGACTGAATTTATTACCCGTGAAGGAGAGAGCATACCTCTGGGGTCTGTAATATCCTCTAGACTCTTGAAACCCCCAAGAGCAAGAGGACCCCTCCGTGAGGGCTATCGGCTCTCTCGAGATTGCTTTTAACAAAGATGCCTCCTGGTGCAGCTGAAACCACTAAAGGTGACAGAGGGTGAAACCAGGAGCCCCCCACCCCAAGATTCCATCTCCTTAACTCTCTCCCCACCACTGCAGCCCTCCTGGAACCACAGGAACAAAAGGGAAGGTGGGGGTGGTGTGGGTAGGGGAGGTTGAATGGGGCCCAAATCCCAGCATGTCAATAGTCATGACAAGGACCATTTAATGGGATGTGCCTGGCAGTGGCCTAAACTCTATACACAGATTAACTCAAGCAAGTCTCACGGCACAACTCTAAGAGGTAGATGCTGTTATAAGCGTCACCCCCACTTTTACTGATGAGGAAACTGAGGCACAGAATCACTTGCCGGCTGTCACACAGCTAGTTAGTATTGGAAGGGGACCTGGAGCCAAGCAGCCTGGCCGAGGGGTCTGTGTTCTTAACCACCAGGCCACCCTGCCCTCCCCGCTGCCCCCATATTAGACTAGGAGCTTGCGCAGACAAGCGCCCTGCCTGCACGGCTCTGCGTCCTCCCAGAGCAGGGCCCACCCTACCACTGTGTCCTCTGGCTCAGTATGACCGCCCACCATCCCCGATCCCTCGGGGCTTGAGGCTCCCTGTGGGCAGGGCCTGTGCCTGATTCATCTCTGGGTCCCTGCTGAGGGCAAAGCCTAGCCCACAGGGCCTGGGGAGGAGGCAGGGAGGGAGGGAGAGGGGAGGAGGGAGGCAGGGAGAGGACGTTAAAGAGAGCAGGGAGGGAGGTGAGGAGAAAGCAGGCAGAGAGGGGCTGGGGAGAAGGACGGGGAGTCCCCGGGGAGCCGGGCCTGGAGCTGGGCCAAGCCACACTGCTGTGGATGTTGGGGAGAGCAGAGGGAATGGGGGAGTCCAGTCAGCTGGGAGAGGGGTGCAAACAAACAGCATGGCCACCCCTCCCTCACCCCACCCCTATCCCGGGTGGGAGAAGATGGACCGAGATGGGCCTGGAAGGTGAAGGATGAAGGCCCGGGACGAACAAGATGCAAGGAGGGCAGACAGACACAGGACAGATGGGAGCCAGGAGAGCACGGGGAGGCAGCCAGCCAGGGTGTGTGCCTGGGGGCGGGAATTCAGACAGACAGACAAGGGTGAGGGAAAGGATGGGCGAGGGTGTTGGAAGACTGGAGACAGATGTGGGGGCTGGTCCAGGAAAAGGACAGACAAACTTAGGGCTTGGGGCTGGGGCAGGAGGGACAGACAGACAGAAGGGGAGAGTGGCCAGGAAGGAGGGGAGGATGGACACAGGGCGTCTGCAGAATTGGTGGGCAGATGGACGGAGGGACGGGCCGTGCAGTGCAGCCGGCGGGGCCAGGGCCAGGCCGAGGGCGCGAGGTGGCAGCCGGCCCGGGGAGGCGGAGGCTGAGCGAGCGGTGGTGTTTGTGGAGCTGTCGGCTGCGGTGGAATTATGAAAAATAGCAGGCATCGGAGCCGGCCTTCAGCTTCGATTAGGGGAGATGGGACATGACAGGTGCGATCAATACGCAGCCGTTCTATAAAGTGTCAAGTAATGAATCAATTTCGACTAAATTTTCCATTTTTCAGAGGCCGTTCTCCGAGAGAAGAATATCCTCTTTTGTAAAGATATTATTATCGATTTCGGCGGCAATTTGACATCAGGGGTAGTTAATTCCACTCAGAATAAAATTGAAAACACTTGAGAGAGAAAAGAGAGAGGCGAAGAGTGAGACAGAGAGGGAAAGAGGGGGAGGGAGGGAGGGGCTGGGAGAGAGAGATGGATGGACAGAGAGACAGAGACAGGGAGACAGGAACAGACAGTGAGAGAGACGAGAGAGAGAAGAGAGATGCAGAGATGCAGAGACATGAAGAGAAACTTGGAGACTGCAAAGCCTAGAGTTATAGAGAGACACAGGGACATTCAGAGAGACTCAGAGAGCAGAGACACCCTAAGAAAGGGCGACAGAGAGACAAATTGAGAGTGGCTCAGAGAGAAAATCCCAGATGTTACTAACTGGCTACAGAGAAGCAAAGAAATGGACAAAGACAATTCAGAGAAAAAGACAGATGGAGGACTGGGCAGCAGAAACTGATGACACAGACAGACAGACAGACACACAGAAGTGAGAGGCTGAGAAACAGGAACTTAGGGAACTGGGGAGAGGGGCTGAAGGGTGTGCGGAGCATGAGCAACAGAGAAAAGCGAGCCTGGCAGAGGAGAGGCCAGAGAGGCAGAGTGGAGGGGTGGGGGGCAGAGGGTAGGAGAGGGGCCAAGAGGCTGAGAACCTGCCAGGAAGTGGGGAGGAAGGGGCAAGGGTGCCAGGAGAAGGGCAGAGGCTGAGGGTTTGGGGCTGAGGGCCAATCTGGAGATGAGAGTTTGGGGAGATCCTCCTGTCCTATCTACGCTGTCCCCAAAGTCAGTTGCCCTGAATGGGCAGAAGCTCAGCGTGTGTGTGTGTGTGTGTGTGTGTGTGTGTGTCCCTGAGATCTGGTGTGCATGTGTGTTGGCTGGTGTCTGTGTGTCCTTGCATGTTGACTGAATCCCATATCCCATTAGACGTTTGTGTTTCCTGGACACACACACAATCTGTTTGTGTCCCTGTCCGTGTGCCTGCACATGCTGTGGGTCCCTGGTCTCCCAGTCCCTTGGGTCTCAGCTGCAGGCAATGGTGACAACATTTCTGGTTAGTGCCTGTCAGTCCCCAGCTGAAATCTCCATTTATCCCTGAGCAGGTCACAGGCTGCCTGGGAGGAAGAGAGAGGAGGCGGGTAGAGGATAGGACCCCTGGGTTCTGAGAGAGATGACCCAGGACCTGTACTCCTGGGTCTGAGGGAGGATGGTCTCAGATCCTGGGCTCCTGGGTCTGAGGGAGGAGGGGCTGGGGATTGGACCCACTGGGTCTGAGGGAGGAGGAGCTGGGAGCCTGACTCCTGGGTCTGAGACAGGAGGGCCTGGGGGCCTGGACTCCTGGGTCTGAGGGAGGAGGGCCTGGGGACCTGGACTCCTGGGTCTGAGGAAGGAGGCTGCTGGGGGCCGGGACTCCTGGGTGTGAGGGAGGAGGGGCTGGGGGCCTAGACTCCTGGGTCTGAGGGAGGAGGGACTGGGGGCCTGGACTGCTGGGTCTGAGAGAGGAGGGGCTGGGAGCCTGGATTCCTGGGTCTGAGGGAGGAGGGAGTGGGGCTGGGACACCCCATGGACAGGATAGTCAGCAGACAAGTAAGTAACAGGGCTGGCTGGGAAGCCCCCGAGCCATCACCAGCCTCCCCTCCAGAAAAGCCTGTGCCTGCTGCCCCCTAGTGGACATGGAGATTAGGCCAGACCAGGGACAGGGAACTGACAGGTCAAGGAGGGAAGCCAGAGGCGCTGACCCAAGTGGGAGCAGAGACAGGGGAGAGGGAGAGAGAGAGGAGGGAAGAGAGAAGGAGGAGATGGGTGGACAGACAGGCGGACACAGACAGGGACAAAGATGAATAGAGAAGTGGGCTGGGGTCAGGCCGACAGGATTGAGGACTCGACCTTGGTGGAGAAGAAAGAGAGACCGGGGAGTGAGTTCAGGGCTAGAACTGGAGATGGACAGGGAAAGATGGAGGACACAGGGGGTCTGCAGCAGACGGCAGGCAGAGGGTGAGGGTGACAGAGAGACTCTTGGACAGACAGAGGCTGGGCTGGTGAGACCTGGGTACAGACAGTACAAGAGACAGGACAGGAGCCATATGGACAGATGGACAGTGACAGAGGGATGGGAGCTAGGTCTAAAGGAGGGAGAAAACCCAGAGAACAGGCAGCGAAGAGGACAGGTGGACAGGGACAAGGGCAGGCACTCATGGAGAGACAGACGGACATCGGAGGGAACCGCAGACACACCCAGAAGAAAGAGGTGGACAGAGAGAGAGAAAGAGAGACAGGTGGTCACACACAGAGAGACAGACGGATGCGGAGAAATCAGGGCTCCCCAAGCCAAGTGGACACCCGGAGATGAAGCAGAGAGCGGTATGTGGGGGGAGCCCGGAGCCCGGCGGGGATTCCAGGCTGAGGGGCTCCCTGTGGCAAAGCCTAGGAGAGTTGCTGGGGAACAGTCTCCCCTGGCCGGGGTCTCTGCCCGCCACCCCCTCCCAGGCTCCCCCCCCACCCGGCGGGCTGCCCGGCGGAGGCGACAGATTGAGCGATGAGACGCATTACGCACTTAATCCGCCTGATTGAATGTTTTGCTTTCGCCCAAATTGAAACATTAAACAACACGGGACGAGAAGAGGCGGCCGCAAATCACTCATGAAAGATTCATCTTCTCCCAGGCAGCCGCCACCGCCCGCCTCCAAGGCTGCCCGCCCCAGCCGGGAAGCCTCAGGGTGGGGGTGGGGGTGGGGCAGCACCCCTGCTCACTCTGGGGAGCCCCAGCCCTAGTGGTCTGGGGAAGTTCTTCCCACTGTCTCGCCTCAATCCTACAGGTGGTCTCAGAGACTAGAACCCTGGATCCCTCGGCCTTCCCTGGACAGCATGACCTTAGCCCTGTCCCTGTCCCTCTCTGGCTGGGGAATCCTTGCCCTCTCTGGGGTCCATCTCTCCAGTTACCTTCCTGGACCAGCCTGGACCTTTGGGACATGGAAGGGGCTGCTCAGAGTTGGGGGATGAGGTCTGGGAGCCTCCTCCCCGTGCAGTGGGGCTTTCTGGGTTCTTGATCCAAGAGTGGGGGTGGTGTCTGGGGGCTGAGTCAGAGGGAGGTGGCCGCTGTGTCAGGATCAGTGCAAATGGGCAGACAGGGAGTGTGTTCCCTGCCACTTGGGAGCTCAGTGTGTCTCTGTGTCTGCCTGCATATATGACTGTGTATCTTCTGTCTCGCTCTGCCCATGTTGGTGTAACTTGCTTTGCGATTGTCCCTGTGTCACTACACTCAGGTCTCGGTGACCCTGCGTGTGACGGTAACTCTGTGGGCTTGTGGGTATGTCTGTCTGCCTGTCTGGCACTTTCTGTATGTGCGTCCTGTGGGCAGCATTTTTGTGTGGTGTGTGTCTGTATCAGTGTGACTTTTGGGGTGTGGCTGTGTGTGACTCCCTGTGTGTAAGTCTGTGGATGACTGTGTGCCGTGTCTGTCTGTCTGTCTGTGTGTTGCCTGCTCTGGGTCTGTCTGCAGGTCTGTGTTGAACTATTTCTGTGTCTGGGTCTCTTTTCTGCATCCGCATGTCCCTGTGTCTCTTTCAGCCTCTGTCTCTGTCTCTGCCTGAGGGGGCACCTGCTGGGGCCACTAGAGGAAGGCCTGGGTGCGGAGAAGCTGGGGAGAGAGGAGGCAAGAAAGACGGAGAGACAGGACAGCGGTGACGCCTGAGAACCAGGGAGCAGGGAGCAAGCGCGAGGGAGCTGGGGGGGCCGTTGTGGGCGCCACGGCCGGAGTGGGTGATCAATATTCGATTTAGGTTTTAATTCCGGGGCTTTTGGAGCCTGTCAGCCCTGATGTATGAGCTCACACTGGGGCCGCCCAGCCAGCCACCCCACCAGTGCCCATGGCCTGGTGGCCTGTCCTGGGCTCCCTGGCCCTGCCGGCGGTGGACTATAGGAGAGGGGGGAAGGGGAGAGGGGCCCAGTGAACTTGAGCTTGGTCCCTTGCCCACCCAGTGCACCTATGGCCCCTGCTCCTGCCTGGCCTGCCAAGCAAGGGGCCCCTAGAGGTCCTCAAACACCTGGTCGGGTCCCACAGCCTGCCTGTCTGCATGGACCTCATGTTCAGACACACACATAGCTCTGGGCTCATATATGCCTGTGCCCATGCAAACTCTAACACATACACCCCGGGTTCAAACACACATGTGCACACACAAGCCACCATGCATCTCCTCTGACATACATGTGTGTCCACATACAAACTCTGACACACATACGTGGTCCACACACATAACCCCAACGCATAGACACATAAAAGCACCACATGAACCGGAGGTGGGAACCCTGGGGACACAGCATTCTGGCAAGAGAGGCAAGAGACGGAGACACAGAAACTCAGACGGGCTAACAGTGAGAGATGAGAGAGACGGACCAGTGAAGAGCTCAGAGAAGAGCTTGAGAGTGGGGACAGACGCGGAGAGCCCCCGAGGGGAGGTTGGAGGCCACAGGGCAGAGCAGTGGACAGGGCTCAGCAGTGAGGGGGATGGGAGCCCCCCCAAACCCTGTCTCTTTCTCAGGAAGATGGATCCACCGCCCTCCCTGATGACAATGCTGTCTGCGCAAACTTTAATTAACACTTTGAGTTAATTAGTTCGAGATCATTTAGGAGTAAAATGTTTTTATTAGGGAGGCTGCGAGCCTGTTGATGGATGGGGCGCGATTCGCTCTTCCGCCTGCGGGGACAGCCGGTAAACAGAAATCAATCAGGGGCCTCCCAACCCAGCCCCCCCAGAGCCAAGCTCCCAGCCTAGAGCCCAGGAGTGGAGGCTCCCAGCCTCCTCCTTCCCCCAGGCCCCAGATTTCAGGCCCCAGCCCCTCCTCCCTCAGACCCAGGAGTCTAAAACCCCAGCTTCCTCTTCCCCCAAGACCTACGAGTCCAGGCTCCCAGCCCCTCCTCCATTAGGCTCACGAATCCAAGCCCCCAGCAGTCTCTTCCCTCAGACCCAGGAGTCCAGGCACCCCTGCAGCCTCCTCCCTCAGACCCAGGAGTCCAGGCCCCCAGCAGCCTCCTCCCTCAGTCTCATGAGCCCAGGCCCCAGCCTCTCCTCCCTCAGACCCAGGAGTCCATGCCCCCAGCCTCTCCTCCCTCAGACCCAGGAGTCCAGGCCCCCAGCCCCTCCTCCCTCAGACCCAGGAGTCCAGGCCCCCAGCCCCTCCTCCCTCAGACCCAGGAGTCCAGGCCCCCAGCCCCTCCTCCCTCAGACCCAGGAGTCCAGGCCCCCCAGCCCTTCCTTCCTCAGACCCAGGAGTCCAGGCCCCCCAGACCTTCCTCTCCCAGACCCAGGAGTCCAGGCCCCCAGCAGCCTCCTCCCTCAGACCCAGGAGTCCAGGCCCCCAGCAGCCTCCTCCCTCAGTCTCATGAGTCCAGGCCCCAGCCTCTCCTCCCTCAGACCCAGGAGTCCAGGCCCCCAGCAGCCTCCTCCCTCAGTCTCATGAGTCCAGGCCCCAGCCTCTCCTCCCTCAGACCCAGGAGTCCAGGCCCCAAGCCCTCCTCCCTCAGACCCAGGAGTCCAGGCCCCCAGCCCCTCCTCCCTCAGACCCAGGAGTCCAGGCCCCAGCCTCTCCTCCCTCAGACCCAGGAGTCCAGGCCCCCAGCCCCTCCTCCCTCAGACCCAGGAGTCCAGGCCCCCCGCGTCTCCTCCCTCAGACCCAGGAGTCCAGGCCCCCAGCCCCTCCTCCCTCAGACCCAGGAGTCCAGGCCCCCAGCCCCTCCTCCCTCAGACCCAGGAGTCCAGGCCCCCAGCCCCTCCTCCCTCAGACCCAGGAGTCCAGGCCCCCAGCCCTTCCTTCCTCAGACCCAGGAGTCCAGGCCCCCCAGACCTTCCTCTCCCAGACCCAGGAGTCCAGGCACCCCTGCAGCCTCCTCCCTCAGACCCAGGAGTCCAGGCCCCCAGCAGCCTCCTCCCTCAGACCCAGGAGTCCAGGCCCCCAGCAGCCTCCTCCCTCAGTCTCATGAGTCCAGGCCCCAGCCTCTCCTCCCTCAGACTCAGGAGTCCAGGCCCCCAGTAGCCTCCTCCCTCAGTCTCATGAGTCCAGGCCCCAGCCTCTCCTCCCTCAGACCCAGGAGTCCAGGCCCCAAGCCCTCCTCCCTCAGACCCAGGAGTCCAGGCCCCCAGCCCCTCCTCCCTCAGACCCACTAGTCCAGGCCCCAGCCTCTCCTCCCTCAGACCCAGGAGTCCAGGCCCCCAGCCCCTCCTCCCTCAGACCCAGGAGTCCAGGCCCCCAGCCCCTCCTCCCTCAGACCCAGGAGTCCAGGCCCCCAGCCCCTCCTCCCTCAGACCCGAGTCCAGGCCCCCAGCCCCTCCTCCCTCAGACCCAGGAGTCCAGGCCCCCAGGCCCTCCTTCCTCAGACCCAGGAGTCCAGGCCCCCAGCCCCTCCTCCCTCAGACCCAGGAGTCCAGGCCACCCCAGTTTCCTCCTTCAGACCCATGAGTCCAGGTCCCTGCCTCTCCTGGTCCCAGCTTGGTCGGGAGTCCACTTCTGTCGCAGGACCCGGCTTCCGGGCCCCCACCTCTAACCTCCCTCGGATGCCTGAAAACCCTGCCTGGTCCTCCGGGCAGCCGCCCCCCTCTCCCACCCGCGCCGGCCTCTTGGACACAGCACTAGGGTCGGATTCACAGTTGGGAGCTCCCTCGGCTGCGGGTCAGACCCTCCCCTCCACTCCCTCTCGAGGACCCTGACTCCGCGGCCCCGGAACTGTCTTCTCGCCGCCCCTCGGCGTCTCTGCGCGCCTGTCTCATCGGGTCTCGGCCGAGAGACGTCTCGGGCGTCCCCTTCCCCCGCGGTGACGGCTTCATCAGGTGTCCGCGCGGGCGGGGGCAGGGCGAGGCCTGGCGGGCGCGGGGAGCCCGGGGGCGGAGGGGCGGGGGTTCCGGGGCCGATAAATCTTCATCAGGCGGCGGCGGGGGGGCCATTAGGCGCTAATGGGAAGATGGAGGGGCCTGTCGGCCGCGCGGGCCGGGCCTCATTTGTCCTGCTTCCCGCTCCATTGGCCGCTGCCCCCGCCCCGCCCCTCCCCCGCCGCCGCGCGCCCCATTTCCGCTTCAAACCTTTGGAGGGGACGTGGGGGGGATCCCGGGGGCTGCTGAAAAAGAGGCGACTGGAAGGCAGGGACAGATTCAGGAAAGGGGAGGGGGCTCAGGGCATGGAGGGGAAGGGGGTTCGGTCGCAGAGCCAGTTTAGAACGTGGGTGGCTCAGCTAGAACGCAGGCGGAGTGGGCAGGAGAACGTGGCGGGGAGGGCTTGGAACGCGGAGAACGTGAATAGAAGTCCCCGAAGGAAAAGAGAAAGCGGGAGGGGGCCGTCGGGGACGCGAGAGGGGACTTGGAAGATGGGAGTGGCGGGGACTGGAACAAGGCGGGAGTGGGTGCAGGATTGGAATTAGGGGAGGGGGTCGGATCGCCGGCCCCAGCCTCCAAGGGCGGGGATCCGGGAAGGCGAGGGGGCGGCGTCCCCCGAGGCAGAAAGCGCGGACCCCGCCTGTCGCCGCCGCCGCCGCCCGCTCCCGGACTCGCGCCCCCCGCGCGTCCACTCTGATTTCTCGGCCCATTTTTCTTCCTCTCCTGTCACTCCGGCGCTCGCCCTCCCGCCGCCGGCTGCCCCGCCGCGCTCCGCTTCCCGCGGGAACCCCCGCTGCAGCCAGCCCCGGGGGCTCAGCCGGCTCCGCGCAGCAGCGCCCCCACCCCCACCACGCCTGGCCCCGATCAGTCCCCACCAGGACCACCTATTTCCCCAAGTCGGTCACCCACAAATGGACTGCCTCCCCGAACACCCCCAGGAGAGGCCCCGCCTTGGGGGGTAGCACTGGGGTTGGCTCCCCCAGCCCCTGGGACTAGATCCCTAGGACCTCAGGACCCTAGACTGAGATTCCCCCAAAGGAGGCATCTAGATACCCACAAACCAGGCCTTCGAACCCCTACCCTCCCTCTGAAGCCCTCACATGGACTGAAGACCCCTGGGATCAGACCTAGACATGGGCCTGGATCACCCCAGGCGGAGCGAATGGCTACCCCGACTCACAAACAGAAGGTGATAACCCAGCCTAGCTCCAGACAGCCCAAAATGAGGATTCTGGGGCCCAGCTCCATTCACCCCCAAACAAGTCCTCCAGCCCAAGACACTCAGAGAATAAGGGAAATGGACCTTAGCTCAGTCACCCCAAAATAAGCATCAGTAACCACAAGCCCCCCCCAAACTAGGCATGTATTCCCCATACTGTCACCCCCAAATTAGACGTTGGGGCCCCAAATTTGGCACACCTAAACTAGACTTTCCTCATTAAACCTCATCAGGACCCCAAGATACACCACCCACGATCTACAAAAGTAGGCCCCAGCTGCTATCACCCACTCAGCATGTGACCCCATTCTCAACACATACAAACTAGAAAATGGGACTGAAATTCAAACACCCTTAAACTGGGCAACCCCAAATGTGACAACTGGATCCTCAGACTCAAGTCAAAATGAGGATCTGGGCCTCACCCACCCTAAGGCTCCCCCAAACTAGACATCTGGCTCTCCAGACTCAGTTTCCACTAAACCAAGGAACCTCCGAAATGCCCCAGCAAGTCACCTTAACACTAGTCATGTAGGTCTCTACGTAGCATCACCCCTAAACCTTGCATCCAGACCCAATCATTGGTCACCCTAACCTATGCATGTGGACAACCAACTTTTTTTTTTTTTTTTTTGAGACGGAGTCTCCCTGTCGCCCAGGCTGGAGTGCAGTGGTGCGATCTCAGCTCACTGCAAGCTCCACCTCCTGGGTTCACGCCATTGTCCTGCCTCAGCCTCCTGAGCAGCTGGGACTACAGGTGCCCACCACCACGCCTGGCTATTTATTTATTTATATATTTATTTTTGAGACAGAGTCTTGCTCTGTCACCCAGGCTGGAGTGCAGTGGTGTGATCTCGGCTCACTGCAAGCTCCGCCTCCCGGGTTCATGCCATTCTCCTGCCTCAGCCTCCCGAATAGCTGGGACTACAGGCGCCCACCACCACACCTGGCTAATTTTTTTGTATTTTTAGTAGAGACGGGGTTTCACCGTGTTAGCCAGGATGGTCTCCATCTCCTGACCTCGTGATCCACCCGCCTCGGCCTCCCAAAGTGCTGGGATTACAGGCATGAGCCACCGCACCTGGCCTTTTTTTTTTTTTTTTTTTTTTTTTAAAGACAGGGTCTTGCTCTCTTGCCCAGGCTGGAGCTGGAGTGGCATGATCTCGGCTTACTATAGCCTCGACCTCCCAGGCTCAAGTGATCCTCCTGCCTCAGCCTCCCAAGTAACTGGGACAACAGGTATGAGCCACCACTCCTGGTCGACCAGCAGCTTTAGAAGCCCCCCAACTTGGCACCTGGAATTCCAGCATCACCTGCCCTTACAATACACATCTGAGCTTTCACCCCCACTCATAAGAGTTAGAGACCCCTCTAAGTTACCCCACGAACTCAGCATCTAGCCTCCCAACCTCAGACACCCCCAAAGTTAGGAGGACTCTGTGGCACTGAAGCTCAGATCTCCAAACTACCCCTTTTGTCCCCAAACTTCAGTCACCCTACACTAAGCACCCCATAGGCTGTTACCCCCAGAAGTAGGCAAGTCAAGAACCCCCAAATCAGGTATGTGCAGCTGACCCTCAAGGTCAGTCTTCCTAATCCAAACACCAAGAAGCTCATAATCAGAGAGACCTGAACTTGGGATTTAGAGTACCTGCCTCAAACACCCTCATAGCAGGTTGGATGGTGGCCCCCCAAAAAGGTATGTCCACATCCTAACCCCAGAACCTGCTAATGTGACCTTACAGGAAGAGTCTATTCAGATGCAATTAAATGAAGGATCTTGAGATGGGATTATCCTGAGTTGCTGGGGTGGGCCCTCAATCCATGTTAAGGGACCTGGTAACAGACAAGAAGAGGCCGGACGCGGTGGTTTACACCTGTAATCCCAGCACTTTGGGAGGCCGAGGCAGGAGGATCCCTTGAGCCCAGGAGTTGGAGGCCAGCCTGAGTAGCATACCGAGACCTCACCTCTACAAAAATAAAATTAGCTAGGCATGGTGGTGCACGGCTTAGTCCCAGCTACTCGGGAGGCTGAAGCGGGAGGATCGCTTGAGTTTGGGAGATCAAGGCTGCAGTGAGCTGTGATGATACCACTGCACTCCAGTCTGGGTGACAGTGAGACCTCTTCACAAAAAAAAAAAAAGGTGGGGGGGCCGGGCACAGTGGCTCACACCTGTAATCCCAGCACTTTGGGAGGCCGAGGCATGCGGATCACAAGGTCAGGAGATCGAGACCATCCTGGTTAACAGGGTGAAACCCTGTCTCTACTAAAAATACAAGAAAAAAAAAATTAGCCGGGCGTGGTGGCAGGCGCCTGTAGTCCCAGCTACTTGGAAGGTTGAGGCAGGAGAATGGTGTGAACCCGGGAGGCGGAGCTTGCTGTGAGCTGAGATCGCGCCACTGCACTCCAGCCTGGGCGACAGAGCAAGCAAGACTGTCTAAAAAAAAAAAATCCGATTGAAGCCACTCCTAATTCAGGCATTGAGCCTCCCAGAGGATCTGAGTCTCTGTGTCAGTCACCCCTAACTAGGTATCTGGGTGATTAGCCTCAGACATTCCCACACTAAGGAACAACACCCCGGGCCGGGCACGGTGGCTCACGCCTGTAATCCCGGCACTTTGGGAGGCCAGGTGGGCGGATCACCTGAGGTCAGGAGTTCAAGACCAGCCTGGCCAACATGGTGAAACCCTGTCTCTACTAAAAATACAAAAATTAGTTGGGCATTATGGTGGGCGCCTGTAATCCCAGCTACTCAGGAGGCTGAGGCATGAGAATGGTTTGAACCAGGAGGCGGAGGTTGCAGTGAGCCGAGATCACACCACTGCACTCCACCCTGGGTGACAGAGCAAGACTCTGTCTCAAAAAAAAAAAAAAAAAAGGAACAACACCCCAAACTCCATCACCCCAAACTAGGTACAAATAACCACAAACCCTGGCAACTAGGTCTTGAGACTCAGTGAGCCCCAAATTGTATATAAATGTTAGGAACTCATAACTAGTAGCCCTCAAACCAGACATCTGGTTGCCTTCTCTTAATCTCCCAAAGATGGGCTTCTCATACACGAGAGTGACACCCCCAGGAGGCATCTGATGACACAACCCCAGCTTGGCACTGGATCTGCTGAGGGACATCTGGGCCCCAGCTGTCACCCCAGATTGATGTTCGGGCTCTCAGATGGTCATCCCAACCTCAACATCTGGGCAGCTGGGATTACACACTCCTAAACTAGACATCTGAATGTTTTGCCACAACTACCCACAATCTAAGGCATTTTGGATTTGAGCCCCAAACTTGGGCTCTGAACCACGCCCCCAGCCTCAGAACTCCCTAACTGAACATCATGGTAAGTCACTTCTATTTTGGATTTAGGGTCCCAGCCTTAATTTGTTCCCAGATTAGAATATAGGCCCACAGGCTGGGCGCAGTGGCTCACGCCTGTAATCCTAGCACTTTGGGAGGCCAAGGCAGGTGGAATGCCCAAGCTCAAGAGTTTGAGACCAGCCTGGGCAACACAGTGAAACCCTGTCTCTACTAAAATACAAAAAAATTAGCTGGGCATAGCAGCGTGCGCCTGTAGTCCCAGCTACTTGGGAGGCTGAGGCAGGAGAATTGTTTGAACCCAAGTCCCAGCTACTTGGGAGGCAGAGGTTGCAGTGAGCCAAGATCACGCCACTGCACTCCAGCCTGGGTGACAGAGCGAGACTCCATTTCCACAAAAAAAAAAGAATACAGGCCCACAGTTTCACTCACCCCTAAATTAACCTTCAGGGCCTCAAGGTCAGCAAAACCACAGCAAGTCACTCTCAAAATAGGCATCTGAGCTCCACAGCCACCCACCCACACACTTTGCATATAGCCTCCCAGTCTCAGATGTCCCCAAAACTAGGGCCTGGGGCACCCAGGCTCAGTGACCCCCAGACTAAGCAAGTGAGCTCCAAACTTCAGTCAGCCCTAAGGTAATCAGTAGGACCCCCAAATCAACATGTGGGCTGCCAACCTCGGTCACCGCTAAACCTCAAAACCAGTCACCCTAGACTTGACACCTGAGTCTCCGAACTGACTCACCCCAAACATGACAGGTGAAATGCCACAGGAAGTCACTTCTAATCTAGACAGTAGGCCCCCACTGTCGTCACTAATGTGGGTGTCAGTAGCCCCCATCCCCGGCCTCAGTGACGAAGCCACACAACTGCAGACATCTAGAGCTGGGTGTTGGGTGTCCCAAAACAGGAACAAGGGCTCACACGTGCCCAGAACTGGGCAGGAGGAACTCCAGGCACCCCAAATTCAGGATCTTGAGCCCCAGCATCCATCTTCTCAAAGTGAGAATCTGAGTCCTCAGTGTTAGTCACCCATAAACAATGCATCTTGACTACCACAACCAACCATTTGCCCCCAAACTAGGGTTTTTTTTTTTTGAGATAGGGTCTTGCTCTGTCACCCAGGCTGGAGTGCAATCATGGTGCAATCATGGCTCGCTGCAGCCTCAAACTCCTGGGCTCAAGAGGTCCTCCCTCAGCCTCCTGAATAGCTGGGACTGCAGGCAGTTGCCACTGTGCCCAGCTAATTTTTTTGTTTTTTGTTGTAGAGATGGGGTCTCACTATGTTGCCCAGGCTACTCTTGAACTCCTGCCCTCAAGGGATCCTCCCACCTTGGCGGGACTAGCTGGGACTACAGCCCAGCTAGTTTATTTTTATTTATTTTATTTTATTTTTTTTGGAGATGGAGTCTCGCTCTGTTGCCCAGAGCAAGTGGCGCAATGTTGGTTCACTGCAACCTCCACCTCCCAGGTTCAAGCGAATCTCCTGCCTCAGCCTCCCAAGTAGCTGGGATTATAGGCGCACACCACACCCCAGCTAATTTTTGTATCTTTAGTAGAGATGGGGTTTCACCATGTTGGCCAGGCTGGTCTTAAACTCTTGACCTCAGGCGATCTACCTGCCTCAGCCTCCCAAAGTGCTGGGATTACAAGCGTGAGCCACTGCACCCGGTCCAGACTAGGCTTTAGACCCACAGGATCCTCTTGTGTCCAGTAAAGGGCAGCTGGGTCTCCAGGGCCAGAAATCCCAAGGTTACCTGTGCCCCAGCCACAGCGACCCCTAGGCCAGGCATTAGAGCCTCAGTCTCCATCTTCCCCCAGGGGTCTCTATCACTGCCACCCACAGGTGTGGAGGTGCTTTGAAAACACTGGCCCTCCATGTCATAGACATGAAGCACTCCTCAAGTGGGTCCTGAGTCCTGGGGCCCTGACCTCTTGACACCTCCATTCCAAATACCCAGACTCCTAGCTTCAGTGACCTTCACACAAAGCTCCACACCGCTGGCCACACTCACTCAGAGACCCCACACCTGAGTACAGGAAACCCTTGACTCAGTTGTCCCAGGAACATTCAGGCATCAGCACTCTCAGGCTCAGCCATGTTTAGAAGGGACCAGCACCCTAGACTCTGCGCCCCAGACTAGAGGACTGAAATGACAGCTCCTGCCGCCCCAAGTCAAAACAGGCACCCCTCAGCCTCATCCCTCCAGCTGCACAACTATGCCCCAAGTCTCTGTCCCCCAAACTAGGAAGTCTCTGCCACCCAGAACTGGGAAACTGTATCTCCATCTCTGTTACCCCAAGGCCGGGCCTTGACTTCTGGTCTCATCACCCCAAACTAGACCACTGATCCCAGTCTCTGCCTCCCCCAAATGGACAACTGAACCCCAATCACTGTCAGCTCAAACTGGACAAAAGGACCCCAGTCACTGTCACCCCAAACTAGAAAGCAAGACCAGTAGTCTCTGTCACCCCAAACATGACATGGATGAGTAATGTCTGGCACATCAAGATAGACAACAAGACCTAAACTGTCACCAGAAATTGGCAAGTGGATGAGCCCAGGAGTTCGAGATCAGCCTAGGCAACATAGTGGGACCCTGTCTCTATCAAAACAACACAAAACAAAATAAATTAGCTGGGCATGGTGGCACGTCCCAGGAGGCCTAGGTGGGACTTGAGCCCGGGGAGGTCAAGGCCACAGTGAGCCATGATTGCGCTACCTCACTCCTGCTTGGGCAACAGAGTAAGACCCTGTCTCAAAAATAAAATGAAATAAAATAGGCCGGGTGTGGTGGCTTAAGCCTGTAATCTCAGCACTTTGGGAGGCCGAGGGGGGCAGGTCACTTGAGGTCAGAAGTTTTAGACCAGCCAGATCAACATGGTGAAACCTCATCTCTGCTAAAAGTACAAAATTAGCCGGGCGTTGTGGCAGGTGCCTGTAATTCCAGCTACTTGAGAAGCTGAGGCAGGAGAATCGCTTGAACCCAGGAGGTGGAGGTTGCAGTGACCCAGGATCGCACCACTGCACTCCAGCCTGGGCGATAGAATGAGACTCTGTCTAAAAAAATAAAATAAGGCCAGGCACGGTGGCTCACACCTGTAATCCCAGCACTTTGGGAGGCCAAGGCAGGCGGATCATGAGGTCAGAAGATTGACTCCATCCTGGCCAACATGGTGAAACCCCATCTCTACTAAAAATACAAAAAATTAGCCAGGCATGGTGGCGCATGCCTGTAGTCCCAGCTACTCAGGAAGCTGAGGCAGGAGAATTGCTTGAACCCAGGAGGCAGAGGTTGCAGTGAGCCGAGATCGTGCCACTGCACTCCAGCCTGGTGACAGAACGAGACTCCATCTCAAAAAAATAAATAAATAAAAATTAAATTAAATTAAATTAGCAAGCTAGTCTGTCACCTCACAAATGTACTGGGACAATGATCTCTGTATAACAACCTACACAACCAGACCCCATTTCTGTTACCCAAAATACATGCAGGGGCCCCAGTCCGTTTCCCAAAAGCAGACAACCAGATACCCAGTCTCTGTCACCCATATATACTCTGGGACCCATCTCTGTCCTGTAAAACTAGACAACCTAGCCCTAGTTTCTTTGCCCCAAATACTGCTTGGCACCCCCAGTTTCTGTCACTCAACACTAGACAACCAGACCCCAGTCTCTGTCACCCCAAATATACCCAGGGATCCTAACCTCTGTCCCACAAAACTAGGCAACTGGACCTCCAGAGTCTATGAGGTCACATGTTCCCTGGTCTCTGTTTTCTCCCCACAAAACTATAAAACCAAATGCTCCATCTCTGTTACCCTGAATACATCACCCTGGGACCCAGTCTCTGTCTCACAGCCCTAGACAACCAACCCCCAGACACTGCCACCCCAAACGGGACAATTGTACTTCTAGGCTTCTAGGGTCTGTCACACCACGTTGAGCAACACGTTGCATAAAATGTGACCTCAGACTAGAGACCTGGGCCCACAGTCCCATTCATCTTCATCTGCTCGACCAGACTCCATCCAGTGTGTCTCCTAAACTAGACGGCCAGACCCCTGGTCCCACTCATGCCAAATGAGACAAGCTAACTTCCATTCTATGTCACCCTAAACTAGACCCTGGAACCCCTATCATTTCATCTCACCCTGGACAACTGATCCCTAATATCTGTCATTACAAACTAGGCAGCTAACCTCCTAGCCCCTGTCACCCCAAATTCAACTTCCCAGTCTCTGTGCCCCAGGCTAGGTCCTGGGATCCCAGTCTTTATCCCACAAAATTAGAAACCAGAACCCCCTGATTCTGCCACCCCAATCTAGGCAAAGAAACCCCCACTTCTGTTTCTTTTTTTTTTTTTTTTTTCAAGACAAGAGTCTCATTCTTTCACCCAGGCTGGAGTGCAGTGGTGCGATCATAACTCACTGCAGCCTGGACCTCCTGTGCTCATGTAATCCTCCCACCTCAGTTTCCCCAAGTAGCCGGGACTACAGGCACGCGCCACCAGGCCTGGTTGATTTATTTTTATTTTTTATTGAGACAGGGTCTTGCTGTTTCCCAGGCTAACCCCCACTTCTGTTGTCCCAAACTGGACATCTGGAACCCCGATCTCCAGCATCCCATACTATCCAACCAGATCCCAGTCTGTTACCCCAACTAGGCAACCAGACCTATAATGGCTGCAGCCTCAAACTAGCCAACTGGTCACCCCAGGTCTTCCACCCCAAGCCAAGGCCCTGATCCCCCCAACTGGTCACCCCAGGTCTTCCACCCCAAGCCAAGGCGCTGATCCCCCCAACTGGTCACCCCAGGTCTTCCACCCCAAGCCAAGGCCCTGACCCCCAGGGCTTTGGTCTTTAGCCAAAATTAGTTGGCCAGTCTTGTGGCCTCTGTAACCCCACCCAGATAATTGGACTGGTAGCCTCTGGCACCAAAGTGAGATAACCAGACCTCCAGTATCAGATACCACAGTGGAGTTCACCAGATCCCCAGTTACTGTTGCTCTAAACTGGTCATCAAACCCTCAGTCTGGTACCCCAAACCTTAAATTTCAGTCTCAACCCAGTGTCACCTCAAAAGAGCCAAGACTCTACATCCAATACCCCTAAGGAGGTGCCAGAAGTCCCAGTCTTCGCCACGAGAAACTAGACAATCAGAACCCAGTCTATCACCCCAAAACAGACCTTAGAATCTCAGCCCCCATCACCCCAACCTAGACAAGAACATTAGTCTCTGCCACCTCCAACAACTGGTTCCTGTCACACCAACCAGATGCAAGTCCCTAATCTGTCACTTAAAGAGAACTGGGCTGGGCGTGGTGGCTCACACCTGTAATCCCAGCACTTTGGGAGGCCGAGGCGGGCAGATCATGAGGTCAGGAGATCGAGACCATCCTGGCTAACACGGTGAAACCCCGTCTCTACTAAAAATAAAAAAAATTAGCCGGGCGTGGTGGTGGGCGCCTGTAGTCCCAGCTACTCGGGGGGCTGAGGCAGGAGAACAGCATGAAACCAGGAGGTGGAGGTTGCAGTGAGCGGAGATCGCGCTACTGCACTCCAGCCTGGGCGACAGAGTGAGACTCTGTTTCAAAAAAAAAAAAAAAAAAATTGAGAACTGAACCCATTTTCTTTTTTAAAGACAGGGTCTCCCAGGCTGGAGCGCAGCGTATGATCCTAGCTCACTGCAGCATCAAACTCTTGGATTCAAGTGATCCTCCTGTCTCAGCCTCCCAAGCAGCTGGAACCACAGGCATGCACCACCATACCCAGCTAATTTTTTCTTTTTTCTTTTTTTTTTTGTAGAGACGGGACCTCATTTTTTGACCCAAGCTGCTTTCAAACTCCTGGCCTCCCAAACAGATCTCCAATTACCATTACCCCAAATCAGAAACTGGATCCCAGGCTATATCACCAAACAAGACCACCAGATTCCCAATCTGTCACTTCCAACCAGCCAGCTGGATCCCAGACTGTCACCAAAATAGACAAGACCTTTGGTCTCTGTCCCCTTGATGAGACAGCAAGCCCTCCAATTTCTCCTACCCCAAACCAAACCTCGAATCTCAAGGTTGTTCAGGAGAGACAGAGAAATGGTACTGTAGTTTTGTTTTTATTTTTATTTATTTATTTATTTTTTCTCGAGACAGAGTCTTGCTCTTTCGCCCAGGCTGGAGTGCAATGGCGCGAACTCGGATCACTGCAACCTCCACCTCCTGGGTTCAAGCCATTCTCCTGCCTCAGCCTCCCAAGTAGCTGGGATTACAAGCGTGCACCACCACACCTGGATAATATTTTTTTTTTTTTTTTTTAAGTAGAGATGGGTTTCACCATGTTGGCCAGGCTGGTCTCAAACTCCTAACCTCGTGATCCGCCTGCCTCAACCTCCCAACTTGCTGGGATTACAGGCATGAGCCACCGCATCTGGCAGGTTTTCATATTTTTGATGGAGTCTTACTATGTTGCCCAGGCTGATCTTGAACTCCTGGGCTCAAGCGTCTTGGCCTTCCAAAGTGCTGGAATTACAGGCATGAACCACCACCTCCGGCCCTGGGACCCTAGTCTTGATCACCCCAGATGGAAGCTTCTGGTCTCAGCATCTCAATAACTCAACACCAGAATTTGAGACCTGTAGCCAGTTGCCTTCAGAATAGGCCTTTGGCCTGAGTACCAACCTCCCCCTGACCCGCAGCTCTAGCCTGCTGCCTCAGTGATCTCAGAACTGAGTGCTTGGGTCTTTGGCATCAGTAGCCTCCAAGCAAAGCACCTCGATCATATTCACTGCAAACCCAGCGATGTAGACTGGACCTAGCGTCCACTCACCAACATGGGCACGGACACTCAGTCTCCCCTGGGGAATACTGGCATTGAGGTCAACAAACACCCTCTGCTACTCCAAAATTGGGATTGGAACCCTGGCCTCTGAGTAGGCCCAGGTGACCTGACTTGGCCGGGGGCACCCCGGGTCCCCACCCTGCCTGGTGCCCCAGGATGAGTCCATCTCTAACTGCCTCCCTGGCGGAAGCACTTGTCTGCCCTCTGGTGGCAGATTCTGGAAGTGCACTCCTGTGTGGCGTCAAGACACCCAGGCTCCCCCTGGTCTTCCCATCTTTTGGGAAGCCTGAAGCCTGGGGGTCTTCCTGCTTCCTTCCACTCACCTCCCACGCAAGTCAGCCACCAAGACCTGTCCTTCAACCTCCTGAATCTCTCTTCCCTGTCTCGCCTCTCCACCCCACTTCCCTGCCCCATCTTCCCCAGCTAGGATCATCGTCCCTCGTCTCACTCCCTCCAGCCCATCCGCCACACAACCTCAGAGGGATAACCCTCTCTGCCCCGCCCCGCCCCTCCCCTGTCCCCGTTCCCCTCCCCTCCCCTTCCCCTCCCCTCCCCTTCCCCTCTCCTCCCCTCTTTTCCTTTTATTTTTCCCTTCCCTTTTCCCCTTCCTCTCCTTTCCTTTCCTCTTTCTTTTTTTTTTTTTTAGAGGGAGCCTCCCTCTGTTGCCCAGATTGCAGTGCAGTGGCGCGACCTTGGATCACTGCAACCTCCGCCCCCCAGGTTCAAGCGATTCTCCTGCCTCAGCCTCCCGAGTAGCTGGGATTACAGGTATGCACCACCATGCTGGGCTAATTTTTGTATTTTTAGTAGAGACAGGGTTTCGCCATGTTGACTAGGCTGATCTCGAACTCCTGACCTCAGGTGATCCACTCACCTCAGCCTCCCAAAGTGCTAGGATTACAGGCATGAGCCATCATGCCCGGGCTAACTTGCAATTTTCTATTTAATCCGCACACCCCCCGCCCCCGCCTTCTTTTTGAGACAGGGTCTCACTCTGTCACCCAGGCTGGAGTGCAGCGGTGATGCAATCTCGGCCCACTGCAGCCTTGACCTACTGGGCTCAAGCAATCCTCCCACCTCTGCCTCCCAAGTAGCTGGGACCACAGGCATGCGCCACCACACCTGGCTAATTTTTGTATTTTTTGTAGAGACAGGGTGTTGCCATGTTGCCCAGGCTGGTCTCGAAGTTCTGAGCTCATGCAGTCCACCCACCTTGGCTTCCCAAAGTGCTGGGATTATAGGCATGAGCCACCACACCCAGCAACTCTTGTTTGTTTGTTTTTAAAGAGATGGGGTATCTCTGTGTTGCCCAGGCTGAGTGCAGTGGCAGTCATGGCTCACTGTAGCATTGAACTCCTGGACTCAAGTTATCCTCCCACCTCAGCCTCCCAAGTAGCTGGGACTACAGGCCCACACTACCATGCCCAAATAACTGTTTAACTTTTTTGCAGAGATGGGGGTCTTGTTGTGTTATCCAGGCTGGTCTCAAACTCTTGGGCTCATGCAATCCTCCCACCTTGGTTTCCCAAGGTGTTAGGATTATACAGGCATGAGCCATGGTGCCCAGCCTTAATCATGTTTTTTTTCTTTTTTTTTTTTTTTGAGATCGAGTCTCGCTCTGTCACCCAGGCTGGAGTGCAGTGGCGCGATATTGGCTCACTGCAAGCTCCGCCTCCCAGGTTCACGCCATCCTCCCGCTGAGTAGCTGGGACTACAGGCGCCTGCCACCACGCCTGGCTAATTTTTTTGTATTTTTAGTAGAGACGGGGTTTCACCATGTTAGCCAGGGTGGTCTCGATCTCCTGACCTCGTGATCCGCCCACCTCAGCCTCCCAAAGCGCTGGGATTACAGGCGTGAGCCACTGCGCCCGGCCTCTTAATCGTGTTTTTAAAAGTAAAAAACAAAAGGTGAAATGAATAATAATTTAATCCACTATATCAATAAATTATCCTTCCAACACACATAATCAACATAAAAATTATTATTATTTTTGAGACAGAGTCTTTCTCTGTTACCCAGGCTGGAGTGCAGTGGCACAATCTTGGCTCACTGCAACCTCTGTGTCCCAGGTTCAAACAATTCTCCTGCCTTAACCTCCCAAGTAGCTGGGATTATAGGCATGTGCCACCATGCCAATTTTTTTTTTTTTTTTTTTGAGATGGAGTCCTGCTCTGTTGCCTAGGCTGGGGTGCAGTGGTGCGATCTTGGCTCACTGCAACCTCCGCCCCCTGGGTTCAAGCAATTCTCTGCCTCAGCCTCCCAAGTAGCTGGGATTACAGTGCACCGCCACCATGCCCGGCCAATTTTTTTGTATTTTTAGTAGAGACGGGGTCTCACCATCTTGGCCAGGCTGGTCTTGAACTCCTGACCTCGTGATCCACCTGCCTCGGCCTCCCAAAGTGCTGGGATTACAGGCGTAAGCCACCGCGCCAGGCCAATTTTTGTACTTTTAGTAGACACAGGGTTTCACCATATTGGCCAGGCTGGTCTAAAACTCCTGGCCTCAAGTGATCTGCCTGCCTCAGCCTCCCAATAGTGCTGGGATTACAGGTGTGAGCCACCATGCCCAGCCTATAAAAATTATTGAGATATTTTACTCCATTTTCATACTAAATCTTCGAAGTCTGGTGTGCATTTCACACTCATAGCATGTCTCAGTTTGGACCAGCCATGTTTGAGGCAGCCGCATATGGCTGGCCACCATATCTGACAGGAGAATTCCAGAACAGTGGGCATCAGTGGGCTCTGGGTGAGCACCTGCTGCATCAAGGATGAGTGGGTGAGTTCTGCTGAGGAGACACGAGGTTGGAGAGGCTGCATCCCTGAGGCCTTGGCACTCGCTGTCCCTCTCCTTGGGAAACTCCACCCACTTCTTGTGTCTCCTCAGAGAGCCCTCCCAGACCACCCCTATCTAAAGTAATTGGCGGGGCACGGTGGCTCACACATGTAATCCTAGCACTTTGGGAGGCCAAGACAGGTGGATCACCTGAGGTCAGGAGTTCGAGACCAGCCTGGGCAACACAGTGAAACCCTGTCTCTACCAAAAATACAAAAAAATCAGCCGGGCGTGGTGGCAGGCGCCTGTAATCCCAGCTACTCGGGAGGCTGAGGCAGGAGAATCACTTGAAACCGGGAGGTGGAGGTTGCAGTGAGTCGAGATCGCGCCATTGCACTCCAGCATGGGCAACAAGAGCGAAACTCCATCTCAAAAAAATTAAAAAATAAAACTAAAAATACAAAAATTAGTCAGGCGTGTTGGTGGGCACCTATAATCCCAGCTACCTGGGAGGCTGAGGCAGGAGAATAGCTTGAATCTTGGAAGTGGAGGTTACAGTGAGCCGAAATCACACCATTGCTCTCCAGCGTGGGCGACAGAGAGAGACTCCATCTCAAAAAAATAAACAAATAAATAAAAATAAAAAAATCAAGTCACTTCTTAGGCCCTCTCGGCCACCTCCCTTGTCTTCATCTGCCTGGCACTTTCCCTCCCAAGTGTGTTTCTCTTTTGTTACTGCTACCACGTGGCAGTCTCCACCTCATGATGAAAGGCAAACTGGACCCGGCACGGTGGCTCATGCCTGTAATCCCAGAACTTTGAGAGGCTGAGGCAGGAGGATTGCTTCAGCCCAGGAGTTTGAAACCAGGCCAGGCAACATAGTGAGACCCTGTCTAATGAAAAGTTAAAAAAAATTAGCTGGGTGTGGTGGCGTGCACCTGTGGTCCCAGCTGCTCAGGAGGCTGAGGTGGGAGGCTCACTTGAGCCCAAGAGGTAGATGCTGCAGTGAGCAGTGGTCACACCACTGCACTCCAGCCTGGGCCATAAAGTGAGACCCTGTCTCAAAAAAACAAAAGGCAAGAAGCAAACTGGGCTGGACACAGTGGCTCACACCAGTAGTCCCAGCACTATGGGAGGCTGCAGGGGGAGAATCGCTTGAGCCCAGGAATTTGAGACCAGCCTGGGAAACAAAGCAAAATCCATCTCACAAAAGCAAACTGTGTCTTTCATCTCAAGCAGAGTAAAACCCAAAGCCCTCACCGTGGCCCACAAGGCTCCCTGGCCTCCCACACTGTCCCCCTCGCTTATCTGCCCCAGCCACGCCCACCTCCTGGCTGCCCTCGAGCCTCCTGGCTGCTGCCATCTCCCAGGCTATGCCCCTGTGGCTTCCTCTGCCCCAATTATTCTTCCTCCAAAGGATCTGGGCTGCTCCCTCTCTCAATTTAGGTCTTTGGTGAATGTCACGTCAGGGAGGCCTTTTCTGGTCACCCTCTTTAACCCACAACTCATTCCCGAACTTTCTCTGTGCAGAAAAGAGTTAACCTGGCAGGCTCCACAACAGACTGCTGTCCTTAGACAGGCCTGGGTGCACAGTTGGTCCTTGGCTGGGAACTTGGGTGTTGGGGGGGGGGTCTTATCACTTCCTGATAGAGTGGCTCGCTGCATCTATCTAGGCTGTTCGTGCAGGCCTAGAGTGGCTTGCTGCATCTATCTAGGCTGTTCGTGCAGGCACAGGCCTTCTTTCTGGGAGCCTGGCATTTTGGTATATGTTGGAGAGAAGGTGCTCTTGTGGCCGCCCCCATGAAACCAAGGGCGCTGAGGCTAGGATCAGAGTGTCCCTGGCTGACATTTCACACGTCACCATGATCCACTGCTGGAGGAATTAGGTGTGGCCTCTGGAAGTGCATGCCTGGTTTCCCGAGTTCACTCCATGCACCTTTCCTTTTGGCTGACTTGGCTCCATACCCTTTGATGAGAGTAAATCAGAGCTGTGAGTGCAATTGCATACTGAGTCCCCAGTCCCAGAGAACCATCAAACCTGGGGTGCTCTCTGATTCCTGAGTCCTAAAGAACCATCAAACCTGGGGGTGGTCTCGGGGACCCCCGGCACACTGTCCTTCTCAACTCTTTTCTCCTCCTGAACACTCACCACCATTGGGCATCCCATAATATTTTACCTGTTTACCTTGTCATCGTCTTGCCCACACCCCAGGTTCCACCCCAACCCTGCTCTGTGCAGTATTCCCAGCTCCACCCATAGAGACCCACAGAAGATGCTGGGGGAATATTTCCTGAATGACACCCATAACAGCTTTATTTTCAAAGGCGGGATCCCTCCCCGGGCTTGTGATGGGACGGCGCTGTGGGCCCGAGCAGCAGAGCCGTGCAGGACAGGCATGGGCAGGGGTGGGGCAGCTGGCCCGGGAGGCCGGCAGGTCCCAGAAGACACCTCACACGGGTTCCATCTGCAGCTCCTCCCCGTCCACAGCCTCAATCTGGTGGAAGGCAGCGTGGGAGCCGATGACCACCAGGGTGGCTCCTGCAGGAAAGCCGGCAGCTCAGGGCCACACTCCTGCACCTGGCTCCCACCATCCACCCCAGCTGCTCAGACCCTGTACTCACCCAGCACCCAGAAGACGGCCGAGCCCGCACCAGCCAGCCAGAAGAAGGGGAAGGAGATGCCTCCAGCCAGAGCATACTGATGCGCTGGGCTCACCTCTCGGCCTGGGGGCAGATGGCATTGGGGTGCTGTTCCGACTCTCCATGCCCTCTCCCAGAGTAACCCCTGCTGCCCCCCAACAATCCGTACAAGCTCCAGGTTCTCGGGATCGAATCCAAACTCCTCATGCCAAGGCCCTCCAGGTCCTGGGGTCACCCTGTTCCCCTGCTGTCCCCACTGCCCTCCAGAACACAGCACACCGTCCTCGCCTGCCTCAGCCCCACCCTCTGCCCTCTGCCCCACATCCTCCAGGAAGTTCCTGGGATCCCGGCTTCCTGCTCCCTAGACTAGGGCTCTCCTGCTGCAACCCTCGCGCAGACCAGGGTCTCAAACTGGTGGCCCAAGGGCCAAATCTGACCTGTGGATGTGTTTTTTGAGCTGTTTTGCAAGGATGTGATTTGTGGCTGGCAAAGTGAACGATTTCACATAAAAATACCAACTTCAGGCTTCTCATAGAAGTCTCAGGGATGGGGTCTACATGCTCTGGTGACGGTGATCAGCTGAAGCCAAGTCGTGCCTGTGCTTCAGGCACTCCCTCCACCCCAGCCCATCAAGCACATAACTTGCAGGCCCCTGAAGAGCCTGGCCTTCAGGTCTACCTAACTGTCCAATCCCAACTCCCTGACCCCACTCCAAACCTTGATTTTCCCCTGGGGGGAATTTCCCCTGGCATTTTGTTTTCCCAGTGGTCCTTGGTACTACTAGTCTGGGAACCACATGAAACATACTCCTCGGCTTCCCTCTCTAAGTTCCAAGTTCTTTCTGGTCACACCCCAGAAAGCAGGAAAAGAAACGGGAACAGATCTAGGCCAGTGTAAGGTGGCCACCTGGTGTCCAGTGTGGGCACCTGCAGCTGATGTTGGCCGCAGAGAGCGGCAAGGGGAGGAGAGAGAGGGGAGGAGTCATGTGGTTTGAAAAGGAGTAGGTTTAAGGCACAGCAGCCAGGTGGATCCTGGGTTTGAGGAATAGCAATTTGAGGGGGCTGAGACTCGATGGAAGGATCGGTTGTGTCTGAGATTTTAAGGGATCAGGTTTGGGGGATCTAGTGTACATCTAGGCTTGGGCGGACTTGGGTTTTGAAGGACTTGGATTTGGGGTCTGAGGTCTGTCTGCATTCCAAAAGACCAAGATTTGAGGGACCAAGGATTCATCTGGGCAGGGGGTTTCTCACCAAAGAGCACAAGCTTGGACTCCAAGGTGCGCAGATAGAGAATGTAACAGGCGCCGAAAAAGACAGCCAGAGCCACCAGCAACATAGGGGACGTCACCCTGGAGGAGGAGTGCAGGGAGGCAGCGGTTAGACAGCTGGGGCTGGGCCAGCCCGACGGCCCTGGCCTTCTCCACCGGCGGGCGGCAAGCTACATCCTGGAGACCAGGGAGGGCCAGGTGACATTTAGTCACACTGCATCCTGGCCAGGGTGATGGTGGGGTAGGGGACCTGGCCCTTTGGTGACAAGGTAGTCTAGCAGAGCCAATCCTTGGGGGCGGGGCCTGGGCGGTGAGAAGAGGGCCCTGGGCGGTGAGAGGAGGGACCGGGCGGTGAAGGGCGGGGCCTGAGCGGCGAGAGGAGGGGTCCAGCCGGTCGGGGCTAGTGCGGGTGCGGGGCCCGGGAGGCACTCACACACAGTACAGGATGAGGCCCAGGAACACGAACACATAGTTGCTCTGGTAGTACTCCACGTTGCGTACGAGGCGCTGGCACAGCTCTCCCAGGTTGCGGGGCCGTGAGAAGCGCTGCTGGTCCACGAAGGTGCTCCAGGGCCGGATGGTCGCGCGGCGCCGCTCCAGCCACTCCCGGCCTGCACCGGAGGGAATCAGCTTCGGCAGCAGGGTCCTGCGGGGGGTGGGGCCGGGTCAGTGGTGGACCGGGATGGAGCCCCAGACCCCCGCAAAAGAAGGGGACTAAGGGTGCCTGGACTCCCTCCCGGGACCCCAGATTCCTGTACAGCAGGCAGGGAGGGGACTAGGGGCCCAGACTCCAGGGTCCCATTAGAGGAGACCGGGGCCAACACTTCTGCGGCTCGGGGCTGGGACTCCAGGCTCTCGAGGGAGGAGGGAGGAGGGGGCCGGGGGCCCGGACTCCCGGGTCTCTGGTCCGAGGGCCTAGAGCCAGCTCGCTCACGTGCCGCTCAGCCCTTCCGCCTCGGCATCTTTCTGCTGGTCCTTCTGCGCTGCCATGTCTGCGTCGTGAGGGGTAGAGCTGCTGTAACCAGCCCGGTACCCTGAAGACCCCGCCGGCCCCGCCCGACGCCGGCCCCACCCAGCGGAGTCGACGTGGCGCAGCCCCGGAGCAGCTGGGGACTGTAGTTCTGCCGCCGAGTATTGTGGGAGTTGTAGTCCTGACGGTGACTAAGAGGATGGGCGCTATGATGGCGGTCTGACTCGCAAAACACCTTGGGAGATATAATCCCAGAAAGTGACGGCGCGCGCCTCTGGGTATTATAGGAGTTGTAGTTTCAGGAGGGTGCATGTGGGCTGTCAGGAGCGAGGGCGTTATGGGAACTCTAACGGCAGAAGCGGGCGTTGTGTACTCTCCCAGGGAAGGCACAATGGGGACCGTGCAGAGCTGTCCTTCTGACTCTAGAGGGCATAAAAAAACACCTGGAGGGCTTGCTAAAACAGATTCCTGGGCCCTAGCCCAGATGTTTTCATTCAGCAAGTCTGGGGTGGAGCCCATAATTTCCATTTCTGAGTTCCCAGGTGATGCTGATGCCCCTGGTCCATGGACTACATTTTGAGTAGAAAGATTTAGATAATTTGTGGGAATTGATTCCTTCCTCAAGAGATTGAGGCTAGTGAGGGGGCCATGGTTGCTGGAGGGGTATCTGAGGTTGCCCCCTGCCCCACCTTGTGGAGTCCCAAAGATGAATGAGTTGGGGCTAGGGACACCTCCGACCCCGCCACACACACCTTTGGAGAGAAGGGAGTGAAGTTGGGAAAGACAAAAGGTTGAGAAGTTTTGTGGGCTTTTTTGAAATGGAGTCTCGCTCTTGTTGCCCAGGCTGGAGTGCAATGGCGCAATCTCGGCTCACTGCAACCTCTGCCTCCTGGGTTCAAGCGATTCTCCTGCCTCAGCCTCCAGAGTAGCTGGGATTACAGGCGCCCGCCACCACGCCCAGCTAATTTTTGTATTTTTTTAGTAGAGACGGGGTTTCACCATGTTGGCCAGGCTGGTCTCGTACTCCTGACCTCGTGATCTTCCTGTCTCAGCCTCTCAAAGTGCTGGGATTACAGGCGTGAGCCATTGTGCCTGGCCCACAGGGCTGGAATTCTAATTGAATTCTAATGGGGTGAACCAGAACAGGGCCTCAAGAAATGTGTGTGGAAGTATAGGGAAGCCTGGGCTCCCTTAAGCAGACTGGGATCCTAATTTTCCAAAGCAGCTGGGTGGGGCTGGAAGGAAAATATCTATATGGGATAACCAGGTGACCTTTTTTTTTTTGAAAATTTTTTTAAGTAGATAAGGGATTTTGCTGTGTTGGCCCAGTAGGTCTCAAACTCCTGGACTCAAGCGATCCTTCTGCCTGGCCTTCCCAAGTATTGGGATTACAGGTGTGAGCCACCATGCCCAGGTTCAAGTGACTTTTTTTTTTTTTTGAGACGGAGTCTCACTCTGTCGCCAGGGCTGGAGTGCAGTGGCACAATCTTGGCTCACTGCAACCTCCACCTCCTCCTGGGTTCAAGCGATTCTCCTGCCTCAGCCTCCCGAGTAGCTGGGATTACAGGCGCCCGCCACTATGCCCAGCTAATTTTTTGTATTTTTAGTAAAGATGGGGTTTCACCATGTTGGCCAGGCTGGTCTCGAACTCCTGACTTTGTGATTTGCCCGCCTCGGCCTCCCAAAGTGCTGGGATTACAGGTGTGAGCCACTGCGCCTGGCCCCAAGTGACTCTTTTAGGCCCAGCTCTTGTCTTCCAAGATCTACAGCAGTTTAGGGTTTGTGCTTTGAGGCCTGCTGGAAGGTGTTCCCAGGAGGTGGGAGGAAGATGGCCCTGTCTGAGGGGCTGGTGGCGCAATAGGCAGGGAAGCCCTTTGCAAGGGCCCCACACTGAAGATGGAAGAGTTACACTTTGAAGATCAGATTGGCTAGTTACTGTTTATTTCCTCTTTGTCACCCCCAGGCTTTTAGTGGAATCAGGTTTCCTTTTTTTTTTTTTTTTTTTTTGAGATGGAGTTTCACTCTGTTGCTCAGGCTGGAGTACAGTGGCACAATGTCTACTCACTGCAACCTCCGCCTCTCGGGTTCAAGCGATTCTCCTGCCTCAGCCTCCTGAGTAGCTGGGATTACAGGTGTGCACCACCATGCCCAGCTAATTTGTGTATTTTTAATAGAGACGGGGTTTCACCATGTTGGTCAGGCTGGTCTCAAACTCTGACCTCGTGATCTGCCCACCTCAGCCTCCCAAAGTGCTGGGATTACAGGCGTGACCCATCACACCTGGCCTGGAATCAGGTTTTCTAAATAGGATTCAAACTTGAAAATCAAAGGAGGACTGCGGGGCTGGGCGTGGTCCTGTAATCCCAGCACTTATGGGAGGCTCAGGAGGGTGGATCACTTGAGGTCAGGAGTTCAACACCAGCCTGGCCAACATGGCAAAAGCCCATCTCTACTAAAAAAAAAAATACACATGCCTGTAATCCCAGCTACTCGGGAGGCTGAGGCAGGAGAATCACTTGAACCCAGGAGGCGGAGGTTGCAGTGAGCCAAGAGTGTGCTATCGCACTCCAGCCTGGGCGACAGAATGAGACCCTGTCTCAGAAAAAAACAAAACAAAACAAAACAGAAAACACCAAAGGAGGAGTGCAATAGCACAATTAGCCCCGAGCAGGAATAGGGGAGCAGCATCTGAATTCAAAGGGCCAAAGCAGCAGAGGTAGCCCTTGGAAGAACCTCCACCGAAAGACAGAGCTTGGGGAATAGAATTGGGACAGAGCTCCAGCTGCCTCTTTGGTGGCAGGCCGTAGGAGATTCAGGATGGACTTTTGTTATGAGAGCTGTTGGGTTTCCTTATAGGAACTGAATGAAAGCAATTTCATTCCAAAACCCACTGGTCTTTGTTCTGAGCAGAGAACATAGAGGCAGAGGCCTGGAGGTGTCGAACAGCGCAGGCCATGGCAAGAGACGGGGAGGGGGACAGTGGAGTCTGAGGGGCAAGGACATTGCAGGAGGGGTCCTAGGAGTGGGAGGGTGGGGGGGGACTTTGAATAAGGGAATTTCAGGAGATGGGACCTGGACACAGGGGTAATGTGGGAGAGGAGGGCCTGAGGCAGAGACATCATGAGATGGTGAGAAATGGGGTCCCTGAGGGAAGGGGCCTTTGGCAGATGGGCCCTGAATTAGGGGGGTAGGGGGTTGGTGTGCTGGGAGATGAGGGGGCACCTGAGAAGATTGTGAGTCCCAGGCCAGGTGTGGCTCACGCCTGTAATCTCAGCACTTTGGGAGGCCAAGATGGGCGGATCACTTAAGGCCAGGAGTTCGAGACCAGCCTGCCCAACATGGTGAAACCCCATCTTTACTAAACATACAAAAAAAAATTAGCTCGGCGTGATGGTGCACGCCTGTAATCCCAGCTACTCAGGAGGCTGAGTCAAGAGAATCGCTTGAACCCAGGAGGCAGAGGTTGCAGTGAGCTGAGACTGTGCCACTGTACGAGACCCTATCTCAAAAAAAAAAAAAAAAAAAAGAAAAAGATGGGTGCCTCCAGCCTGAGGACTCCTCCCTCCCTCCTGGGATCCCCAAGGAAGCGGTGCTGGGAAAGCAGGAAGACCTTAGCACATTCAGCCAGAAATGTGGGTCACTGTCCCTGCTGTGTGACCTCAAGGAAAGCCCTCCCGTCTCTGGGCCTCAGTCTCCCCACCTGTCTATGGGAGCGTCTCTTCCCCTGCACCAGAAAAATTAAACAGTATGTGTGGGTTTCCTAGGAGAGGTCTGGGCTCATGTAGCCCCTACCAGGACCAGGCTGTACTCTGGGGTCACCAGGGGTGCCCAGCGCACATGGCCCCTGCCCTCCAACTGCCTTTCCCCCTCAGATTCGGGAGTTTCTCCCTCATCCATTGTCTTGTGCAGTGGGTGTGTACATGCACTTGCACACTCACCCACTCACACTCACTCTCAGCATCCTGGCCACAGACACTGGCATTGGGAGGCAGGCAGGCCCAGGCCTGGCCCCAGCCCCTCCTCTGACTTGCCTCCCTGAGCTGTGTTAGGAAGGCTGCCTCGAGGGAAATGGATTCACTGCCCCACCAAGGTGGCAAAAATGAAAAGGACTGACAACTCCCAGTGGAGGAAGGATGTGGAGCAGCTGCTGCTTCCTTACACTGTTGGATGCAGAATGGCACTCGAACTTTGGAAAGGGTCTGGCAACGTCCATGAAAGCTAAACATGGTCTATCCCATGAACCAGCAATTCCACTCCCAGGCACGCGTGTACCCAACAGAGTGCACATCTGTCATTAAAAGACACAACTAGAGGGCTGGGCGCGGTGGCTCAGGCCTGTAATCCCAGCACTTTGGGAGGCCGAGGTGGGCAGATCACAAGGTCAGGAGTTCGAGACCAACCTGACCAACATGGTGAAACCCCGTCTGTACTAAAAACACAAAAATTAGCTGGGCGTGGTGGTGCACGCCTGTAGTCCCAGCTACTCGGGAGGCTGAGGCAGAGGAATCACTTGAACCCGGGAGGTGGAGATTGCAGTGAGCCAAGATCGTGCCAGTGCACTCCAGCCTGGTGACAGAGCGAGACTCCGTCTTAAAAAAAAAAAAAAAAAAGAAAGGCCGGGCGCGGTGGCTCACGCCTGTAATCCCAGCACTTTGGGAGGCCGAGGCGGGTGGATCACGAGGTCAGGAGATTGAGACCATCCTGGCTAACACGGTGAAACCTCGTCTCTACTAAACATACAAAAAATTAGCCGGGCGTAGCGGCGGGCGCCTGTAGTCCCAGCTACTCGGGAGGCTGAGGCAGGAGAATGGTGTCAACCCGGGAGGCGGAGCTTGCAGTGAGCCGAGATCGCACCACTGCATTCTAGCCTGGGCGACAGAGCGAGACTCCGTCTCAAAAAAAAAAAAAAAAAAAAAGACATAACTAGAGGGCTGGGTGCAGTGGCTCGTGCCTGTAATCTCAGCACTTTAGGAGGCTGAGGTGGGTGGATCACTTTTTTTTTGTTGTTGTTGAGATGGAGTTTCACTCTTGTTGCCCAGGCTGGAGTGCAACGGCTCGATCTCAGCTCACTGGAACCTCCGCCTCCCGGGTTCAAGCAATTCTCCTGCCCCAGCCTCCCAAGTAGCTGGGATTAGAGGAGTGTGCCACCATGCCCGGATAATTTTGTATTTTTAGTAGAGATGGGGGTTTCTCCATGTTGGTCAGGCTGGTCTCGAACTCCCGACCTCAGGTGATCTGCCTGCCTCAGCCTCCCAAAGTGCTGGGATTATAGGCGTGAGCCACCGTGCCTGTTTTTTGTTTTTCTTTTTAGATGGGGTCTCACTCTGTCACCCAAGCTGAAGTGCAGTGGCGTGACCTCGGCTCACTGCAACCTCCACCTCCCAGGTTCCAGTGATTCTCCTGCCTCAGCCCTGTGAGTAGCTGGGATTACAAGCACATGCCACCACGCCCAGCTAGTTTTTGTATTTTTAGTAGAGACGGCGTTTCACCATGTTGGTGGGCGGATCACTTGAGGTCAGGAGTTTGAGACCAGCCTGGCCAACATGGCAAAACCCAGTCTCTAATAAAAATACAAAAACTAGCCGGGCATGTTGGCAGGTGCCTGTAATCCCAGCTACTTGGGAGGCTGAGGCAGGAGAATCGCTTGAACCCAGGAGGTGAAGGTTGCAGTGAGCTGAGATGGTGCCACTGCACTCTAACCTGGGTGACAAAGCAAGACTCCATTTCAAAAAAAAAAAAAAAAAAAGACATGACTAGGATGTTCCTGTCCCTAGCAGCACCAATTGTAATAGCCCCAAACTGGAAACCCCTAAGTCCCCCAACAGGAGAATAGACAAATTGTGTTATAGTCCCACAATGGGATGAAAAGGAAGGGGCCACAGATGCAGGTGACAATATGGATGACTCCTATAGACATAATGCTGAGAACAAGGAGCCAGACACAGAGATCACATGCTGTAAGATTTCATTTGTATGAAGCTCAAGAACAGGCACAACTGATGTGTGGTAACAGAAACCAGATCAGCTCTTGCCTCTGGAGGGGAGGCGACTGGAGGGGCTCCAGTGAACTTTCTGGGTGGAGGGAAAGGTTCTATGCCTTGATGTGGGTGGTAGCTTTGCAGATGCAACTTTTTTTTTTTTTTTGAGACGGGTTCTCGCTGTTGCCCAGGCTGGAGTGCAGTGGCATGATCTCGGATTACTGCAACCTCTGCCTCCCGGGTTCAAGCAATTCTCCTGCTTCAGCCTCCTGAGTAGCTGGGATTACAGGCATGCACCACCATGCCCAGCTAAGTTTTTTGTTTTTTTGTTTTTTTGTTTTTGAGACGGAGTCTCGCTTTGTCACCCAGGCTGGAGTGCAGTAGTGGGATCTTGGCTCACTGCAAGCTCCGCCTCCCAGGTTCATGCCATTCTCCTGCCTCAGCCTCCCAAGTAGCTGGGATTACAGATGAGTGCCGCCACGCCAGGCTAATTTTTTTTTAATTTTTAGTGGAGACGGGGTTTCACCATGTTAGCCAGGATAGTCTCGATCTCCTGGCCTTGTGATCTGCCCGCCTCGGCCTTCCAAAGTGCTGGGATTACAGGTGTGAGCCACTGCGCCCAGTTTTTTTTTTTTTTTTTTTTTGTATTTTTCGTAGAGATGGGGTTTCGCCATGTTGGCCAGGCTGGTCTCGTACTCCTGACCTCAAGTGACCCGCCCGCCTGGGCCTCCCAAAGTGCTGGGATTACAGGCGGGAGCCACCGCGCTTGGCCTGCAGATGCAATTTTTAAAATCATTGAGCTATACCCTTAAGATGCGTGCACTTCACTGTATGAAAGTTTATCTCAATAAAAAGAGAGAATAGCGTAGTGACCTAGAACTTTGGACAGCCTTGGTTCAAATCCCAGATTTGTCTCTTCTTAGCTGTGTGCAAATCACTTCTTCTCTCTGTGCACATTTAATGCACACTTAGAAGTGGGCAGAGCACATAGCAGGCACTCAGTGAATCACTGTCATCACCATCATCATCGTCATTGTGTCCCCTGGGTCCTACTCCTATAGGAGAGGCTCCCAGTCACCATCCCACGTCTGCTTCCCTCCCTCTCCCCTGTTCTGATTCCACAATGCCATCGCCTGGTGAATTCAAGCTGCTCTGACTTTCGTGGAGTTGAAAACTCCGTGATTAGATGGCTCTGAGATTCCGTGACTTCCAAGCCAGTGCCAGGCTAAGTTCCTGCAGTTTCGAGAGTCGCCTGGCAGCGCGCCCCAACAGAGGGGATGCTGTCCCAGCCGCAGTCCCCGTCTGGAAAGCAGGCACAACACACACACCGCTTCTCTCTCCCCACTGATATATTTGATAATTGTCCAGAACCAGAGATGGCATCAGCCGGGGGGCTGAAGGGGAGTAAAAAAGAGCCCAGGGAGGTGGCTGGGGCGGGAGGAATGGATAGAGGGGTGAGGAGAGGGAGAGAAACTGACACAGAAAAGAGAGAGGAGAGAGGTTTGGGGCAGGGGAGAGAAGCCAGCCAGAGTGGGGGCGGCAGGAGATAGTGGAGGGGGTGGGGGCCAAGGTGGGGCCACAGGAAGAGAGGGCTCCTCCCCCCAGAATACAAAATTGGGGGGACTGACAGGGGCGGTCCTGGGCCTGGGGGACGGGGAAGAGATGGGCGATGTGGTGGGGCTGAGGTCAGTAGTAGGTTTCCTTCTCCACCCAACCTGGAGAGACAAAGAAGGAAAGAAAGAGACAGAGTAAGAGATGGAGAGAGACAGGCAAGGCGAGCCGCCCAGCAGAGAGAGGGACAGAGAGGGAGAGAGACAAGGAAACCACACAGACAGAGACCCGTGAGAAGACAGAGTGGGTGCCCGGAGAGATGGGAAGAGAGAGAAGAGTGGGAACCAGGTGGCAGAGCCATCCAGCAGGGCGAGGGGAGCCTGGGACCAGCTGCCTGAGACCCTGCTGCCCCCCGCCCCCCTCGGCTGCCTTGCCGAGCTCCCTCACCCCCTGGGTTCCTGCGCAGGATGAGTTTGCGGATTTCGTCGTAGACGAAGATGAGGAAACTGTAGGGGAAGGCACAGAACCACCAGCTGGGCCTGCAGAGGGGAGAGCAGGAGGGCTTGAGTGCGGGGCCCTAACGAGAGGCAGAGTTTCAGGGGACTGGAGGGGACGCAGAGGGGCAGTCTCCCAGGATCCTTCGTGCTCACAGGTGGAGGGTGCCCTGGGCGGGGCTGGGGCCTGGGGTCTTCGGAGTAATCCGTGGTGGGAGCAGCCTATGGGGGAGGCTCGGGGGCATCAGAATGGGGACTGCAGTGGGGACACCAGGGGAGGTGGGGCCTGAGGTTCAGGCTGAGTCTAAGGGAAGGCTCCATGGCAGGCGCTGGTGTGGGCAGGGCTGGGGGCAGCGGGGCACTCACTTGAGAGGGTACATGCGCAGGGCCACGTCCATGCCGGGGCAGTAGGACAGGAAGGCAGCCAGGGCCGTCTCCTCAAACAGCCCGAAGATCAGGATCTTGTTCCTGGAGGCACAGAAGGGCAGGGCTGGGCCCAGAGAGCACCCACCCTGCACCTGCCACCCCGCAGAGACAGGGGGAGGCACAGTGCAGACACCCAGAGACAGCAGCACAGACACAGAGACAGAGAGGCAGAGACATAGGGAGAGACAGAGATGGGGAGACATGCCCCGACAGAGAGAGACAAAGATAGAGGCAGAGCGATGGTGACACAGAAAGAGACAAAAGACAGGGACAGACACAGAGACAGGGACAGACACAGAGACAGACAGGGACAGACAGAGAGACAGACACAGGGACAGACACAGAGACAGGGACAGAAACAGACACAGAGACAGGGACAGACACAGAGAGGCACTGGTATAAAAAGAAAAGGCCAGGGGCACCTCCACCACACACACAGAGGCTGAGAGAGAATCTAGGACACACAGGACCCCTTGAGAGAAAATCAGTGCAGTGGCAAAACCCAAAATGGGCTGGGCATGGTGGCTCACACCTGTAATCCTAGCACTCTGGGAGGCTGAGGCAGGAAGATTGCCTGAGCTCAGGAGTTTGAGACCAGCCTGGGCAACATGGTGAAACTCTACTAAAAATACGAAAAATTAGCCGAGCCTGGTGGTGCGTACCTGTAATCCCAGCTACTTGGGAGGCTGAGGCATGAGAATCGCTTGAACCCGGGAGGCGGAGGTTGCAGTGAGCCAAGATTGTGCCACTGCACTCCAGCCTGGGCAACAGAGCAAGACTCTGTCTCTAAATAAATAAATAAAAATTAGCCATATATGATGGTGCACACCTGTAGTCTCAGCTACTCAGGAGGCTGAGGTGGGTGGGTCACTTGAGCCCAGGAGGTCGAGGCTGCAGTGAGCTATGATTACACCACTGAACTCCAGTCTGGGTGACAGAGTGAGACCCTGCCTCAACAAAACAACAAAAAACCAAAGCAAGGACACAAGAGGAAGTACACAGACAGACAGACACTCGGACAGGACAGATGGCTGTCCAGTCACCATGTGCCCCCGGCCCTCACTTCATGCCCTGCTGGAAGACCGAGTTCCTCCGGGTCTTGCAGATGATCAGATCGGCCCACTGGACGACAACGATGCTCACAAAGAAGGCCGTGTGGCAGGTGAACTCCACCACCTTCCTCTGCTCGTATGTCTGCAGGAGCGGTGACCAGGGCACGGGACGTCAGTTAGTGGCACTGCAGCCCTAGCCGCCACCCCGACGTTCCGGTGCTCTTTGCCCCGCCCCATCCTGCATGGGGTCCTCAGGGCCTCAGGTGTGTCTTCCTTCTGCGGGCTCATAGTCCCGAGGGAGGAGTCAGGAGACGTACAAGGAAGAAGAAAGGTTAATGGTGATCTCACCATCCACCAGGGGCCAGGGAGGAGGATAAGGACCCTGTGGGCCTCCCAAGGAGGACAGACAGCAACTGGGCTTTGAAGGGACAGACAGAGGTGGGGAAGAAGGCCTGGCAGGGCAGAGAGCTCCAGCAGTGGGACACAAGGCTCCAGATGGGCTGGGCCAAGGGCATCCAGGAAGCCCCAGGTGCCCAGCAAAGGCCTTGATGCTGCCATGGGAGACTGAGGGGGCCATCGTAGGAAGTGGCCATGCATGGCTGGAACAGCTCACCCCGGGGATCTTACGGTGGGCAGAGACACAGCACCCTGCCCTACTCACCCACTGCTGCCCGTAACTGTCTTCCAGGTCATTGACGGTGCGGTCATCCCAGTTCAGCCGGATGCCCACCAGGTTGCCGGGCAAGAAGCCATTTTCTGCCAGGATCACAAAGTAAGAGAAGAAGCCACCGAGAGCCTGGATCATTCCTGGAAGGAGGAGAGAGGAAGCCGAGGAGAGGCTCAGATTGGGGCCAGCAGCCAACCCAGGGCACCTCAGAGGGCCCGGAGGCCTCCTTGGAGAGGGGAGTATGCCCTCCTGGCCCTGTTATCTGGACATTGGTTCCCAGAGGGTGACCTGAGGTCTCACTTGGTGGTGAGGCCCTGAGATGGGTGGGCCACCTGGGACAGGGGCTTTGGAGAGAGGGCTCTCCCAGAGGGATAACCTGGAGCCCCTCTCTCACCTGACCTAGGCCACCTAAACATCATGAATTCTTGGGGGATCCCCAGCTTGAGCTCCCTACGCAGGAATGACCTCCCTGGGCCTGGAACCACTGCCATGAAGTCTCTGCTTGCTGGGACAGCCCCCAAGGGTGGCTGCTCCACTCCTCTGGGGATCCGCACACATCAACAGCAGAGAGGAGGAGGTGGAGAAGGATGGGGTGCAGACCCCCCCCACAGATAGCTCACTGGTTGGTCCTGCCCACGTCTGCTCCCCTGAGTCAATGCCAGGGTCCCAAGCACCCACGGTGGGCCAGGCACTGCTCTAGGCCCGGCACTGGGTGGTAAGGAGATGGAGTCCCCGGTGCCTCACCAATCTGCCCGTAGGCCATGCTGATGAGTCTCTCATTGACCAATTTGTCCGTCCGCGGGTTCCTGGGCTGTCTCTTCATGATGTCGCTTTCGGCAGCCTCGTACGCCAGTGAGATGGCAGGGACCTAGGCGGAGGAGGCCGGGTGAGCCGGAGAGGGGAGGACTCCACCCTCCTGGGCCCCAAGGGTGGCTGCCAGGGCTCACCATGTCAGTGCCCAGATCGATGCAGAGGATGGTGATGGTGCCCAGGGGCAGCGGGATGTTGGCCATGATGAACAGCAGGAAGGGCGTGATCTCCGGGATATTGCTGGTCAGGGTGTAGGCAATGGACTTCTTTAGGTTGTCGAAGATCAGGCGGCCTGTGGCACAGGCAGGCTCAGAGCAGGCGCCCATGCCAGGGAGCCCCACTCCCTCTGCCCCTCCTCTGCCCTCATCCAACGTCCTTTTTTTTTTTTTTTTTTTTTTTGAGACAGAGTCTCGCTGTGTTGCCCAGGCTGGAGTGCAGTGGTGCGATCTCGGCTCACTGCAGGCTCCGCCTCCCGGGTTCACGCCATTCTCCTGCCTCAGCCTCCCGAGTAGCTGGCACTACAGGCACCTGCCACCACGCCCGGCTAATTTTTTTGTATTTTTATTAGAGACGGGGTTTCACTGTGTTAGCCTGCATGGTCTCAATCTCCTGACCTCGTGATCTGCCCTCCTCGGCCTCCTGAAGTGCTGGGATTACAGGCGTGAGCCACCGCGCCCGGCCTGTCCAGCGTCCTTTTCTACCCCCCAGCCCACCCACCATTATTTTCTTTTTGGGACAGGGTCTCACTCTGTTGCCCAGGCTGCAGTGCAGTGGCATGATCACGGCTCACTGCAACCTCGACTCCCAGGCTCAAGTGATCCTCCTGCCTCAGCCTCCCATGTAGCTGAGACTACAGTCACGCGCCACCACGTCCAGCTAATTTTTGTATTTTTAGTAGAGACAGAGTCTCACCACTTTTCCTAGGCTTGTCTAATTTCTGGGCTGTGATTCCATCTCAGCCTCCCGAAGTGCTGGGATTACAGGCATAAGTCTCCACACCTGGCCCCTCACCCACCTACCTTTCCACATAAACATCCAACCACATCGCCTTTGTGGAAACATTCTTGAAATAACCACTTTGGAAGATGGTTTCGGAGTTGCTATCAAACATCCCCCACCCCACCGACCGAGTAATCCGACTCCTAGGTTTTATACCCAAAAGAGAGGAGGACTGTTTATGCCCAGCGAAAAGCAAGTACGAGAATGTTCACCATAGCACCACTCATCAGAGCCAAAAGCCAGAGTCAACCCCATGTCCATCAACAGGTGAGGGATGAATAAACCACGGTACATCCATGCAGTCAAATACTACACAGCAAGAAGGGGCGAGCTACGGACACAACTCCACAGCTGGACCTTGGATCCCGTGCTGAGTGACACGAGCCAGACACAAAAGCATTCTTAGCATCCAACTCCAACTGGAGCAGGCTCAGCACCCGTCTCTGGGCTAAAAGTCAGGATAATGGTTATGTCTAGGAGGAGGGATATAGACTGGAAGAGAGCAGACAAAACCTAAATGGGGGGCTGGAATGGTTTTCTATCTTGACTGGGGTCTGGTGGTTGCATGGCTGTGTACATGTGTAAAAATTTATACACCCTGTCTGGTTGAATATTTTAATGAGATATAATATGCCCAACTCACTGTATGCATGCCATATCTCAATAAATATTCAACCAGTACAGGTTGTCTAAAGTAAACAAAATAAAGATTAATCCAGGCCAGGCGCTGGGGCTCACACCTGTAATCCCAACACTTTGGGAGACCGAAGCAGGAGGATTGCCTGAGATCAAGAGTTCAAGACCAGCCTGGCCAACATGATGAAACCCCATCTCTACTAAAAATACAAAAATTAGCTGGGCGTGGTGGTGGGCACCTGTAACCCCAGCTACTTGGGAGGCTGAGGCAGGAGAATCATTTGAACCTCAGAGGCAGACGTTGCAGTGAGCCGCAATTGTGCCATTGCACTCCAGCCTGGGCAACAGAGCAAGACTCCATCTCAAAAAAATAAAATAAAATAAAATAAACATTAGTCAGGCACGGTGGCTCGAGCCTGTGGTCGCAGCTACTTGGGAGGCTGAGGTGGGAGGATCACTTGAGGAGGTCGAGGTTGCAGTGACTGATGATTGCAGCACTGCGCTCCAGCCTGGGCAACAGAGTGAGACCTTGTCTCTAAATAAATAAATAAGTAAAAAGATTAGCCCATGAACAATGAGGTCAATCATTAAGAAAGAACAGGCGGGCACGGTGGCAAACACCTGTAATCCCAGCACTTTGGGAGGCTGAGGCGGGTGGATCACGAGGTCAGGAGATCGAGACTATCCTGGCCAACATGGTGAAACCCCATCTCTACTAAAACACAAAAAATTAGCTGGGAGTGGTGGTGTGTGCCTGTAGTTCCAGCTATGTGGGAAGCTGAGGCAGAAGAATCGCTTGAAGCTGGGAGGTGGAGGTTGCAGTGAGCCAACATCACGCCACTGCACTCCAGCCTGGCAACAGAGCAAGACTCCATCAAAAAAAGGGGAGGGGAGGGGAGGGGGAAGGAAGGAAGGAAGGGGAAGGAAGGAAGGAAGGAAGGAAGGAAGGAAGGAAGGAAGGAAGGAAGGAAGGAAAGAAGGAAGGAAGGCAGGCAGGCAGGGACGGAGGGAGGGAGGAAGGGAGGGAGGGAGGGAAGGGAAGGTGAAGCAGGCTGCCTGTGGTGTGGCTTCTTTGATTGCTTTGATGTCTCTTGCATAGCAATAAGGGCCTGGGCCGCTCCCACCTGATATTCTCGTTCCCTGCATTGTGCTCTTCTCCACAAACTAGGGGTTTCTCATCCTAAACTATTTATGGATGAAATGGTGACAAATGTGCATCAGCATAATCCAGTGTGTGTTCCAGGTGGTGGGGAAGAAACAAGGTGTGCCGTGCGCTGACTGCCGCTGCAGGTGGGATGGAGGCGCAGGGGCCCACTGTGCCTTTGCTTTACTTTTGGGTATATCTGGAATGCCCCCGTTGGAAGTTATTTTGTTTGTTTGTTTGAGACAGGGTCTCGGATCTCGCTCTATCCCAGGCTGGAGTGCAGTGGCACCATCATGGTTCATGGCAGCCTCGACCACCCAGGCTCAAGTGATCCTCCTGCCTCAGCCCCCCAAGTCTCTGAGACTACAGGTGTGCAACACCACGCCCTGCTAATTTTTAAAATTTTTTGATCTTTGAGGTCTTAATTTGTTGTACAGGCAGGTCTTGAACTCCTGGGCTCAAGCGATCCTCCCGCCTTGGTCTCCCAAAGTGCTGGGATTACAGGCGTGAGCCCCCGTGCCTGGCCCCTGACGGAAGTTAGGTATTTCTTCCCTCACTTCAGAGAGGCCTTCCCTGTCCACCCCATCTGGGCAGGACCCTCACTATTATCTATCACAGCGGCCTGCTTTCTTCGGGGCATATATCACAATTTGTAATTACATATCTGTTAACTTGTTTAAGGCTGTCTCTCCAGCCCTGTGAGAACAGGGATGGTGTCTGCTCTGCTCACAGCTGCCTCCCAGGCTTCCAGCATGATGCACAAGATTCGGAAGGAGCAGACGGCTGTATCTGAGACAGTGTGTGTACTGTGTATGCATAGATGTCTTGGGGAGGCCAGGCGTGGTGGCTCATGCCTGTAATCCCAGCAAATTGGGAGGCCAAGGTGGGAGGATTGCTTGAGCCCAGGAGTTGAAGACCTCGCTGGGCGAGGTGGCTCACCCCTGCAATCCCAGCACTTTGGGAGGCCAAGGTGCGGGGATCACTTCAGGTCAGGAGATCAAGACCAGCCTGGCTAACATGGTGAAACCCCATCTCTACTAAAAATACAAAAATTAGCCTGGTGTGGTGGCATGCACCTGTAATTCTAGCTACTCGGGAGGCTGAAGCAGGAGAATTGCTTGAACCCAGGAGGTGGAGGCTACAGTAAGCCGAGATTGCATGCCTGTACTCCAGCCTGGGTGACAGAGCAAGACTCTGTCTCAAAAAAAAAGAAAGACTAGTCTGGGCAACATGGCGAAACCCCATCTCTACAAAATCTTAAAAATCAGCCAGGTGTGATGGTGCATACCTGTAGTCTCAGCTACTTAGGGGCCTGAGGCAGGAGGATCGATTAAGTCCCGGAGGTGGAGGCTGCAGTTAGCCGTGATTGTGCCACTGCACTCCATCCTGGGTGACAGATTGAGACTCTATCCCCGCCCCCAGCCCCCAAAAAAAGATGTCTCTTGGGAGATAAGAAGGTGTTAACCATGGTTTCCTCTGGGATATAGGAGACAAGGGCTGAGGACATTTAATCTGTTACTCTGGGCTCGGCTTTGCCGTTTGAATTCTCTTTTACCATGAACTACTTTTTACACCAGAGACATTTCAAATAGGAGAGAGAAATTGGAAGAAAATCCACCAAGGCATGAACCGTGATTATTTCTGGATGGCGAGGTTACGGGTGATTCTACTTTTTTCCTGAATGCTTTTCTGCATTTGTCTATGATTATCATGAATTAATTTGATGATCAAAATAAATCTGAATGTGAACCAACCCTTCTGTGGCCTTGTCTGGGCCTGTCAGGAGGTGGTGCCTGTCGGCTCAGCAGCACCAGCCTCAGACCCAGCCCCTCACACCGCCTTGCCTGTGTACCGGTTCCTCTGCCTGCGACTCCCTGGCACTAGTCTATGTGGACGTCACAGCATGGCCCCTGACTTGGCTCAGCCATCCCTGTCCACTCTGGGAAGCTCCCTTGACCCCCAGCCCAGGCTGGCAGAGGGGGTATCCCCCAGGGTCCCTGGCTTCCCCCTGGTTGGGCTTGAGAATTTTTTTTTTTTTTTGAGACGGAGTCTCGCTCTGTCCCCCAGGCTGGAGTGCTGTGGCGCAATCTCAGCTCACTGCAACCTCCACCTCCTGGGTTCAAGCAATTCTCCTGCCTCAGCCTCCCGAGTAGCTGGGACTACAGGCAACCGCCACAATGCCCGGCTAATTTTTTGTATTTTTAGTAGAGACGGGGTTTCACCATGTTAGCCAGGATGGTCTCGATCTTCTGACCTCATGATCTGCCTGCTTCAGCCTTCCAAAGTGCTGGGATTACAGGCGTGGCTGCCGCCCCTGGCTGAGAATATCTTTAAAAAGCCTCCAAGTCAGCTTCACCCACCAGATGGGGCCTGGGCTGGATGACGCAGGGACCCTGAAGTGTGTCAGCTCAGTCCTGCCCAGGGGAGCTCCCGACCCCACAGGGGAGGAAGACAGAAAAGGACAGGCTCAGGCTCCTCCAGGGCCAGGGGGCCTGTGGTCTCTGCCACACATCCCCCTGCAGCCCTGGCCAGTTCCCCTTGCTGGTCTCAGGCCTCCGGTAGTGACCCTGGTCTCCAGGGCCACCCCTGGCCAACTCACCCTCCTCCACCCCTGTGACGATGGAGGCAAAGTTGTCGTCCAGCAGGATCATGTCAGCTGCCTGCTTGGAGACGTCAGAGCCAGCGATGCCCATGGCCACCCCAATGTCGGCCTTCTTCAGAGCGGGGGAGTCGTTCACACCATCCCCGGTCACAGCCACAATTGCACCCTGGAGGGAGAGAGGGTAAGGATGACACCCAGAGGCCAGTCCCCAGAGTCCCCTCCCTCAGATCCAGAAGCCCAGGACCCCAGCCCCCTCCTCCTTCAGACCTAGAAGTTCAGGTCCCCAACCTCCTCTTCCCCTCAGACCTAGGAGTTCAGGCCTCCAGACCTTCCTCCCTCAGACCCAGGGGTCCAGACCCCCAGACCCTCCTCCCTCAGACCCAGAGGTCCAGGCCCCCAGCCTCCTTCTCCCTCAGACTCAGCAGTCCAGGCCCCCAGACCCTCCTCCCTCAGACCCAGGGGTCCAGGCCCCCAGCCCCTCCTCCCTCAGACCCAAGGGTCCAGGCCCCCACCCCCTCCTCCCTCAGACCCAGGAGTTCAGGCCCCTATCCCCTCTTCCCTCATACCCAGAAGTCCAGGCCCCCTCCCTCAGACCCAAGGGTCCAGGTCCCCAGCCCCCTCCTCCCTCAGACCCAGGAGTCCAGGCCCCCAGACCCTCCTCTCTCAGACCCAGGGGTCCAGACCCCCAGCCCCTCCTCCCTCAGACCCAGGAAACCAGGCCCCGGCCTCAGTGAGGACCCAGGAGTCAAGGCCCCGTCCCCTCCTCTGCGGGAGCGCAGCCCACCTGTCTCTGACAGCCCTCCACAATGATGAGCTTCTGCTGGGGGGATGTGCGGGCGAAGACGATCTCGGTGTGATTCTGCAGGATCTCGTCGATTTGCTCGGAGGTGAAGTCCTTGAGGTCGGTGCCGTGGATCACGCAGGCCTTGGCATCCCTGGGAAGAGCAGAGAGAGCGATGGCTGAGGTCAGGGTGTGTGAGGAGTGGCAAAGTGATCCCTGAAAGACAGAGAAACAGAGGGGCCAGCCCCACAACCAGGAGAGCCAGAGGACCAGGGGCTGGGGGAAGAGGCCTCTGGGAGAAGCAGGGGAGAAGGGGGCTACTGCAGCAGGGCGTGCGGGCAGACCTGAGGAAGGACTTTGGGGCAGTGGATTTATTTATTTATTTATTTATTATTTATTTATTTATTTTTGAGATGGAGTCTCGCTCTGTCACCCAAGCTGGAGTGCAGTGGCGCAATCTCGGCTCACTGCAACCTTTGCTTCTTGGGTTCAAGTGATTTTCCTGTCTCAGCCTCCCTAGTAGATAGGATTACAGGTGCCCACCACCACGCCTGGCTAATTTTTTTTTAATTTTTAGTGCAGATGGGGTTTTGCCATGTTGGCCAGGCTGCTCTCGAACTCCTGACCTCAAGTGATCCACCCACCTCGGCCTCCCAAAATGCTGGGATTACAGGCGTGAGCCACTGCGCCCAGCCAAGACACAGTGGATTCAGAGGAACGGAGATAAATGGACAAGCTGAAGGAAGGCAGAGTCAGAGATAGGTATGAGGATGGGAAAGTTGAAGAAGTCAGAAAAACAGAACAGAAAAGAGAGACAATGACAGACAGACAGGAAAAAAGAGAGACAGACACAGAAGTACTGGATTCTACTGAATCCTCTGAGATAGGAATTATTAGTAGCCCATTTTAGAGATGGGCAAACTGAAGTTCATGGATGCTAAAGGACTTGCCCAATGTCACACAGCTTGTGAGCGGTATAAGCTGGAATGCAGGCCGGGCGCAGTGGCTCACGCCTGTAATCCCAGCACTTTGGGAGGCCAAGGCAGGTGGACCACCTGAGGTCAGGAGTTCGAGACCAGCCTGGCCAACATAGTGAAACCCCCGTCTCTACTAAAAATACAAAAAAAAAAAAAAAAAATTAGCGGGGCATGGTGGAGGGCCCCTGTAATCCCAGCTACTCAAGAGGCTGAGGCAGATAATTGCTTGAACCCGGGAGGCGGAGGCTGCAGTGAGCTGAGGTTGCCCCACTGCACTCCAGCCTGGGCGACAGAGCAAGACTCCATCTCAAAAACATAAATAAATAAATAAAATAAAATAAAGGCTGGGATGCAAACCTATGCCTGGCTACCTCTGTGGCTGCAATGTCCCCACACCGGAGGGAGGGCCAGACCCAGGGCCTGGTCCATGGAGGAGTCCCAGAAAGAATGGGACAGGCAGTGCAGAGGGAGGTTGGGGGGAAGCGGTCCCCCTGTGTCAACACCCTAGAGGGATGTCCAGGGCCCTGGCTGGGATGGGTGGCTCACCGGGGGTTAACCTGGCTGACGGGAATGTTGAGCCGGGCGGCGATGTCCTCCACAGTCTCGTTGCCCTCAGAGATGATGCCCACACCCTTGGCAATGGCCTTGGCCGTGATGGGGTGATCGCCGGTGACCATGATGACCTGCAGGCATTGTTTTTTAGGGATGGCCTCTCCCGCCCCACGCCTGGCTTTGCCTCCCCCAGCCACCCCAAGCCACACCTTGATGCCTGCGCTGCGACACTTGCCCACCGCGTCAGGGACGGCTGCCCGGGGTGGGTCGATCATGGACATGAGGCCCACAAAGCAGAGGTTGTCCGTGGTGAAGTTCACGTCATCACAGTCGAAGGCAAAGCCCTTGGGGAACTGCTCCTCGGGCAGGTAATAATGGCAGAAACCTAGTGGCAGGGAAGGGTTGGGGTGTGAGGGTCCCAGCCTCGGAACCTCCGCCCCATGCCCCTAGATGTCTGCATCGCCCGCATTCCATCTCCCCATCAGCAAGACGGCCAGTCAGCATTCATTTCCTAGGATACCTTCCCCTCTCATCCATCCATTCATTCATTCATTCATTCATTTACAGTATATTCTGGGAGGCCCTGGGCTGAGACAGGCTTTGGGCAGCATCACAACCCTCCTTGCCCTCCAGGGACCCCAGAGCCCGCCCGGCAGCCTCGCACCAAGCACGCGCTCGCCCAGGCCACCGAGCTCAAGGTAGGCATTCTGGAAGGCCTCCTTCATTTCCTCGTCCAGAGGCTGCTCCTTGCCCTGTAGCAGGATGGTGGAGCAGCGGTCCAGGATGCGCTCGGGGGCACCCTTCATCACCAGCAGGTATCGGTTGTCGTTGGGGTCCTCGGTCTCATGGATGGAGAGCTGGGGACCGATCAGAGGGTGGCGTGCCTGAGCCACGCAGACACCAGGAAGCTCCCTGCCCCATCCTGTCCCCTGTCCAGAGCCACGGGTGCCAGGATAGGCCCACACCAGGGCTCCCCCACACTCTCTCACAGAGACCTCTGCTCATTCCTGTCCGCTCTGTCTATGTCATGGATATATATTTCTTTTTCTTTTTCTTTTTTTCTTTTTTCTTTTTTTTTTGAGACAGAGTCTCGCTCTGTTGCCCAGGCTGGAGTGCAGTGGCACGATCTCAGCTCACTGCAACCTCCACCTCCTGGGTTCAAGCAATTCTCCTGCCTCAGCCTCCGGAGTAGCTTGGGATTACAGGCACCACCACCACACCCAGCTAACTTTTGTATTTTTAGTAGAGACGGGATTTTGCCATGTTGGCCAGGCTGGTCTTGAACTCCTGGCCTCAAGTGATCTGCCCTCATCGGCCTCTCAAAGTGCTGGGATAACAGGCATAAGCCACCACGTCTGTGCTCCCCTCCTCCCACCCTGTTTTTTTTTTTTAAGACAGGGTCTCACTCTGTCACCCAGGCTGGAGAACAGTGGCGAGATCACAGCTCACTGCAGCCTTGATCTCCCAGGCTCATGCGATCCTCCCGCTTCGGTCTCCCACGTAGCTGGGACCACAGGTCCACACCACCATGCCTGGCTAATTTTTTATAGAGACATGCTCTCCCTATGTTGCCCACGCTGGTCTCCATCTCCTGAGTTCAAGCGATCCTCCTGCCTCGGTCTCCCAAAGTGCTGGGATTACAGGCGTGAGCCACCACACCCAGCTGTATGCTTCCATTTTTATGAAATGTCCAGAATAGGCAAAACCATACGGACAGAAAGTAGGTTAGTGGTTGCTTAGGGCTGGGAGTGTCGGGGAGGAGGGGGCGGGTGACAGCTGAGAGATGTGGGGTTTCTTTTTGGAGGTGATGAAAATGCTCTAAAATTGACTATGTGGATGGCTGCCTATATCTGCGAATATACTAAAACTATTAAATTATACACTTAGAGGGACGAGCTATGGTATGTTAATTATATCTTAATAAAGTTATTTTAAAAGCTCTGAGTCAACTCCTGTCTCTCTTTGGCTGAGAGCCCCCTGGAGGCTTGTGTGCTCCTCAGAGTCACAGCCAAGTCCTCTCCATGCCCGTGGGGCCTGACAGGATCTGGCCAGCACCCACCACCCCCACCACGCTCCCTGGCTCCCAGCCCCTCTGCACTGGCTGGCTGGCTGGTGTTCAGATGCGTCAGCACACTCCCGCCTCTGGGCCTTTGCACAGGCTGTGCCTGCTACCGGAGCGCTCTTCCCCCAGACACCTGCAGGGTTCCCTCCCTCAGCACCACAACCACTACGATTACCTCCTCATGCCTTTGTTATTGTCTGTCTTCTAGAACCAGAGCGTAAGTCTCAGAGAGGGGTGACTTCACCATGTCACTCACTACTGTGTGTACACCCAGCACCCAAAACAGGGCCTAACATGTGGTGGCTGGTCAAAAAATGTATACTGAATGGGCCGGGCATGATGGCTTATGCCTGTAATCCCAGCACTTTGGGAGGCCGAGGTGGGTGGATCACTTGAGGTCAGGAGTTCAAGACCAGCCTGGCCAACATGATGAAACCCCATCAATACTAAAAATACAAAAACTAGCTGGGTGTGGTGGTGCACGCCTCTAATTCCAGCTACTCGGGAGGCTGAGATATGAGAATCACTTGAACCCAGAGACAGAGGTTGCAGTGAGCCAAGATCACACCACTGCCTTTTAGCCTGGGCGACAGAGCAAGACTCCATCTCAAAAAAAAGTTTACTGAGGCCGGGCGCGGTGGCTCATGCCTGTAATCCCAGCACTTTGGGAGGCTGAGGCGGGCAGATCACGAGGTCAGGAGATCGAGACCATCCTGGCTAACACGGTGAAACCCCGTCTCTACTAAAAATACAAAAAATTAGCTGGGCATGGTGGCGGGCGCCTGTAGTCCCAGCTATTCTGGAGGCTGAGGCAGGAGAATGGTGTGAACCCGGGAGGTGGAGCTTGCAGTGAGCTGAGATCGCGCCACTGCACTCCAGCCTGGGTGACAGAGCGAAACTCTGTCTCAAAAAAAAAAAAAGTTTGCTGAATAATTTAAAGTTGCTGCTCTGCCCCAAGAGGTCTCCTGCTTGTTCCCACTCTCTGCTGTAGGAAAACTTTTTTTTTTTTTTTGAGTCAGGGTCTTGCTCTGTCACCCAGGCTGGAGTACAGTGCGTGATGTAGGCTCTCTGCAGCCCCAACCTCCCCGGCTCAGGCAATCCTCCTGCCTCAGACTCCCAAATCGCTGAGACCACAGGCACATACCACCACACCTGGCTAATTAAAAAAAAAATTTCGTACAGATGGGGTTTTGCCATCTTGCCCAGGCTCGTCTCGAACTCCTGGCCTCAAGTGATCCCCCCACCTCAGCCTCCCAAAGTTCTGGTGTTAAAGGTGTGAGCCACCGCGCCTGGCCTGCAGGAAGATCTTTACTCCTCAGCGTCTCACTCCAACAGAGATCCGGCTCCCACTCTCAAGCTCTCCCTGTTCCTCTCCCCACCAGGCGGGTATTATCATTCCCATTTTACAGACGGGAAAATCAAGGCTCTATGACACCTCTTTACAGGCGTCATAAGGAACCTGAGGTCCAGGCTGGCTCTCCCGGAAAGCCCAGAGTACCTGGTATTTGTTGGTGGAATTGAAGGGAATCTCAGCCACTTTCTTGTTGCGTTCACGCATCAGCTTCACGGAGCCAGAGGACAGCTCGATGCACTTGAGCAGGGCAGACTCAGACGCATCCCCAGCCACATCCCTCTGCAAGGAGAAAGGGTTGTCAGAACAGGGACAGCTGAGGGGAGGACACAGGCAGGGCCGAGGTGAGGCCAGTAGCTGAACCCACCTTGAGCACAGGGATGTTGTCCTGACCACCCTTGAAGACAGCGCGATTGCAGAGCCCAGCGATGTGAGACAGGGCCACCCAGGTGTGCGAACTCTTGTCAAATGAGGTCCCTGGGGGAGGCATGTGTGAGGGCCAGGGACTCCTGGAGCCAGGCCCCCATGGTCCTCACCCGGGGCCTGCGCTCACCTGACTGGTCCTCAGTGGTGTCAGCCTCGTGGATCTGGTTGTCAAACCACATGTGGGCGACTGTCATGCGGTTCTGAGTGAGGGTCCCTGTCTTATCTGAGCAGATGGTGGACGTGGAGCCCAGGGTTTCTACAGCCTCCAGGTTCTTCACCAGGCAGTTCTTCCGGGCCATGCGCTTGGCGGTCAGCGTCAGACACACCTGGAGGACGAGCAAGGGCAGGCAAGTTACAGGGACAAGCCCGGCAGCAGGGTTGGATGAGCGACACGAGGGCCACAGCCCAGCTGCCCAGCCCCCAGAGAATCCTGAGGGCCTGGAAAAGAATGAGGCAGCACCCAGCAATGCCACCCCCAATTCAGACCAATAGAAACAGGGCAGAGACACCCAAAGACAGGGACTAGAATGCTCATAGCAGCCACATGCATAATAGTGCAAAACAGCCAGGTGCAGTGGCTCACGCCTGTAATCCCAGCACTTTGGGAGGCCGAGGTAGGCGCATCACTTGAGATCAGGAGTTCGAGACCAGCCTGGCTAACATGGTGAAACCCCATCCCTACTAAAAATACAGAAATTAGCAGGGCATGATGGTACACTCCTGTCATCCCAGCTACTTGGGAAGCTGAGGCACGAGAACCCCTTGAACCCAGGAGGTGGAGGTTGCAGTGATCCGAAATCGTGACACTGCACTCCAGCCTGGGCAACAGAGTGAGACTCCAACTCAAAAAAAAAAAAAATTGTCCAAAACTGCAAACTACTCAAATGTCCACTAACAGCAGAAAAGATAAATTGTGGACAATGGAATACTAACATTGATAAAAACAAATACATTACTGCTGCCTGCACCTGCATGGGTGAACGTCAAAAACATGTTCAGCCAAAAAGAGCCAGAAATGAGTTCATACTGAATTATTCCGTTAATAGGAAGTTTGAACACAGGCAAAGTTAATCTATGCTGTTAGCAGCCAGATCAGGGGTTACCCTTGGGTTGGGGGGCAGGGGCTAAATAAGGTCTTGAGGGGGCTTCAGGGAGACGCAGTCTCGTTGCAGCTGACGTGATTCTGTTCAGTTTGCCCCAAATCATCAGACTATGTGCTCACAATATGCTTAATCCTTTGCGTATAAAAATCCATTTGACATAGGGTAGCATTCAACATTGCTAATATGGAAAACAGTAAACTTTTTTTTTTTTTGAGACACAGTCTTGCTCTGTCGTCCAGGCTGGAGTGCAGTGGCTCGATCTCAGCTCACTGCAACCTCCACCTCCCAGGTTCAAGCAATTCTTGTGCCTCAGCCTCCCAAGTAGCTGGGATTACAGGCGCCCACCATCACGCCTGGCTAATTTTTGTATTTTTAGTAGAGATGGGGTTTTGCCATGTTGGCCAGGCTGGTCTTGAACTCCTGACCTCAAGTGATCCACCCACCTCGGATTCCCAAAGTGCTGGGATTACAGGCGTGAGCCACCCTGCCCGGCCCTAATATGGAAAACTTCACATAAAACATTAAGTCAAAGAATGAAAGAGGAGAATGGTATTTCTAAGATAGTCCCTGCCATGCACCTTGAAGACAGCATTTAGTCAATATGCTCACAGCTGTCAGGCGGAACCTCACAGAGAATGGACTTCTGGGGTGAAGCTGGCAGCAAAGCAGCCAGAGAAAAAATTTTTAAAAATAATAATAATAATTATTATTATTATAATAATTATTATTATTATTATTTTCTTGAGATGGAGTCTCCCTCTGTCACACAGGCTAGAGTGCAGTGGTTCAATCATGGCCCACTACAGCCTCAACCTCCCGGGTCAGCCTCCCAAATAGCTGGAACTACAGACATGTACCACCACGCCTGGCTAATTTAAAAAAATTTTTTTTTTTTTTTTTTTTTTTTTGAGACAGAATCTCGCTTTTGTCGCCCAGGCTGGAGTGAGGTGGCACGATCTCGGCTCACTGCAAGCTCTGCCTCCTAGGCTCAAGCTATTCTCCTGTCTCAGCCTCCTGAGTAGCTGGGATTCCAGGCACCCATCACCACGCCTGGCTAATTTTTATACTTTTAGTAGAGATGGGGTTTTGCCATGTTGGCCAGTCTGGTCTCGAACTCCTGACCTCAGGTGATCCACCCGCCTCGGCCTCCCAAAGTCTTGGGACTACAGGCATGAGCCACTGCGCCCAGCCTTCACATTTTTTGGTAGAGATGGGTTCTTACTATGTTGTCCAGGCTTGTCTCAAACTCCTGACCTCAAGCAGTCCTCCTGCCTCAGCCTCCCAAACTGTTGGGATTAAAGGCGTGAGCCACTGCGCCAGGCTTATTATTTTATTTTATTTATTTATTTATTTATTTTTGAGATGGAGTTTCACTCTTGTCACCCAGGCTGGAGTGCAATGGCGTGATCTTGGCTCACTGCAACCTCCGCCTCCCAGGTTCAAGCGATTCTCCTGCCTCAGCCTCCTGAGTAGCTGGGATTACAGGCATGTGCCACCACGCCCCACTAATTTTGTATTTTCAGTAGAGACAGGGTTTCACCATGTTGGCCAGGCTAGTCTTGAACTCCTGACCTCAGCTGATCTGCCCGCCTTGGCCCCCCAAAGTGCTGGGATTACAGCGTGAGCCAGTGCACCCAGCCTCATTATTTTATTTTTTAACTTGATGTACTCTTCAACTTTTCATCATGAGCGTGCACTTCTTAATTTTGCAATAGGATTGTTGGCTCTTTACGGCTTGCCAGTGTTTCTCAAGATTTTTGTTTGTTTCTTTCTTTGATTGTTTGCTTTGTTAATGAGGCCCTCTGAGTCAGGCCCAAGTTGTCTTTCACAAGAATACTGTGATCCAGGCCCCCAGCCCCTTCTCCGGACCCAGGGGTCCAGATCCCAGCCCCTCCTCCCCCAGACACACGGGTCCAGGCCTCTAGCCCCTCCTCCCTCAGACTCAGGGGTCCAGGATCCCAGCCCCTCCTCCCTCAGACCCAGGAGCCCAGACCCCCAGGCCCTCCCCACCCAGACCCAGGAGCCTGGCCTTACAGTGACAGTGGCCAGCAGACCCTCTGGGACATTGGCCACGATGATGCCGATGAGGAAGATGACAGCCTCAAGCCAGGTGTATCCGAGAATGAGGGAGAGGATGAAGAAGGAGACACCCAGGAAGACAGCCACGCCGGTGATGAGCTGGATGAAGTGCTCAATCTCGATGGCGATGGGCGTCTTGCCCACCTCCAGCCCTGATGCCAGGGTGGCGATACGGCCCATGACAGTGCGGTCGCCCGTGGCCACCACCACGCCCCGAGCCGTGCCTGCAGGCCAGAGGGGTTAGGCTGAGGTGGGGTGGCTCAGGGAGGTTCTGGAGGCCTGACCCCCTGGGACACATCCCTGTGTCTGCCCCAGCTGTGTGTCTTCTCTGCACCCGCCTCACCTTCCACACAGTTGGTGGAAAAGAAGGTGATGTTCCGAGTCTCCAAGGGGTTGTCGTGAGTGCAGTCGGGAGAGCGAGTCTGGGGCTCGGATTCGCCAGTCAGGGAGGAGTTGTCCACCTGGGGGTAGGTGCAGCAGAGAGAGGGTTCAGTCCAGGGCCTGGGACAGGAGGGTATTTGTGTACAGGGCTTGGGGCTGAAGCCTGTGTGCCTGGAGATCACAGCTAGAAGCCTGGGTGCCCAGTGGGTGAGTGGTGTGTGGGAGGCCAGAGGCTGGGATCTTGAAGGTGGGGAAGGCACAGTGCTGCTGGCCAAGGTCTAGGGTCCCTAAGGATCTCCGAAAGGTGAGGGCTGGGCCTGGACTCCTGACTGTTGGGTGAGGAGGTGGCCCAGGGCCTAAACTCCTGGGTCTGAGGGAGGAGGGCCTGGGGGCCTGGACTCCTGGGTCTGAGGGAGGAGGGGTTGGGACCTGGACTCCTGAGTGTGAGGGAGGAGGGGCTGGGCCTGAGCTCCTGGGCAGCCCGAGGGAGGGTAAAGCCGGGCCCTAGGCCCAGGCCCACCTTGCAGCCGTGGGCTGAGATGATCCGCAGGTCAGCTGGCACTCGGTCTCCACCCTTGATCTCCACCAGGTCCCCGACCACCACCTCCTCAGCGTTCACCTGCATCTTCTCACCTTCCCGGATCACCAGGGCTTGCTGAGGTGGGATGGAGTAATGTCACCTCCCAGACTCCCTCTGCCTGGGGGTCACTGGGCCCGGCCCCCAGCCCATACACTAACACCCCCGTCTGGCCCCTTGCTGGGCACCCTTCACCTGGGGCACCATGTTCTTGAAGGACTCCATGATCTTGGAGCTCTTGGCCTCCTGGTAGTAGGAGAAGCAGCCAGTGATGATCACCACGGCCGCCAGCACGATGCCCAGGTACAGCTGTGGGGAGATGTGGGGATGTTGATCAGGGGCCGCCCAAGCCACTCTCCACCAGTCCCTGCTCGCCTGGAGTCTGGGAAGGGAGCTTTGTGTCAGTGGGGGTCTGTATTTGTGTGTCTGACCCTAGGTTGGTTATGAGGGTTGGTGTGTCTGAGTCTCCCCTGTTTGTGCTTGAGTCCCTCTTTCTGTAATGGTTGTGTTTGAATCTAAGGGTCTGTCGATTTTTTTTTTGAGACAGAGTCTCACTCTGTCGCCCAGGCTGGAGTGCAATGGCATGATCTTGGCTCACTGCAATCTCCGCCTCCTGGTTCAAGCGATCCTCCTGCCTCAGCCTCCTGAGTAGCTGGGACTACAGGTGCATGCCACCACACCTGGCTAATTTTGTGTATTTTTAGTAGAGATGGGGCTTCACCATGTTGGCTAGGATGGTCTTGATCTCCTGACCTTGTGATCTATCACCTTGGCCTCCCAAAGTGCTGGGATTACAGGTGTGAGCCATCTTTCCTGGCATTTTTTTTTTTTTTTTTTTTTGAGACAGGGTCTCGCTCTGCTGCCTAGGATGGAGTACAGTGGCACAATCTCAGTTCACTGTAGCCTCAACCTCCCAGATTCAAGCAATCCTCCCTCCTCAGCCTCCGGAGTAGCTAGGACTACAGGTGTGCGCCACCAGGCCCGGCTATGTTTTGTGTTTTTTTAGAGGCTGGGTCTGTCTGGGTATGTTACTCAGGCTACTGGAACTCCTGGTCTCAAGTTACCCTCCTGCCTTGGCCTCCCAAGGTGCTGGGATGACAGGCGTGAGCCACCATGCCCGACTTGTCCATCTGTTTTGTGTGTGTGTCTGTCCTCCTGCACATGTTGAGTCTGGGATGCGGCTGTCTGTCCATGTGTCTGTCTGACTGGCTGCATGCCTGACTTTACATTCTACAAGGCAGCTTCTTTGGTTCTCTGTGTGTGGATCTCTGTCTCTGTGTCTCCAGCTCTGCCTCTCTGTGAGAGCTTATGTCTAAGACTGTTTAGATTTGAACATCTGAGGACACTCTCTGTGCCTGACTCTCATGTCTCTCTGTCACCAGGTTATGCCTGCATTGCTGTGTGTGTGTGTGCGTGTCAGTGTGTGTGTGAGTTTCTCTGTCAGTGTATATCTGAGTCTGTGTCTGTGTTTCTGAATTAGGTGGCCATGTTTGAAACCACATCCTGGTGTGGCATCTGCGTTGACCCTCCGTGCACATGCGTGTGTGTGCACACACGCCTACCCAGGTGAGCAGCTCTGTGTGGCTGGTGTGTGGTCTGTGTTATGCGCATGGGATCTGAGGCTGCATCTCGAATGTGTCCCTGTGTTATGGGGATGGGCCCTGATGTATCAGCAGCGGGGTGTGCCTGGGTCTCTATGTGACACTCACTCTGGGTATCTGTCAAGCCATGACCACCTGCTGGTGTCTGTTCTCAAGGCCGCTGAGGTCACACAGCCTTGGGACAGAGCCCCGGCTCACACATCCTGCTGTGGGGCCTTGGACAAGTAGCCTGGCTTTTCTGAGCCTCAGTTTGCCTTGTATTTGATCTGGTTCTCTTGCTGGGTGATTGTGAGTTAGATGGGAAAAAGGGGGAGAGTGGGCTGTGAAAAGCTTAGAGGGATGGGAAGAAGTTGGGGTGCGGTGTCCGTAAATAAATGTGCAGAGCCTTGCACAGGGCAGGGTCCAGGCACTCACGTTGTCACCAGAGGGGTCGTCCTCGGTGCCCGCCTGGATACCGTAGGCCAGGAAGCAGAGGATAGCCCCGATCCACAGCAGGATGGAGAAGCCCCCGAAGAGCTGCCGGCAAAACTTGACCCACTCTGGGGTGGTAGGCGGTGGCGTGAGTGCGTTAGGCCCATCCCGGGCCAGGATCTCCTGGGCTTTGCTGTGGGTCAAACCCTGAGGGACAGAGGACTCACACAGAACCCTCCCTGGGCAACCCTGGCACCCCAGGCCTTCACCAGACCCCCAGAACTTAAGACACCAGCCACAGCCCCTCCTCCCTCAGACCCAGGGGTCCTAGCCCCCAGCTCCTCCTCCCTAGTTCCCAGGGTCCCAGCCCACAGCCTGGCCACACCTGCACACAGTCTGTGTTGTATTTCCGGCAGACCTCTTCCACTGACATCTTGTGCTCTGTCTGAGGAACAGGAGTTTGGGGGAGACGGTGAGTGCCTAGGCCAGCCAAGAACTGGCGAGGTTCTCTGGGAGGGTGTGCGGGCAGAGGGCGAGGCTTACCATAGCCACCTCCTTCTTGAGGTCATCCAGGTCCCGGCGCTCCTTGCCCTTGTTCTTCTTGGGTGAGTCCTTGTCATCTTTCTTGTCCTGCGAGGTGGCGATACGATAGCTGTCAGAGCCACCAGACTGCGGGCGAGAAGGGGTTCCAGGAGGACACCGGCCCTCCATGCCCCAGCTATCCTCCTGGCCGGTGCCCCTGCATCTCTGGGTGGGGGGTCTCTGTCTGCCTCTCGGGGTCTCCCTGTGTCTCCCGGAGCCTCTGGGTGACTTCACCTCCCTTCTGCCTCTGGTGACTCTCAGGCCTCGTGAGTCTCATCTGCTGCAATCAGCTTCCCTGTCTCTGGTTCTGTGTGTCTCTGAGTCTCTGTCCCCGAAGGTCCCTGTCTGGCTTCTGCCTGTGTTTCAGTCTCTCTCTGTTTCTGTGCCCATCTTTGCGGGGCTCTCCCCTTTTGTGTTCTGTGTCTATGTGACTTTGTTTTCGTTTTTTGAAACAATGTCTCACTCTGATGCCCAGGCTGGAGTGCAGCAATCACAGCTCACTGCAGCCTCGACTTCTGAGGCTCAGGTGATCCTCCCGCCTCCGCCTCCTGTGTAGCTGGGACTACAGGTGTGTGCCACCACGCCCGGCTAATTTTTAATTTTTTTCTAGAAATGGGGTCTCACTACACTGCCCAGGCTGGTCTCTAACTCCTGGACTCAAGCGATCCTCCTGCTTTAGCCTCCCAAACTGTTGGGATTATAGGAATAAGCCACCGTGCCCCACCTCTATGTGACATTTTAACTCTGCTTCTGTCTCTTCTTCCCTCTCCCTGGCCCTGTCCAACCTTCCTACATATCTGTCTTTTTTTTTTTTTTTTTTTTGAGACGGAGTCTCGCTTAGTCGCCTAGGCTGGAGTGCAGTGGCATGATCTCAGCTCACTGCAAGCTCCGCCTCCCAGGTTCACGCCATTCTCCTGCCTCAGCCTCCCGAGTAGCTGGGACTACAGGCGCCCGCCACTACGCCCGGCTCATTTTTTTGTATTTTTAGTAGAGACAGGGTTTCACTGTGTTAGCCAGGATGGTCGCAATCTCCTGACCTCGTGATCCGCCCGTCTCGGCCTCCCAAAGTGCTGGGATTACAGGCGTGAGCCACCGTGCCCGGCCTCGTATCTGTCTTTTCTATGTCTCCACGTGTATCTCCATCTCTTTCTCCTCTGTCTGTCTCCCTTGATGTGTATCTCCAGGTCTGTTTTTGGCTCTTGGTCTTATTGCTTTGTTTCATCATCTCTCTGTCTCCTGTCTCTTTATCTCTCCATCTCTGTATCTCTGTCTTTGCAAGGCTGTTTCTCTCTCTTGATAGCTCTCTCTCTCTCTCTATCGCTCTGATCTCTTTATGTTGTCTCTGTCATTCTCTATCCTGATCCCAGTCTCTGGGTCTCTCTGCATGTGTCTTTCTATGATTTTGTCTCTCTCTGATCTCTGGTTCTTTGTCTCTCTGCCTTGCATGATGTCTGTCTCCATCTCTTGGCTGTGTCTCCCCAGGTCTGGCTGAGTTTCTGTCTCTCTGGGTTCTTATTTCCCTCTGAGTTGGCGTCTCAAGGATCAGTACTTTCTGTCTCTGTCTTTTTCCGTCTTTCGGTCTGTCTCTCTCTGTCATTGTGTCTCTATCTTCATCTCTCAAGCTGTCTCCTCTGGGATGCTCACATCTCTCCCTACCTGTCTCTTTTCCTGTTTCAACCTCTCTCTGTCTCTCTCTCTGTCTCTCTAATATCTCTCTCTGGGATCTGCCTATCTCTGTCTCTCTCCCACTCTCTCTCTCTGGGATCTCCTCTCTATCTCTGAATCTCTCTTTCTCTCTCACTATCACTAAGATCTCCTCTCTTTCTCTTTCTCTCTCTCTCTCTCCCTCTCTCTGTCTCTCTCAAATCTTCCGTCCCCCTCCTTCCCCATATATCTCTCATTCTCTTTCTCTCTCTCCCTCTCTCTGTCTCTCTCAAATCTTCCGTCCCCCTCCTTCCCCATATATCTCTCATTCTCTTTCTCTCTCTCCCTCTCTCTGTCTCTCTCAAATCTTCCGTCCCCCTCCTTCCCCATATATCTCTCATTCTCTTTCTCTCTCTTACTACCTCATCCTGGAATTTTCCTCTCTGTCTCTCTTTCTCCCACTGTCTCTCTCTGGGCTCTCCTCAATCTCTCTCTCTCTTTCTCTCTCTCTCTGTCCATATATATATATATATATATCTGTCTCTTTTTGTAGGATCTTCCTCTCTCTTTCGCTGTCTGTCTCTGGGATCTTCCTCTCTCTCTCTGTCTCTTTCTCTCACTTTCTCTCTGGGATCTTATTCTCTATTTCTGTCTCTCTGAGATCTCCTCTCTCTGTCTCTGGAATCTGCCTCTCTATCTCTGTCTATGTCTCTCTGTCTCTGTCTCTCTCACTGTCTCCCTCTGGTACCTTCCTCTATCTCTGTCTCTGCCTCTCTCTGGGATCTTCCATGTGTTGGGCCCATGGAGCGTCCTTAACAGAGGCTGGGCATGGCCAGGTTCCTGGAGGACAGAGCAGGAGAGTTAGAGGCAGAAGCCCTAGTCCTGGCTTGAACTGCGCATGGTGTGAGTCCCTGAAGTTCCAGTTTGGGAGCCTGGGCGGATGGGGAGGGCAGTGTCCGAGGCTGGTGGGAGGGGTGGGGCGAGGCTGGGTGCTGCAGGGGCCGCTGACAGGTCCCGCAGGCCCAGGGCCAAGCTGGGATCGGAGGCTCAGCGCGGCTCAGCGCTAATCTCCTCGTGACCTTGTAGAGGGCCTGAGCTGCCTGCTGTCTGCCCCCAGACCCAGAGGCTGAGTCGGAGGGTGGGGGTGTGCAGGGAGGGGCAGCAGCCTGGAGATCTGGGAGCCTCAAGAAGGGGTGCAGGGGGTGGGAGGGAGGCTTGGCCCCACGCCAGCCCTGCAGCAGCACTGCGTCTCAGATGCGGAGGCACAGAGGCTTGGGGGACGGGGAGACCATCTTTCCTACTGCCCTACAGTGCCGGGGTGGTCTCAGCTTTGCCCGATGGGGTAGACCCAGGATGGAGAGACATGGAGAGATGGAGAGATGTGGAGCTACAAAGGCCTGGGGTCAAGTCCTGTGCAGGAGGCCAGGAGAGGGGTGAGATGGGGGTCAGGAGAGAGAGAGGGAGAAAATCAGCTGCCCACCCAGAAACCTTAGTTGAAGGCTGGGAGCTGATGCTCGGGGCCCCATAAATGCTAAGGGCTGGGCCGGACTCTCAGATACTGAGAGAGGCTGGGGTCCTGGATCCCTGGGTCTGAGGGAGGAGGGGCAGGGGTCTGGACCCCTGGGTCTGAGGGAGGAAGGACTGGGAGCCTGGAATCCTGGGTCTGAGGGAGGAGGGGCCAGGGCCTGGACTCCTGGGTCTGAGGGAGGAGGGGCTGGGGCTGGACCCTTGGGTCTGAGGGAGGAGGGGCTGGGCCTGGACCCCTGGGTCTGAGGGAGGAGGGGCTGGGGCCTGGATTCCTGGTCTGAGGGAAGAGGGGCTGGGGCCTGGACTCCTGGATCTGAGGGAGGAGGGGCTGGGGCCTGGACTCCTGGATCTGAGGGAGGAGGGGCTGGGGCCTGGACTCCTGGTCTGAGGGAGGAGGGGCTGGGGCCTGGACTCCTGGTCTGAGGGAAGAGGGGCTGGGGCCTGGACTCCTGGATCTGAGGGAGGAGGGGCTGGGGCCTGGACTCCTGGTCTGAGGGAGGAGGGACCGGGACCCTGGGACTCCTGGCTCACCCTGGCCCTGGCCTTGGCTCCTGCTTGCCCTTGACACAGCCAGACCCCCTTGGGGAGCAGGCTCCCATCTGTTGGAGTGCACAGCTGAGGCTTTCCCAGTCAAGGCAGGAGGCCCAGATGGGCGCGCTGCGGGGTGGGAGCACCTCCAAGGGTGGGGACCATGCCTGTCTCGCTGTGGCCGCCTCTGCAGCTCCTTGCCATTTTCCATGCTGTCCGCCTCTCCCTGATCTGGTGCCAGCTCCCGCAGCCTCTGCGCCTGGGCCGGCCTCCCTTCCCCCTCGCAGGGGACCTGGCCCACATCTCTGACCATCCCTCCCTTGACCTCCCCCTTTGCCCTCTGCCTCCTCTTCCTGTCCCTCAGGCTGACTGTGGTTGCCGCTAGATAGGAAATATCTGTCCTTGTGTCTCTTCCTCTGAGCCTCAGTTTCTCATTTTCTCTCTCAATGTCTCTCCATGTGTCTCAGCCATGTCTCTCTGCTTGTCTCTGTCTCTTTGTCTCTATGTCCATGTCTCTTTCTCTGTCTCTTTCAGAGCATCTCTGTCTTTCCATGTGTCTCTGTCTTTCCTTCCCATGTCTAAGCTGCCTTCATTTCTCCTCTCGTCCCCACTCCGTTTCCTAAGACCACCTCCCTCTAACTTCCTTCTCTAGGGCTTTTAGCATCAGTCTTCTCCCAATCCATCCACAGCTTCCCTCCCTCCATCCCACTTACCTGACAGCCATCACTGACTACCCCTTTCTCCCTTCTCTCCCCTAGTCCTGCCCCAACCCAATCCTCCTTCCCAGCCCCCCGGCCCACCCTGCCCCACCCCACAGATCTGCAGCCCCATCCCCCACCTCCATCCCTGGGCCCATCAGCCTTTATCCGCCATCTTTCTCCCCAGCCCTCCTATTCTCCCTCCACTGGCCTCTCCCGCCCTCTTCATCCCACCTACCCCCACCCACCCCCTCCTCTCCTGATTCCCCCTCCCTTCAGCCCCGCCCCAGACACACAGGGAGGAATCCAGGGCTGCAGCAAGGGTCAGGTGGTCAGCCAGGGAGGGAGGCGGCATCTGCTGGAGAGACTCACAGACAGACAAGGACACACGGACACAGAGGCAAGGACACAGCCAGGCATGCACGCTCCCCACTACACAGTTGCACACGCACACCCTCAGCTGTGCACTCAGTCTCCCCACCGTGGCTCTCCTGTTCCTCTCCTCCTCCCAGCCTCCCATGCCTGCTCCCCTACATGAGGGGCTGCACACACACACACTGCAGCCCCAGGCTGCGACACTGCGGAGCCTGCACACACACACACACACACACACACACACACACACACACACACACACACTGCGGAGTCCCCCCATCCAGGCCTGGAAGGAGAAAGAGAGGTCATCTGGTGTCCATCCCACAACGTGGACCTATCCGCACCCTGCCAGGGAAGCAGGGGGGCCTCAATAACCCCAGACGCACTAACACGAGCTCTCACAGACACACCCAGACGCGATCGCAGACTTTCAGACACCACGGGGCCCACACACTCGCTGCCAGGGCCTGACAGAGCCAGCAGCTCTCATACGCACATGCAACTGTGCACATGCAACCGCACAAGGTCAGGCGGAGATGCTGAGGGCTGGCCCACAACCTCGCGGATCTCCGCACACAAAGCCATGCCAACGTGCGCCACAGACCCCCCGCCGCCCCCTGCGGCCCCACGACCACATGGATTGGCTGGGTCAGCCGGCTCCCCGGGTCTCGCAGGCCTGGCCCCGGAGCGCAGGGGTCCCGGTGCCCCCGCCCCCCGCGCACACCCAATGTCACCGGCCCCACAATGTCACACGGAAGCGGCGCCCAGCCGGCTCAGCACCTACCCCCATCTTGGCGGCTCCGCGGCGAGAGAGCCAGGCGGGCGGGGCGGGGACCTCGGGGCGGGCTCAGGCTCAGGCTTGGGCTGGGAGCCTCTGCAGCGCCCGCGCCTCGGTAGGTGCGCGCGTCCGTCCGTCCGTCCGTTGGTCCCACCGCACAGAGGCTGCGGCGGCCGCCGCCTCCGCCTCCTCATATGCCCGCGTCCGCGGGAGGGGGGCGGCGCTGGCCAATCAGGGGCGCCGCCGTGCTGACGGACGGCCCGCGGCCCCGCCCCTGGTACTGCAGCTGTCCTCCCCTTGGGCTCCGCAAAGTGGCGGCGCGGCCGCGAAGGGGGAGCGCTGCGGGGGTGGGGGGATTCCCAGAGACCTCCGCAATAGGGGACTTGGAGACCCCCTCAATATGGAGTAGGGCCTCCAAGAAGGGGCGCTCAGGGAAAGAAAACCCCGGAAATCCTCTCATTGTGGGGGTGTGCCATCACCGAGAAGGGTACGCTGGGGGAGGGGGGGCGGGTAGTGACACGGGGTGGGAGGGAAGCCCGGTGAATCACTGCAGTGTGGCACCAGGGACCCTGGAGACGGCGGGGGGTAGTGCTGTTCAGGGAGAGGGCCCTGCAGGAGGGGAAGTTGGAAGGGAACACAAGAGAGCAAGAAAGGCCTTGCAATTGAGGAGGGGTGCTGGCGGGAGGAGCCCTGAGATTCCCTCACTGTGGGTGCCCCCCCACTACGCCTGAGCTATCCAATGAGCCACAACCACACAGGGTACACGGGAGACACAACACGGTGGAGGATGGCCCCAGGAGGCCCAGAAAATGCCCAGCGTCACAGTTACACAGGACCATCACACTGATAGCCCAGATGCTGGGGACACGCACACACCACAGGGTTGCACTCATATTCCACCATAGGCCAGCATGTACCCTCACACACACAACACCACCCCACCACACACAGAGTCTCAAACATAGAGTGAAACACACATAGGGCACACACCTTACACACCCATCACACCACAAGAGACTCATAATCACAGCCACAAAGTGCTGTGCGGACTAACACCGACACTCAGAAAATCGCAGACTCACACATCACACACTCTACCACACCTGACCTCCCACCATCTCACATAGAAACCCACATCGTGCAACCCATAAACCAACACACACCTGCACTCAGCACCATCACACACGCACAGGCCTCACACTGCCTCCAGACACACTACATCAGCCTTTGTGGACATCGTTGCATGATCCCACGATGTCGCACACATCCTCACACACACTGCTCCCCAGTGTGTTTGGGCATGAGCAACGGCCCACAGTGCAAAGTTGCCAATGCTAACTGTGAATGACAGACAAAAAGGTGCACACACTTACACATAGCACAATAATTCAAACACAAGTCACGCGACACCCACACACCTCCCACACATACACACATCACGTTATTGCAGCACTATCGCAGACATCTTTGTTGCACCTCCAAACACACCCCAACGCCCTCACCCACATGACACACAGAGCTCGTCACAGTATATGTACACACACAGATGCACAGCCGGCACCCACACCCCAGGCCTGCTGCCGACACACAACACCCCATCAGCCACCCCACTGGAGCCCAAGAAGTTGAGGCCTCCCCACTCACTCCAACACCACTTTGTTCTATGAGGAACACCCCAGACTCTCCCTGGGGATGGTAGAAGGGGAAGAGAGAGAGAGAGAGACAGAGAGCATTTGACCTTGTAGTTTTCTCAGAATGTGGGTATCCTCTCCACCTATGGGATAGGAGATGTGGGGGACGCAGGCAAGGGACAGGGAGTGAGCTTGGTGTATGAGGGTGGGTGGGTGAAGGTCGAGGACCTGGTGCAGGGAAATGTGTGAAAGGCTGAAGGCCAGAGAGAGGCACAGAAACACAGAGATTCAGAGCCACAGCATATGGACAGAGACAAGGCCAGAGAGTGAATGGAGGCTTTCCCCAGTGCCCAGAGCCCCATCCCAATCCTGTCCTCTGACCCGTCCCCATCTTTCTCGCTGTCCTTTGTTGCCATGGTAACAGGGAGCTGCTTCTGCAGCAAAGGAGGTTGGGCCTGCAGACTGGGCTGTTGCCATGGAGACTGGGAAAGGGGGAGGAGCCACATCTTTTAACCCAGATGCCTCACCCCCAGACGCCCCCTCCCCAACTCTGCCCTCTTCCTAGGGGAGGGAGAGCCTATCAACATATCCTCCTTTCCTTCTCTTGACACCTTGGCCTAGAGGCATGGGCCTGGACCATGGAGAATGGGACTGGGGAGATGGGGAAGCCTGGGGAGGTGGGGGAGGCCTGGATTCCAGGAGATTCTAGGCTCTGTCTGCTCTTGCTCTCCAGCTGGGCCGGGGGAGGCCTTGAGCCCTTCCCATCCCACCTCAGACACAAGCTCACGTCCCCCCTCATGCACTCTCTCCTCAGGCACGAGCCTGATGAGACTGATGACTGTGCATCGTGCTCCTGGTGAGGCTCTGCAGAAGTAGGGGGGGCGGTGAGAAGGAAAGACCTGGGAAGGTCACAGGGATAAAGGGGAATAGGGGAGCTAGATGTGAGAGGCGGAAGGAGAGACACAGAGGGAGAAACAGGCAGCCCAGAACCAGAGAGAGGCGGATACAAACAGATTGAAAAAGACAGACAGAGATTGGCAGATGCAGAGATGAGAACACGGAGACAGAGCAACGGAAGAGTTCAGTGAAGGTGACAGAGACAGAGAGACGTAGACAGCCAGGCAGAGACAGGCTTGGTAAACCAGGGAGACTCAGAGATAAAGGCCAGGGGGAGACTGAGCAGAAACCTGGTAGGGGACCGGGGACTCAGAAATGGGGGAGACCCCAGAGGGAATTGGCCTCGAGGCATTGGGACAGAGAAGGGGGAGAAACCAGAAATGTCTGTAATCATGTTCTAGTCACCTCGACAAAGAGTCCGACCCAAGGGCAGAGACATTGATTGGAGTGTGTAAGAGACGTGGAGATAGAGATGCGAGACAACAGAGAGAGGCTGGTGCCTGCCCCCACACCTGTCCGAGGGGCACGCAACCAGGGTCTGAGACGCAGAAGGGGACGGGTGGCGACGGGGGGCGCTGTGTGCGGGGAGGGGTCTCCCAGGGTGTGGCCGGCCTGCCAGGACTGCGCTGGGCAGGCGGGCCCTGGAGGGAAGTCGGGCGCTCTGGGCTCAGGCTGGCCAACTGGGTGCTGAACGGACAGCTCCCAAGCCCCGGGCCGCCGCCCAGGAACGGGCGCAGCCTCGCTCTCTCTGGGACCTTTCCAGTCAGGCTTTCCTTTCCGTTCCAGTCCCCTCCAGGTTCCATTTAGTTTTTTATGGCTTCCTGTCTCTCACCCCAACTCCGGGTGTATCTTACCCTCCCGCTTCACCTCTGGTCTCAGCCCTCTATTCTTTCTCCAGTCTTCTCTCACCTCACCCAGCCTCTCTCCCTGTCTCGCCGGCTCTGTGTCCTCTAGCTCTCTCTCCCCATCCCCCTCCCGCCCACTCTGCCCCCTTCGTTGTCTCTCCCCATCTCTGTCTCTCGCCATCCCTCCATCTCTCCCTTTCTGCTCGGCCTCGTTTTGGCTCTTGCTGTGTGACCTTCACTCGTCCTTCCTCAGCTGCAGTTTCCACAGAAACCTCCGGCGGGGCAGGGAGGGCGGGGACAGAAGGCGGACCCACCTTTCTCCTGCGCCATCAGCCCTTCAGCCTCTCCCACCCCTGCCCGCCCACCCACCCCCCAGTCTACTGGGATTCCTCACTTCCTCTCTTGGGGGTTGGGGAGGTACATTTTCAACAGAAACACGGGATCACAGCCACAGACAGTTGAAGATGGCCTCGCAGATGCGTGCACACACGATCACAACGTCACTGAATCACCCCGGCCCAGGCACACACTCGCCACCCCAGGCACGGCCACACTCAACAGCTCACTGGCCCTCCCCTCCCCCAGCCCCATCTGTTTTCTGTCTTTCTGTGTCTCCGCTTCCGGTGTCTCCGCGTCTCCAGATCCCTGCATCTCTCCATCTGTCTCAGGGTCTCTGTCGCAGCCTCCCTCTGTCCTGAGAGAAGGTCAGTGGAGAGGGGCCAGCTGCTGGGACCCGGGCTGGCCTGCAGCCTGTAGGCAGGGCTGAGGGTGGAGAGAGCATGGAAGTAACCATCGAGGCTCACTCTGATTCTCAGCAGGTGCCCCGGGGACCCAAGCCTCCAAAGCCCTCACACCCCCAGGAAATGAGAGACGGTATCCCCAGTTCTGGGGTTTTGTTCTTTTTTTTATTCCAACAGGGGCTGCGATGTGGCAAGGGGAGGGATGGGGGCCCAACTGACCCCCTCCCTGGGGGAGGTCTCATAGAAATTCCGAGGTTTCTCCCCCCAAAAAAGAGAGGAAGAGAAGAGTGGAGGGGCACCAGGGGACACCCATCTGTCCAGAGGCCCTCCCCACCTCCAGAAGCGTGGGGGGCTGCGTCAAGTCTTGGGGAGCCTGAGCAGTCCCAGAATGGGGTCCTCTCCGCTGACTGCTTTCCGCTTCCCAGAGCCGCCCCCGAAGTCCCCAGCCCCTGGAGTCCTCGGTTCCTGCGCCCTTCTCGCCCGCGGCACCCTCTCGCGAGTCCACTGGGGGGCGCAGGCGGGCTCCAGAGCCAGGCCTCGGACTTCGCGGGGAACCAAAGGCAAAATCGCGGCGTCCGGGGCGCCGGCGCACAAGTCCTGTCCCGCGCCCGCTGCGGGAGCGGAGACTGCTGGGGCCTGGGGCGGGCCCCGTCCCTTCGGTCAGTCCGGGCGCCCGCACAGCCCCGCCCGTGGTCACTCGTGCTCCGCCAGCTCCCGGGGGCCGGCGGGGCCAGGCCGCGGCCGGGGCGGGCTGGTGGCTTCGGCGGGGACGCCCAGGCCACGCGGAGGCGCGCCGGCCCCCGAGGCCCGCAGCGCCTGGATGCGCCGGCACTCCTGGCAGACGCGCACGTGGGTGCAGGGGGTGGGGGCGGCGGGTCGGGCTCCGCTGGGGGGCCCCGGGTCGTCCAGGAGGCGCTGCGGGCCCCCGTGCGCGCTGCCCGCATCCCCGCCCGCGCCGGCCGAGTAGAGCTTGCCGTTGCTGAGGCGCATCTCGCGGACCGCGCGCAGTGACAGCAGGGCCCGGCTCGGGCCGCCCGGGCGTCGGCGCCGGCGGGAACGCGACGTCTTGCGGCAAGAAACGGCGTGGCGCAGCTCCTGCAGCATCTCCTGGCACACCGACACCTGGGGGTGGCGCGGGCGGTCACCGTCCCGGCGCAGTCCGCCTCCCGCCTCCCCCAGCCCCTCTCCACATCCCACTCCTCCTCCTCCTTTCCTCGCCCGGGTCTTTCTTCCTTCTGCCCTCGCTTCCCTTCCCACTTCTCTTCCCTTTATCTCCCCCGTGTTTTCTGCCTCCCCTCTCCACCTCTCCCCACTTATCTTCAATGTCTCCATTCTACTCTGCGTTTGTTCCTGAATCTGCCCTTCACCTTCCACCTAAGCTCCTCTCTTTCCTCTGGTCTTTTCACTGTCTCTAAATTTTCTCCAGTTCTTCCTTCCTGATTTCCCATCTTCTGCCCCTCATCCATGCGTTCATTATTGCAAGGCATATTTACCTGTGGCCTGCTGTGTGCCCGGCACTGTTCTGAGCACTGGGGATATGGCAGAGAAGGAAACAGACAGAAGTCCCAGCCCTCGTGGAGGTTATGCTCAAGTGTGCAGAGACAGAAGATAACAGACATGTATGTAGTGTGTTAGGCGTGGTGAGTGCTTTGGAAAGAAAGAAAATCGGGAAGAGGCCTAAGGTGTATGGGTAGGGAGTGACGATGAATTCTGAGACAGGACAGTCAAGGAAGACCTCACTGAGAGAAGGATCCTTAAATAAAGACAGGGTGAGCCACTGGAGACCTGGGAAGCCAGCCTGCTGGACAGATAACCGGGCAGGGCCGAAATGCCCAGGTGGGAGTGACTTGGCACGTCTGAGGCACTGCAAGCAGGTCAGCATGGCTGGAGGGGGGCGTGCACAGGGAAGACAGAAAAATGAGGTCAAAGGAGCAGTGGCGGCCAGCTCTGGTAAGGCCCATAAACCACTGGAAGGATTTTTGGCTTTCATTCTGAAAATCAGAATGAGAGTCAGACGGGAATCACTGGGGAGCTTTAGGTAGAGGAGTGCTGTGTTTTCATAGGATCACTCTGTGTTGAGAACAGATTGTAGGGAGGCCAAGGCAAGAGCAGGGAGCTCATGGAGGAAGCTATGACAATAACCCGGGCAGGAGATAGGGATGGCTGGACCAGAGCGACCTGAGAAAGGTCTGGATTCTGGATATATTCTGAAGGTGGAGCCAATAGGATCTGCTAAGAGATCAGATACGGGGCATGGAAGAGAGAGAATAGTGAAAGAAAGCTCCAATATTTTGGCCCGAGCAACTGGAAGGACCAAATTGCCTCACAGGTGGGCAGAAGCCCAATGTTGGACACATCGCATCACGTGCACACCTATCAGATATCCAAGTGGAGATACCAAGTGTGGAGCTGAAGTTGCAGACCTTGGCTTCAGGGGAGACACATATTTGTGGGTTAAGGCAGGCAGCCTTCAAGATCCCACCTCCCGCGTCCACGCCCCTGTGTAATCCCCTCTGACACTGTGTCAGAGCTGGTCTGTGTGACCAACAGAATAAGTTTCAGCCATTGCACATTCTGCTTCCGCCTTGCTCTCTCTGATCACTCGCCCTGGGGGATCTCAGCTGCCATGGTGTGAGGACACTCAAGCAGTCCTTGGAGAGGTCCTTGTCTGAGGAACTGAGGCCTCCTGCCAACTGCCATGTGAGTGTATTCATCATGTTTTTTATTTTCTGTGTCTTAGGATGTTTTGACACTTTAAACATCTTGCAGGCTGGGGAGAGACTACCCCTCCCAGAACTAGCCAAGCCTTAGAGATAGCAGAGGGCTCAGCTGCCTTTCATGTGCAAACCAACCAATCTATACCCCCAACCTCCCCCTTTACCTAACTCTCACATACCAAGCCAATATTCTTCCTGACCTAAATCAACCCGGGGCCAGGTACCAGATAAGTAGGGACAGCCCCTATAGCCCAGAGTCCACTGACATTATCCAAACTGGTGAATCGTAAGCTGTTTCCCCTTCTCCTGGGAAATGTTAAAGAATAAAAATCATTTTTCTTTCTGTTTCTTTTTGAGACAGTCTCACTCTGTCACCCAGGCTGGAGGGCAGTGGTGCAATCTCGGCTCACTGCAACCTCCACCTCCCAGATTCAAGTAATTCTCCTGTCTCAGCCTCCTGAGTAGTTGGGACTACAGGTGTCCACCACCATATCTGGCTAATTTTTGTGTTTTCAGTAGAGACAGGGTTTCACCATGTTGGCCATGCTGGTCTTGAACTCCTGGCCTCATGTGATCTGCCCTCCTCAGCCTCCCAAAGTGCTTGGATTACAGGCGTGAGCCACCACACCTGGGCAAAAATCATCTTTCAATGAAATTGGTCTCCATGTTGTCACTTGGCCACCTCCAGAAACTAAAATCCCATGGGGACATTTGGGACAGTGAGCCATCTTAGAACGGAACCCTCCACCCTTTGTTGAGCCTTCAGACCACAGCAGTCTGGCCAAAAAACATGACTATGACCTCATCAGAGACCCATGGCAGCCAGAAACATCCAGCTAAGCTGCTCCGAGGCTCTGGACCCACAGAAACTGTGAACCAATGGAAGCTGGCTTTTTAAAAGCTGTTAAGGTCATTTGTTATGATAGCAATAGATAACTAACACAAGAATCACCAGCACATAGTGGGTCTTAAGAGCCATTTGGCTGGTGGGATCATTCAAGTAGTGGAGAAAGACCGAGAAGAGAAGCAGTCTAAGGACTGAGCCCTGGAGCCCCACAACAAACAGAGCCTGGGGAGAAAGAGAAACCCAACGAGGGAGCCTGGGAAGGAGTGACCGGAGAAGTGGGAGAAGGGGAAGAAGGGGCTTTGAGGATTGAGAGTGACTGGCTGTGCCGAAGCCCACTGCTACCTCATATACATGAGGCCTGAGACCGGGAATTTCAGACATGGAAGTTGCTGGTGACAAGAGTGGCTTCAGTGGAGTGGCAGGGACCGATGCCAGACTGGAGTGGGGGGCAAGAGGAAATGGGAGGAAAGAAGAAACTGGAAGCATCAGGGAGACCCCCCACTGCTGCCAAGGCTGTAAAGAGAAGGGAAGAAAGTGGGCGGTGGCTGGGAGGGAAAGTGAGGTCAGGAGAGGGTTTAAGACTGGAGAAATGACAGCATATTTGTACGTTGGTGGCCTGAATCCAATAAAGAGAGGACAACTGATGCTGCAGGAGGAAAGGACAGACTTGCCGGAGGGATGTCCTTGAGAAGGCAACCTGGACACGGGTGGAGGGCACCTTTACTAGCAGCATGGACGGCTCCTTCAGAGGAGTCCTTGGGCCAAGTGCAGAACACTGGCAGGCAGCTGGATGCAGAGCTGGGGTCTGGGGAGTAGATGTAAGGTCAGCCGCTGGATGTGAGGAGGGGGAGGAAGGGCTGGAGGCTGACAGAGAGAGGGGAAGCAGGGAACCAGCAGTCCAGGGGTGCAAGAGCACGAATGGGTCTGGAAATGCAGGGGTGTGGCTGGGCGGCCCCCAGGGACATGGAAGCAGCCCTCCTGAACACAGTGTGGGACCAGTCCAGGGCTGTGTCCTCTTCTGGTTCCCTCTGTCACCCAGGCTGGAGTGCAGTGGTGCAATCTCAGCTTACTGCAATCTCCACCTCCCGGGTTCAAGCGATCCTCCCATCTCAGCCTCCCGAGTAGCTGGGATTACAGGTGTGCACCACCATGCCCGGCTAATTTTTGTATTTTTAGTAGAGATGGGGTTTCACCATGTTGGCCAGGCTGATCTTGAACTCCTGACCTCAGGTGATCCGCCAGCCTCGGCCTCCCAAAGTGCTGGGATTACAGGTGTGAGCCACTGCACTTGGCCCTGTTTCTCTTCTTATTTCTTCTTGCTTTTCTGCCTCTGTGGCTCCCCACATCCTGTCCCTCACCTCCTCTCCCTGCATCCTCATTGCTCCCTGTGCCTACTTTCCCTCCTGTTCTTCCTCACGCGCTGATTCTCTGGCCCCATCAGCTCTCTTACTTCCCCACCTCCTGCATTCCTCTGCCCCCTTCTCGCGATCCCCACCACCCTCCAGGTATGGCTCCCAATGCCACAATCTTCACGCACCTCAGCCCCTGGGGGTCCCTGTTCCTGCCCACCCCCACCCCCAGCCTCCTCACCTCCTCGGACTCAGCTGACCTCCGTGTGGACCATATGAATTCCATGACCGCCACGAAGACAGCAATGATGAGGCCACAGATGAGCACGATAAAAATGCCACCAATGTTCTCCATGCCCAAACCTGGAGGGCGAAGGGAGTTGGGGGGCAAAGGGAGTTGGGGCTGTGTGGGAAGGGGGCTGGGAGGGGGCTATGGGAAGGGGACACCATACGCGGGAACTGACCTTTAGCTCGATGGTCCTCCTCCTTGGGGCACCGGCCCCCCTCCCACCACTTGCGCTTCAGGATCTCCAGCCGGTTGTTCTCCTGAAGCTGCAGGATGGCCAGTGTGATCTCATCCCGGAACGGGGAGCCTGGGCAGGCACACGAGGGGCTGGACCAGCCATCGGGCCCTGCAGCCCTGACCGCCCCAAACCCCAAACTGTGCCCTCACCACGGCCTTCCCCCGCCTCTACCACGTGCCCAGGGTCTTCCCTGCAGCCTCTCCTCACCCCCAGCCCAGTCTCCTCTCAACACAGCAGCCAGAGAGACAGTGTTAGGAAGAGTCAGAGGCCATACCTTTCCTGTGCTCAGGACTCTCCATGGCTTCCTGTTGCAAGCTCCTCCCCTCGGCCACTCTCAGACACCCTCACCCCCACGGCTCTCAGCTCCAGCCTCATCAGCCTCCTGGCTGCTCCCCAAATTCATCACACACAGTCCTGTCTTAGGACCTTTGCCTCTGCCTGGAATGTCCCTCTCCGCACTTCATCCAGGTCTCTGCCCACATGCTGGCTCCCCAGGGAGTCTATTCTGATGACTTTATTTAAAATGGCACCAAGCGCCCCACTCCCTGTCAGTGTCTTCCCTTTAATTTACTTTGGAGCAGCTGTCACCACCTAACACTGTATTATATGGCTATGTGTTTATCATCTTTCGTCTGCATCCAGTGCGGGACTTGGCATGCAGTTGGACACCAGACGAATCCCCATCCACACCTCTCCCTGGACCACCTCTCCTCCCCAACCTCACATCCTGCCCTTAAGCCATCCTTGGGCTTCAACACCCCACACACCCTATTCTATACTTATTTCTTCATTGACTAAGATACTTCCCGACCAACTACCACAGAACCAGAGACACGGGCAGATGAAAGTGATTAATATCTACCAGGCACCAACTGTGTGCCAGACCCTGGGTTTATTCAGGTCTTATGATGATCCTGTGGGACAGGTATCCCACCTGAGGCAAGTGTTTCTGAATGACGAAAGTGATACACTTGCTTAAGACTGTGCACTGAGTCAGGGAGGAAACTGAGATTTCTTCCTTTCTTTTGACAGAATCTCACTTGGTTACCCAGGCTGGCATACAGTGGCATGATCATTGTTCACTGCCACCTCCACTTCCTGGGCTCAAGCGATCCTCCTACTTCAGCCTGTAGCTGAGACTACAGGTGCATACCACACCTGGCTAATTTTTTAATTTTTTGTAAAGACAGGGTCTTGCTATATTGCCCAAGCTGGTCTCAAAACTCTTAGGTTCAAGTGATCCTTCCGGCTTGGCCTCCCAAAGCACTGGAATCATAGGCATAAACCACAGTGGCCAGCCGGAACTGGGATTTGAATCCAGGTCGGTGTGACTCCTGAGCCTGTCCTCCAAGCACCAAGCTACACTGCCTCCCTGGCACCGACTCACCTACAAAGCTGCTAAGATCTGGGGCAATTTGCTATGCAGTAATAGATAACTAATACAGGTGTCATCAGTACATAAATGATTTTAAAAGCCAAAATGCCAAAATTTGGTGACAATTTGGTCGTGAGTTCCACCACTGAGTCCTGGAAAAACATGTCCTGGGCCATGCGAGGTGGCTCATACCTGTAATCCCAACACTTTGGGAGGCCAAGGCGGGCGACAGAGCAAGACTCCGTCTCAAAAAAAAAAAAAAAAAAAACAAAACACCAAACTTGTCCTGAAATATAAATAGGCACATACAAGTCTCCCTACCAGATCATTCCATCCTTCCCATCCATCTTACAAGCATTTTTCAAGCACCTGCTCTGAGCCAGGCTATAGGATTTTTCCAAGAAATAGGAAACAAGACCAGGTCCTCACCCCCACAGGGCCCTTGGGGGAAGACAGCAAGCCCCACCACCCACATATACTGAATTGTATACACAGTCTCACTGAATTCTCCCAACAGCTCTGGGAGGGCTGGATTGCTGCTAGGCCTGGTTTTGCAGGTTGGGGGTACAGAGGCTCAGGACGGTGATGTCGCCTGCCCAAGACCATACAGCCAGGAGGCCACATGCAACACACCCAGCCTGCCTCGGGGGTGCCTGGCCCGGTCCTGGGCCTGCTCACAGGTGGTTTTGGATGCCCACGGCCCTGCTGTGTTCCACACCGTGCTGTGCCGTACCCAGCGGCATGCCAATGCCGTAGCCCTTGGTGTCGAGGAGTCCCCCGATCTGGGTGAGGTTGCAGTTGAGGCGCCGGTGGTATTCGTTCATGGTGGACTCGAGCAGGAAGGCGTAGCGGGAGTTGAGGACGCGGGCAATGCCCTCTTCTGTGCTCTTGACGAACACGCTGGGCTGCTTCGACTGCATGTAGTTCCACATGCGCTGGTACGTTTGGTACCGTGAATTCTGGGCAGGAGGATCACAAGGGGAAGATGGGAGGGTCTTTCCAGCCGCTTCCTTTCCCCGAGCCCTTCCCATCCTCCAGGAAGTCTCCCTCAACCCAGGAGAATGCAAGGTGATCAAAGGAAGACAGAGCCAAAGGTAGAGGAGAGAGAGGAGATGGACAAACTGTCCAGGCCAGGTCCAAGTCATCCCCACAGCCACTGTGCCCACCACCCACCTGGGGGGCCCGGTGAGTGCACCTCCACCTCCTTCCCCTTAACCCTCCAGCCGGTGGCCGCTGCCCAACTCAGGCCTCCTTTAGACCACTAGGACCTCCCTGCCAAGCTTGCTTTCCTCTTCTTTCCTTCCCACCACCCCAAAATACAAAAGATCAAGCACTTTTCACCTTGAAGGGCCTTCCCTTCTCTCTGTCAGCCCATATTCCTGGTCCCGACCCTTCCAGCAGCCTCCTTGATCCCATTTGGCCCATATGACATTGACATTTGATACCACATATGCCTCCCTGCCCTCATTCCCCAGTTCCCTAGCCAGCCAGCTGCGAGCCCCATGACAGCACATGTGTGTTTTCTGCTCCCCAGCCTCCAGGCTGTCACTGACAATCAGTCCCTCTGACCCAGGAGACCCTGCCCAGACCCATCCTGAGCTGCTTTGCATGGCAGGGATCCCAACACCACGCCTGAGAGGTTCTGGTGGCCCCACCTGGAAGAAGGTCATGGTGGAGCCGGCGTGGATGGTGCCATACTCGATGTTGGTCTGATCTGCCAGGTCATCGGCCGACTCCACAGGCACCTCCATGCGCTGCACGGTGAGGAAGGCGGCCAGGTTGGCCGTGTAGGAGGAGATGATGATCAAGGTGAAGGCCCACCTGAAGGGTGGGAGGGGTGAGTCACGGGCTGGAGTCACCCCTGCTGACCTGCCCCCGTGGCCATGCCCCCCATTGGTGGTGCCCCTCCCAAGTGACCCCAGCATCTGGAAGACTCAGTGACTGCTGGGTGCAGAAGCGGGGAGTGTGGATTCTGAAGCCAGACTTCCTGGTTGTAAATATTGCATCCGGAGACTTCTACTTCCAGATATAAAAGAGTAAGATGGTCTGGAAATACCCTCCCACCATAAACAGCTAAAGAGCTGGATAGAATACAGGAAACTTTTTTCTTTTTTTTTTTTTTTTGAGACAGATCTTGCTTTGTCAGCCAGGATGGAGTGCAGTGGCACGATCTCAGCTCACTGCAACCTCTACCTTTGGGGTTCAAGTGATTCTCCTGCCTCAGCCTCCCAAGTAGCTGAGATTACAGGTGCCCACCATCACGCCCGGCTAATTTTTGTATTTTTAGCAGAGACGGGGTTTCACCATGTTGGCCAGGCTGGTCTCGAACTCCTGACCTCAGGTGATCCACCTGCCTCAGCCTCCCAAAGTGCTGGGATTACAGGAGTGAGCGACCACGCCCGGCCAGGAAACTATTTAAAACATAGGACAAGAGACATCATAGAACTGTGATCCCTGAGAAGAGAAACAAAATGAGTCTTATTGTCCAGGCTGCTTGGCTGGATTTAATTTATAGGAAGGGAAGCCCAAACAGCCCAGCAATCCTGCTGAGTTGCAGAGACGGAGACTGGTGATCAGGCAGGCCAACATGGCTGGAATTTGGGGGATAGAGTGCCTGAGAGGAGGGAGCTGCAAAGAGAGGGAGGATTCAGAAACCGGTGGTCCCCTTGAGTCTTTGGCTGAATATCAATCTGTGCATGCATGGGGTGAAACTCTGTGGGGCTGGACAAGAGCAACTTTCAAGGAGAAAACAATTCTTAGAGTTGACACAGGGCTGAGAGTCTTTTGAGCTCCCTGCAGCCAGAGTAGAAAGATTTCATTGAATACATGAGACATTCAGTAGAGACCCAAAAGTGTAACATACTAGAAATAGGATTAAGTTAGCCCTAGAATAAAGGCAATGCTAAAGCTGCACTAAAAAAGCTTAAAAACAGGCCTAGAAGTATCAAAGTAATTCACAAGTAACCTAACTAGATTCCAGAAAAAGTTTATAAATACTCTGTAAAAAAATATATTCAGCAATGTAAACAATGTCTGTTATGTAATTTTTTTTTTTTTCTTGAGACAGAGTCTCACTCTGTCACCCAGGCTGGAGTGCAGTGGTGTGATCTTGGCCACTCCCGGGTTCAAGTGATTCTCCCGCCTCAGCTTCCTGAGTAGTTGGGATTACAGGCACCTGCCAGCACGCCTGACTAATGTTTGTATTTTTAGTAGAGATGAGGTTTCACCACGTTGGCAGGTTGGCCTTGAACTCCTGACCTCAGGTGACCTGCCCACCTCGCCCACCCAAGGTGCTGGGATTACAGGCATGAGCCACTGTGCCCGGCCTATTACATAATTTTTTAAAAAAATACCAGGTTGGGCACGGTGGCTCACACCTGTAATCCCAGCATTTTAGGAGGCTGAGGTGGGCGGATTGCTTGAGGCCAGGAGTTCAAGGACAACCTGGCCAACATGGCAATACCCCGTCTCTACTAAAAATACAAAAATTAGCTGGGTGTGATAGCACACGCCTGTGATCCCAGCTACTTGGGAGGCTGAGGCACGAGAATCGTTGGAATCCAGGAGGTGGAGGTCGCAGTGAACCGAGATCACCACTGCACTCTGGCCTGGGCAACAAAGCAAGACTCTTGCCTCAAAAAAAAAGGACCAGGTAAACAAAGGTGCAGGAAAATGTGACCTATAACCAAGAGAAAAATCACTCAATTGAAACAGACCCAGAATTGACATAGATGATGACGGAATTAGCAGACAAGGACATGAAAACAGCTATTATAAATACATTCAGAATGCTCAAGAGTATAAAGAAAAACATGAACGTAATGAAAGGAACAGAAGATATAAAAAGAAGTGAACAGAACTTTTAGAGAATGATATACACATATCTGAAAGAAAAATTTTACTGAAAGGGATTACACAGATTAGACACCGGCAGCAGAAAAGATGAGGGAATTTGGGCCAGGCACAGTAGCTCATGCCTGTAATCCTAGCACACTGGGAGGCCGAGGCAGGAGGATCACTTGAGGCTGGGACTTTGAGATAAGCCTGGTCAACATAGCCAGACCCTGTCTCTACAGAAAAATAAAAAAATTAGATGGGTGTGGTGGTGCCTGCCTACAGTCCCAGCAACTTGAGAGGCTGAGGTGGGAGGATCACTTGAGGCCAGAAGTTTAAGTCTACACTGAGCCTGGTCGTCACTGCACTCTAGTCTGAATGACTAAGTGAGACCTTATCGTTATTTTTTTATTTTATTTATTTATTTATTTTTGAGATAGAGTCTCGCTCTGTCCCAAGCTGAAGCTGGAGTGCAATGGCGCGATCTCGACTCACTGCAACCTCCGCTTCCCGGGTTCAAGCGATTCTCCTGCCTCAGCCTCCTGAATAGCTGGGATTACAGGCACCCGCCACCATGCCCAGATAATTTTTGTATTTTTTGTAGAGATGGGGTTTTGCCACGTTGGCCAGGCTGAGACCTTATCTTTAAAAAAAAAAAAAAAGGCTGGGCGCGGTGGCTCACGCCTGTAATCCCAGCACTTTGGGAGGCCAAGGAGGGAGGATAACCTGAGTTCAGGAGTTTGCGACCAGCCTGACTAACATGGCGAAAACCCTTCTCTACTAGAAATACAAAAATTAGCCAAGTGTGGTGGTGCATGCCTGTAATCCCAGTTACTCAGGAGGCTGAGGCAGGAGAATTGCCTGAACCTGGGAGGTAGAGGTTGCAGTGAGCTCAGATTGTGCCACCGCACTCCAGCCTGGGCAACAGAGTAAGACTTTGTCTCAAAAAAAAAAAAAAAAAAGCCAGGCACAGTGGCTCAGGCCTGTAATTCTAGCACTTTCGGAGGCCGATGGGGGCGGATTGCCTGAGCTCAGGGGTTCTAGACCAGCCTGACCAACATGGAGAAACCCCATCTCTACTAAAAATACAAAATTAGCCGAGCATGGTGGTGCACGCCTGTAATCCCAGCTACTTGGGAGGCTGAGACAGGACAACTGCTTGATCCCAGGAGGTGGAGGTTGCTGTGAGCTGAGATCACGCCACTGCACTCCAGCCTGGGCAACAAGAGTGGAACTCCATCTCAAAAAAAAAAAAAAAAAGATTAGAGAATTTGAAGAACTGCAATAGAATCTATCCAAAATAAAGCACAGAAAGGAAAAAGTGATGAAAATGAGCACAGAGCCTCAATGGCCTGAGAAATAAGTGGCTTTACCTATGTGACTGGAGTTCCAGAAAGAGAGGAGAGAAAGGGATAACCAAAAAAAAGTCTGATGAAGTAATGGCCTACAACTTTTCAAATTTGATGAAAACCATAAACTTGCAGATGTAAGCTCCATAAACCCCAGGTAGGCTAAACACACATATTTATAAAACGCACCAAGACACATTATAATCAATTGCTGAAAACCAGCAATAAAGAGAAACATCTTAAAAGCAGCTAGAAGGGGGGAAACATATTACATTCAGAGAATCAAAGATAACAGTGCCAGTCGACTTCTTGTCAGAGAGTGTGCAAGCCCAAAGATGATGCAACATGCTGAAAGAAAAATCAAAACAAACTGTCAACCTAGAATTCCACAGCAGGCAAAAATATCCCTCAAAGAAGACACACTAACACATTTTTCATACAAAACCAAAGCTGGGAGAATTAATTGCCAGCAGACCCGCACAGCAAGAAATATTAAAGGAAGTTCTGCAGGTAAAAGAAACACAACACCAGATAGAAACGTGGATGTACCAGAAGGGGTGAAGGGCACCCTCTTCAAATGGTAGATTTGTGGGTAAATAGAAAAGATATATTCCTCACTTTCAAATTTCCTTACGAAGCATTTAGTGGTTTGGTTTTGTTTTTGAGACAGGGTCCTGCTCTAGGGTGGAGAGGCGTGAACACAGCTCACTGCAGCCTCAACCTCCTGGACCCAAGCAATTCTCCCACCTCAGCCTCCCACGGAGCTGGGACCACAGGCATGCATCACCATGCCTGGCTAATGTTTCTTAGTTTTTGTAGAGATGAGGTCTCGCTATGTTGGCCAGGCTGGTGTTGGACGCCTGGGTTCAAGGAATCCTCCAGCCTCGGCCTCCCAAAGTGTTGGGATTACAGGCGTGAGCACCACACCCAGCATTTACTATCTAACACACACACACACACACACACACACCCCTAATGTATTGTGGGGTTCATAAGATATGCAGAGCTCAAAGGACGGGAGGGTGAGAGGAACATATCATGTTGTCAAGGTCTTATATCTTACGTGAAATGGTATAATGTTACTTGAAAGTATTTTGTGGCTGGGTGCGGTGGTTTACGCCTGTAATCCCAGCACTTTGGGAGGCCGAGGCAGGAGGATCACGAGGTCAGGAGATCGAGACCATCCTGGCTAACATGGTGAAACCCCGTCTCTACTAAAAATACAAAAAAATTAGCCAGGCGTGGTAGCGGGCGCCTGTGGTCCCAGCTACTCGGGAGGCTGAGGCAGAAGAATGGCATGAACCCGGGAGGCGGAGCTTGCAGTGAGCCGAGATCGCGCCACTGCACTCCAGCCTGGGGGACAGAGCGAGACTCCGTCTCAAAAAAAAAAAAAAAAAGTATTTTGTAATAAATTAAAGATCCATATTGCAAACCCAGAAAACCACTAAGAAAAATAAAACAAAGAAGTACAGTTAACAAGTCAAGAGTAGAGATAAGCAGAATCTTGAAAATCCCAACAGGCCAGGCACAGTGGCTCACGCTGTAATTCCATCACTTTGGGAGGCCAAGGTGGGCAAATTGCTTGAGCTCAGGAGTTTGAGACCAGCCTGGGCAATGAAGTGAGATCCGGTCTCTACAAAAAATTTAAAAAATTAGCTGGGCATGGTAGAGCGCACCTATGGTCCTAGCTACACAGGAGGCTGAGGCAGGAGGATGGCTTGAGCCCAGGAGTCGTGTTCGTGCCACTGCACTCCAGCGTGGGTGACAGAGTGAGACCCTGTCTCAAAAAGAAAAGAAAAGAAAAGTCCCAGTAACCCCCTAAAGGTAGAAAAAGAGGAAAAGGGGAACAAAGAACAGATGGGACAAATAGCAGGTTGGTAGATTTAAACCTAACCATATCAGTAATTACATTAAGGGTAATTGGTTTGAACCAGCGGCTGGCTAACTATGGCCCACAGGCCAAATCTGACCTGCTGTCTATTTTTGTACAGCCCCATAAGCTAAGAATGGCTTTTACATATACATATATGTATATGTATATATACATGTATGTGTATGTATGTATGTATGTATGTATGTATGTATTTATTTATTTGGAGACAGAGTCTCTCTCTGTTGCCCAGGTTGGAGTGCAGTGGCACGATCTCAGCTTACTGCAACCTCTGCCTCCCAGGTTCAAGCAATTCTCCTGCCTCAGCCTCCCGAGTAGCTGGAACTACAGGCGCACACTGCCACGCCTGGCTAATTTTTTGTATTTTAGTAGAGATGGGGTTTCACCTTGTTGCCCAGGTAGGTCTAGAACCCCTGAGCTCAGGCAATCCGCCCGCATCGGCCTCCCAAAGTGCTAGGATTACAGGCATGAGCCACCACGCCCGGCCAGTTTTCACATTTTTAAATGGTTAAAATGAAATCAGAAGAACAGGCTGGGCGCAGTGGTTCACACCTATAATCCGAGCACTTTGGGAGGCCAAGGTGGGTGGATCGCTTGAGCCCAGGAATTGAGACTAGCCTGGGCAACATGGCGAAACCCTATCTCTACAAAAAGTTAGCCAGACTGGGTGGCACGTGCCTGTGGTTCCAGCTACTCAAGAGGCTGAGGTGGGAGGATTCCTTAAGCCTGGGAGGTTGAGGCTGCAGTGAGCCAAGATTGTACCACTGTACTCCAGCCTGGGCAACAGAGTGAGATATTGCCTCAAAAAAAAAAAAAAGGAATATTTTATGACACATGACTTATATAAAATTCAAATTTCAGTGTCAGTATCCATAAATAAAGTTTTATTGGAACACAGCCACACTCATTCATTTAATGTATCATCTACAACAGCTTCTATACTACAATGGAAGATTGAGTAGCTGGAACAAAGACCATATGATCAACAAAGTACAAAATATTTACTTAGGGCCAGAGCAGTGGCTCATGCCTGTAATCGCGGCACTTTGGGAGGCTGAGGCAGGAAGATCGCTTGAGGCCAGGAGTTCAAGACCAGCCTGGGCAACAAAGTAAGAACTCTCTACAAAAAAAAAAAAATGAAAATAATAAAAAATTAGCCAGGCACGTAGTCCTAGCTACTCAGTAGGCGGAGGCAGGAAGATCCCTTGAGCCCAGGAGTTTGAGGCTGTAGGGAGCTATAAACACACAGCACTCCAGCCTAGAGACAGAGCAAGATCCTGTCTTTAAAAAAATAAAAATAAAGATAAATATTTAAAAACATCTTTTTTTTTCTTTTTTTCTTTTCTTTTTTTTTTTTTTTTTTTGAGATGGAGTCTTGCTCTGTCGCCCAGGCTGGAATGCAGTGGGGCGATCTCGGCTCACTGCAAGCTCCGCCTCCCAGGTTCGCGCCATTCTCCTGCCTCAGCCTCCGGAGTAGCTGGGACTACAGGCACCCGCCACCGCACCCGGCTAATTTTTTGTATCTTTTAGTAGAGACAGGGTTTCACCATGTTAGCCAGGACGGTCTCGATCCTCTGACCTCGTGATCCGCCCACCTCGGCCTCCCAAAGTGCTGGGCTTACAGGCGTGAGCCACCGCGCCCGGCCTAAAAGCATCTTTACTTAGAGAAAACATAAATGTTTGAGGTGATGGATTTCCCAATTACCCTGATCCCAGCATTTCAGGATGCTGAGGTGGGAGGACTGCTTGAGCCCAAGAGTTTGAGACCAGCCTGGGCAACACAGTGAGACTTCGTCTCTACCAAAAATAAAAAAATTTAGCCGGGTGTGGCGTCGCACACCTGTGATCCCAGATACACAGGAGGCTAAAGTGGGAGGATCACTTGAGCCTGGGAGGTTGAGGCTGCAGTGACCTGTGATCACACTACTGCACTCCAGTCTGAGTGACAGAACAAGACTCCATCTCAAAAAAAAAAAAAAAAAATCACCTGTACTCCCAAAAATATGTACAACTATTACATATAAATAAAATTTAAAAGAAAAATTACTGGCCAGACACGGTGGCTCACACCTGTAATCCCAGCACTTTGGGAGTCTGAGGCGGGTGGATTGCCTGAGCTCCAGAGTTCAAGACCAGCCTGGGCAACATGGTGAAACCCCATCTCTACTAAAATACAAAAAATTAGCCAGGCGTGCTGGCGTGCGCTTGTAGTCCCAGCTACTTGGGAGGCTGAGGCAGGAGAATTGCTTGAACCTGGGAGGCAGAGGTTGCAGTGAGCTGAGATCGTGCTGTTGCACCACTGCACTCCAGCCTAGGCAACAGGTCAAAACTCCATCTCAAAAAAAAAAAAATTTTACTATCTGGCCCAATGCAGAAAAAATTGGCCAAACCTTGCTCCAAGGCCTAAGTATACACTGTTTATAAGAAACACACTTGGGGCTGGGCATGGTGGCTCATGCCTGTAATCCCAGCACTTTGGGAGGCAGAGGCAGGTGGATCACTTGAGGTCAGGAGTTTGAGACCAGCCTTGCCAACATGGTGAAACCCTGCCTCTACTAAAAATATAAAAATTAGCTGGGTGTGGTGGCATGAACCTGTAGTCCCAGCTGCTTGGGAGGCTGAGGCAGGAGAACCACCTGAACCCAGGAGGTGGAGGTTGCAGTGAGCTGAGATCACACCATTGCACTCCCCAATACTCACCACACACTTGGTCAGGTGTGGTGGCTCATAGCTGTAATCCCAGCACTTTGGGAGGCCAAGATGGGAGAATCACTTGAGCCCAGGAGTTGGAAACCTGCCTGGGCAACAAAGTGAGACCCTATCTCTATTTAAAAGAAAAGAAAAGGAATGCTCTTTAAATATAATAATCTAGATGGGCCGAGACTAAAAGAATGGGGAAAAGATATGCTATGCAAACATTAAGCCTCAGAAAGCCAGAGTGCCTATATTAGTATCAAAAAATGTTAACTTCAGAACACAGAATGTTACCAGGAATAAGGAGAGACATTATATAATGACATGGGTCAATTCACCTAGAGGACATAAGAGTCCTAAACATTTGTGCGCCTAATTACAAAGCTTCAACATGCATGAGGCAAAAATGGATAGAATTGAAGAGAAACGGATAAATTTCCTGCAATTACAGGGTGAGATTTCAAAACTCCTCTCAATAATTGATGGAACAAGTAGAAAATCAGTAAGGATAGAGAAGACTTGAATAACATGATCAACCTACTGGCCCCAATGGACCCTTATAGAACACTGCACCACCAACAGCAGAAACACATTCAGTGCAACTCCACATAGAACAGTTACCAGGACAGACCATATGCTGAGCTCTAAAGCAAGTCTCAATAAATTTAAAAGGATTAAAGTCCTCTAGAGAATGTTCTCTGACCACGATGGAGCTAAATTAGAAATCAATCATAGAAAGATCTCTGGAAAATCCCCAAATCCTGTCTTCTCCATCAATGCCTTGCTGCGTGACCTTGGAAGTGTGCTGCAGTTTCCTCACCTGTGAAGTTAGTACAATTGTAGGCCCTTCCTCACTGGGTTTTGTGAAGAGTGACTGAGTTCATCCGGCACACAGCAAGTGCTATGCAAGTGTTTTCTCTCATTGTCTTGGTGACACAGGACCGACCCGGGAGAATAGGCTCCCACCAGCCTGGCTGCAGGACCCCAGAGCAACCACTTGTCTTACCGTGGCCCCCTCTGTCCTCCCTCCTGGCAAGTAAGAATGGCCAGGGTCCCTGTAGACCATATAGATCTGAGGGGCCTGAAGGCAGAGGAGATGCTGAAAAGGGCCTCCCAGACCTCCCACCCTCACATTCCCAGCACGTAATAATGAAAACAGCAATGTCCTCCACAGAACACATGTGCAAAGCTATGCTAGGCACTGGGATGGGGATGGAGTGAGGGCTTGATAGAGAGACATGAATTAAACAGCCTCCTGAAAAATAAAACCAAAACCCCAAGACACAAAGACCCAGGGACTGACTCAACCTCTCCAGAAACCAAGTCTCTCCAAACCCATCTTACAGGTCAATGCTGCCATTCATGCAAAACAAAATTATTTGGCCAGGCACAGTGGCTCACGCCTGTATCCCAGCACTTTGGAAGGCCGAGGTGGGTGGATCATCTGAGGTCAGGAGTTCAAGACCAGCCTGGCCAACATGATGAAACCCCGTCTCTACTAAAAATACAAAAAATTAGCCAGACGTGGTGGCTGGCACCTGTAATCCCAGCTACTCGGGAGGCTGAGCCAGGAGAATCGCTTGAACCCGGAAGGTGGAGGTTGCAGTGAGCCGAGATCGTGCCACTGCACTCTAGCCTGGGCAACAAGAGCAAAACTCCATCTCAAAAATAAAAAAATAAAAACAAAACAACAACAACAAAAATTACTCAGTGCCTGGTACACACCATGCACCCTCTGGCCCCTGAGGACACAGTGTGGATGACTGGTGGTGGTGATGGGGCCACTCACTAAGGCAGCAGAGGGAACACAGACTGGGAGTCAGATTTGGGAGTAAAGACATGAGCTCTGTTTTGCACAAGGTGAGTTTGGAGATGCCTGTTGAGCTCCCAAGAGGAGCAATCCCAGGGGGCTGGACACATGGAGGGGTCTAGAGATGACTTCGGAAGTGTTAGTATGCGCATAGCATGGGAAGTCCAGCAGCAGGTGAGATGGCCCCTGACAAGGTGTATGGAACAGTGGTCTCTGGCAGGGAGGGCACCCTGGGAGGTGTTTGGTAAAGTGTGGGCCACTGGTGCTCAGCGTAGGACAGCCGGATAATTCGAGGCCTGGTCTGAACAATGGGGAATACCTGTTCTGTGATTATCTGAGCCTAACTCCTTGGTACATTAAAAACCCAAGTTTTTTTTTTTTGCATGATTATAATATAAACCAAAATCTCCAGAAATGCACCTCTTGTTTTAATCGAGGGATGACTGGATGTTGTTTTGTTTGGAACTTTGCTGAGAGCTGCTCACCGTTGGGGGAAATCATCTGTCTCTGACAGCAACTCCACTCGAACTCAAGACCCAAGTCAAGACCCTTGCACCAGCTGCATTAGCAAATCATCACGTTCACAGTGACTTGTATTTGCACAAACATACTCATTTGTCAACTATTTCGATGTGTCAGATATCAAGTGGCAACATAATTCTGTTAAATGATCTTACTTCTCATCATGCCACTTACTCATTCTAAGCAGGCGCCGACTGTCGCATTCTGTCTTCTGGCATAGCCACACCCAGGCATTTGTGTATTGCCATAATATTATTTTATTGGAAGTCACTTCCCTGCTTTTTCCCCTTCATATTGCAATTATGGCGTTAAATTGATTTTTTACAAATTATGTGTGTAGGAAGATATATTACCCTTGAATTTCAGCTCAGTGTGGAAAAGGACGTATTAAAAAATATTTGTTATAAAAAGAGGGTGTTGGGTCTGCAAGCACTGAAAACTCACTAGTGTGAGTGAGAAGCCCCATTTGAGGGGTGGCAAAGGCAAAAGGAACCCACAGCAAATGAAACAGGACCAGAGAGGTTGGAGGAAACCAGGAGGACACAGAGCCTAGAAGCAAGAAGAGAGTTTCTAGAAGGGTGGCTAACCGGGCGAATGCTGCCTGGAGGTAAGACAGAGGCTGGAGGCATGGATAAGGGGTCGCATGTGCGCCTGGTGCAGCTGGGGTTGGGGGAAGGCAGGCAAAGCCAAGCTACTGGCTAGATCTGAGGTTTTGTGGTTTTCTGGCCAGGAGGGCGTGAGGAAAGGAGGACCTAGGGAAAAGTTGAGGACAATGGCTGCAGAGACAGCCTAGGAGCCACCTGGAGATGGACGAGTGAAAGCAGGAAGGGCTCAGAGAATGGAAACAGGGAGGTCAGAGGACTCATCGCACCAAGTGACCAAGGGAGAGTTGGGAGGGATGGGGGCCATGGTCAGAGTGAAACCTTAGAAATACTGACTCCCGGCTGGGCGTGGTGGCTCACGCCTGTAATCCCTGCACTTTGGGAGGCCAAGGCGGGTGGATCACGAAGTCAGGAGATCGAGACCACCCTGGCTAACATGGTGAAACCCCATCTCTACTAAAAAAAAAAAAAAAAAAAAAAAAATCAGCCAGGCATGGTGTTGGGCGCCTGTAGTCCCAGCTACTCGGGAAGCTGAGGCAGGAGAATGGTGTGGACCCGGGAGGTGGAGCTTGCAGTGAGCCGGGATCGCACCACCACACTCCACGCTGGGCGACAGAGCGAGACTCTGTCTCAAAAAAAAAAAGAAAAGAAAAGAAAAGAAATAAAGAAATGTTGCTTCTCAGCCAGGTGCCGTGGCTCACACCTGTAATCCCAGCACTTTGGGAGGCCGACCCAGGTGAGTGGATCACTTAAGGTCAGGAGTTAGAGATCATCCTGGCCAACACGGCAACACCCCATCTTTACTAAAAATACAAAAATTAGTGAAGCAAGGTGGTGCACGCCTGTAATCCCAGCTACTTGGGAGGCTGTGGCAGGAGAATCACTTGATCCCGGGAGGTGGAGATTGCAGTGAGCTGAGATCGTGCCACAGCACTCCAGCCTGAGCAACAAAGCAAGACTCTGTCTCAAAAAAAAGCGGGGGGGGGGGGGGGGGGGAGGAAAAGAAACGTTAACTCCTGAGGCAGAGCTGTCCTGAATAGTGACAAGCCCTCAGGTGTGGCTGCAGGAGGCTGTGGGCTGAGGGGGCCCTGGAGAGGAGGGGCCCAGGTAGTGGGCTGTGGCCAGGCTGCTGCAGATCAGCTACCAGGCAAGTCCTCGAGGGTGATGGCACCAAATCTCACCCCCTACACTGGACCCTGAGTCCCACGAGGGCGGGGACTGGCCTGCTGAATCATGGTGCTAAGTCACATCTGAAGATTCTCAAACATCTGCTGAATGAGTGAATGTGTGGGAGGACTTTGGGTGCAGAAGAGAGTGGGCCCCAGGGCCAAAGGCTCCGATGAGGGAGGGAACATGAGTGGGGGCTGTCTGGGTGACAGCGATGGGAAGGGGCAGAAAACAGCTGGCTAGAGAGTGTGACTCTCAGGAAGAGGGCCCCTGGCTGGGCGGCAGAAACAGTGGCCAGCAGAGATGAGGGCACTGGTCTCCCCCAACCCTCCTGTGAGGACGCCACTAGATTTGTCATGGCAGGTCTCCTAGGCGCCCTCCCAGCACCTCACACACCTGGCCCTCTCCCTCTGTCTAAAATGCTCCTCCCTCTCCTTGGCATGGACGACTCTGTTTCTGCCTTTAGGACTCAACCCAGTTCACCTCCTCAGGGGACCCTTCTCTGACTGCCCCCATGCTCTACTGTTCTCTTACTGTATCCTGTTTGGTTCCTCAATAGCACATTTTATGTGCATCTGCAACATCATTATATGGAAAATATTAGTACATTTCACTTGGACTGTGTGGCCGGCAGAATAGGCCCCGCCCACCAGCACCAAAGAAGTCTCTATCCTAATCCCCAGAACACATGAAGATGTGACCTTACTCAGCAAAAGAGACTTTGCAGCTGTGATTAAGTTAAGGATCTGGATATGGGGGGATTACTCTGGATTATCCAGGAAGGCCCAAAGGAATCACAAGGGTCCTTAGGAGTGGAAGAAGGAAGTTAGAGAGAGAGATTTGTGGATCCTATGCTGCTGGTTCTGAAGATGGAGGAAGGGGCCACAAACCAAGGAATGCAAGTGGCTTCTAAATGCTGGAAAAGGTAAGGAAACAGATTCTCCCCCTGGAGCCTCCAGAAGGAACTAGCCCTGCCAGGAACTTGATTTTACGCCATTGAGATCTATTTCAGACTTCTGACCTCCAGAACTATAGGATAATGTGTATTGTTTTAAGCTACCAAATTTGTGGTAACTTTTTGCAGTAGCAATAGGAAACAAACAGAGCTTTCATTGGGTTTTTTTGGGGGTTTTTTTTTTTTTTTTCATTTGAGACAGTCTCACTCTGTCATCCAGGCTGGAGTGCCGTGGCACGATCACAGCTCACTGTAGCCTCAACATCCCAGGCTCAAACAATCCTCTACAGGGTTATAATTTGAAATGATACCCATCCAAAACCATTTAAAAAAGCCATCAAGACTCGCAAGTGTCCAAGCCAGTGGACCAAGTGAATTGCTAATGCCTGCCATACCACAGTTAGTTCTACTTAGTTAGGAGAAGGGAAAAACCTGCCACCTATTAAGGTTAGTCTTGACTTGAAAAAGGCACAAATTAAATAATATCTTTGGGACCTATTCTTTGAATAAAATAGGATGTCCAGTGTTGATTTATCTGTTTACTTGTTTATTCTCAGCTCCTCTGCCTCTCCAGGACAGGAATGGGGCTGATTCCTCACCTGAGTGCCTGGCACATGGACAGGCTCAACAGGCATCTGTGAAATTGTTAGAGGCGTGTGAACCAGAGCAACTCCATCTTGAATAGGAGCTGGGTAAAATGAGGCTGAAACCTACTGGGCTGCATTCCCAGACGTTTAAGGCATTCTAAGTCACAGGATGAGATAGGAGGTTGGCACAAGATACAGGTCATAAAGACCTTGCTGATAAAAGGGGTTGCAGTAAAGAAGCCAGCTAAAACCCACCAAAACTAAGACGGCCACAAGAGTGACCTCCAGTCATCCTCACTGCTACACTCCCACCAGCGCCATGACAGTTTACAAATGCCATGGCAACGTCAGGAAGTTAACCTATATGGTCTAAAAGGGGGAGGCATGAATAATCCACCCCTTGTTTAGCATGTCATCAAGAAATAACCATAAAAATGGGCAACCAGCAGCCCTCAGGGCTGCTCTGTCTTTGGAGTAGTCATTCTTTTATTTATTTATTTATTGAGACAGAGTCTTGCTCTGTTGCCCAGGCTGGAGTGCAGTGGGGAGTTCTCAGCTCACTACAACCTCCGCCTCCTGAGTTCAAGCAATTGGAGTAGCCATTCTTTTATTCCTTAGCAGCCTCACTGAATCCTCACAACCCTGAGACATGGGCATCTTTCTCCCCATCTTTCAGGGAGGTCACTGAGGCAAAGGGAGGGTTGCGGTCTGGCCAAGCTCACATAGCCAGTAAGCGGCAGAGCTGGAGCTCAGCTCTCCCCACCCCATTCCTCGTCACACAGCTCTGCAAGGGAAAACGGGGAATCAAATCTTCCAGGAGATGCCACAGCCCCAACCCCATCCAGGCCTCAGATGGGTCCCTCCCTCGCCCCGGGCAGAGGCAGATAGAAAGCTTCTCACCAGACTCCGCTGACACAGCGCGTGGACAGCGCCCGGGGCATGATCTCCGAGCCCTGCTGCATGAAGCCCCCCACGGGAAACCACAGGCTGTTGCCCAGCGTGTACTGGTTCTCCAGGATGTGGGGGCGTGCCCGCAGGCATGGGTGTGGGTTATACCACTCATAGGGGCTCAGCCTGTGGAGAGACGTGCAGCGTGTGGATGGGGCCCAGAGCCCAGGTGGGGAGGAAAAGGAAAGAAGCAAAGGAAAGTCACAGTGATCAGAAGAAAGGGGGAGAGATGGAAAAAGGAGCAAGATGGACAGAAGCACACAGAGAAAAGGCAGAGAGAGATGCACAGAGATGGAGACAGAAGAGGCAGAGAGAGACACAGAGATACTCAGAGAGAAATAGAGAAGGGAGGAGGCAAAAAAGGGAGAGGCGGGAAGGGGAGAGACCTGAACAGAGAACCACAGAGCACAGTCAGAGCCACAAGGGGAAGAATGAGACTCAGACACAGGGCACAAAACTGAGAAAGGAGGGCACAGGGAATCCGAGGCCCCAAAGGGGAGGCCAAGGACAGTTCCGAGAGAGAAGAGGCAGGTCGGTCCCAGAGGCCTCGGCTCGTGCCTCCTCCAGCCCCTTCCTTCCCAGTAGGCAGTGGACTCACCTGGCAGCCAGAAACAGGACGCAGCTGACAGCCAGGTAGGCAAGAAGCATGAAGAGCCACACAGCAGGGGAGAAGGGGTCCAGGAAGGAGAAGTAGCCAGGCTTGCGGCCCTGTGGGGAGAGGGAGTGAGACCCGGAGACACCCCTGGCCTGAGCCTCACACCCAGCCCCTGCCCTACCAGGGACCTGGGAGCCTGACCGGCCCATCTGAGGTCCTGGGGCTGTCTGGCTCCCACTCGCAGGCCCTGAGCCTCCATGCCAGGCAAGCAGCCCATGGTCTCCAGGGGAACCATACCATGTGCACTCGGTAGAGGATGCTGATCCCCAGGGTCATAAAGGGCTTGGAAAAGTCGATGACCTTCTCCCGCTCAGCTGTGATGGTGAAGGCGGCCACAGCCAGGTCTGCCTTCTGCTGGAGGGGAAGCCGGGCAGGGGTGGAGGGGGACAGAGGGGAAGACAGAAGTGGACAGTTAGAGAGAAATGCACGGAGAGTGAGCAACTGAGGGAGGCGAGAGAGAGAGAGGTAGGGAGGGGGAGGGGCCAGGAGCATGGACTGACTCCAGGAGCCCACCTTGGGCCTGAAATCGGACCCTCATCGCATGTCCATCCTCATCATCTCACGTCTCCAGACACACTGACTCCGTCCCCTAGGCCTCAACTGTGTCCCAGCATCAAGGGCTGGGGATGGAGGGGTTCCCCAAACTCCAATTCAAGCAGCAACTTCTCCCTAGGGCCATAAAAGAGCCAAGGTCCTGAAGGGGCTGAGACTGACAGCACTCGAGATAATACAGGCCCGGACAGAACACAGAGCAGGGAGAGAGGAGGCAGGGCCCAGAAATGACCCCGGGTGGGGAGGAAGGGTGCAGGTCAGCATGTGCCCACAGCCAGTGGAGACATAACCCAGGCCCCGGCCCAGTGTATAGTCAGGGAGATAGGGCACAAGCCCCAAACAGCATCCTGGTCAGGAGACGACACTGGTACCAAAGCACAACCCTGGATGAAGGAGGGATGGCCCAGGCCCAAAACTTCAGCTGGAATCAGAAATAGATGGCACAGGACCCAGATACAAACCCAAGGTTGGTGAGAGATGGCACAGGCACAAATGATAACCACCAGGTAGAGAGAGGTGGCACAGGCTGAAAACAAAATCCACGGTCAAAGAGAGAGCAGACAGGCCCACTGTGAAATCCAGGGTCGGGGAGAAAGGACACAGACCCCAAAGATGACCCCAAGCAGAGAGGGAGATGGCGCAGGCTAAACAGCTAAAGCCGGGTACGGGAGAGATGGCACCAGCCTCGATAAAACCGAGGAGCAGAGTGAGACAGCACAGCCCTGAAGCATCATCCAGAGGCGGCAGTGTGGCAGGGGCCCAGAATGTGGATTCGGAGAATCTCTCTGGGAATTCCTGGGTGTTGAGCATAGGGAGCTTCCATCCCCTTTGTTGTACACTTGCCACTTTTATGACTAATACGTGAATTGTCGTGGAAATCATCACAGCTAATATAGGACTCCAATTATTTTAAGCACCCACTGGGGGTCTGTCCTAGCAAGGCCCTGCATGGTGGCCACATCCTCATTTCAGAGAGGAGGAAGCAATGGCCTTTCAGGTGGGCTCCAGTCCTGGGGCCAGGAGCTCAAGACCCCACTTCCTCCTGAAAGCCTAAGGGCCCCCATCCTTTGTTCCCACACTGGCCTTCTCCTCACTCATTCCTGGGGCCATGCCTCGGGCCAGACACCTGCCTCTTGCTGGGCTGGGCAAGGACAGGGGCTCTGCTCCCGAAACACTCCTCAGATCTGTCCATTTCTCTACAACTCCACCACCCGGGCCTGGGCCACTGGTATCTCACTCCTGACTACAGCACTGGCCGCCTCATCGGCGCCCCCTGCCGCCACTCATAACCTCCCAGTCCATTCCTCACATATAAGCCAAGAGGACAGTCTCCTGTTTAAAACCTGCCATGGCTTCCCCCAGCACTTAAGACAAAACCTTCTCATGGCCAAGAGGCCCTGGCGACCTAGGGCTCAGCTGCCCTGCCAGCCTCCCCTCATATCTTCTGTCTTGCCAGCTGTGCTCCAGCCATGATGGCCCGTTCTTTCCTCAATGCAGCAGGCTCATGCCCGCCTCAGAGCCTTTGCACATGCTCTCCCCCAAGCTCTTCTTCCCCGTTCCAGGCTCCCATCACACCCACCCCTTCAGCCCTCCCCAAAGCAGCCTCCAGACCCCACCTCACTCCCACTCTAGGGTCTCTCTCACATTCCCCATTGGCCCTTTTTTTTTTTTTTTTGAGATGGAGTCTCACTCTGTCACCCAGGCTGGAGTGCACTGGTGCAATCTCAGGTCACTGCAACTTCTGCCTCCTGGGTTCAAGCAATTCTCCTGCCTCAGCCTCCCGAGTAGCTGGGATTACAGGGGCATGCCACCATGCCCGGCTGATTTTTGTATTTTTTGTAGAGACGGGGTTTCACCATATTGGTTAGGCTGGTCTTGAACTCCTGACCTCAGGTGACCTGCCCACCTCAGCCTCCCAAAGTGTTGGGATTACAGGCGTGAGCCACCGCGCCTGGCCTCATTGTCCTGTTCTTAGCACGACTGGAGATGGCCTTACTCAGGTGCTTGGTAATAGGCTGTCTTCACTCCATACAGGTTCCTTGCCTGTCTGGCTCAGTGAGGCAGCCCAGAGCCCGCAGAGAGCAGGTTCCCAACAGATCCTGCTCGGGTTTGACCGAGTACAGCCTCTCTGACTGGCATTCCAGGCAGCCGACGGCTCCCCCACCGCATTCCTGGGCCACTCGCCACCCCTCTCTCTCGTGCCAGCTTCTTTCTGGCTACGCCTGAGGCGCCTGTCCACTCTGTAGAGCTGGATCCCATCCATCCCTCCAGGGCTCCTCACACCTTCACTCCTCTGGGAAGCCATTCATGGACCCCCACTCCCTGGACACCACTTGATCTCAACAACTTGCTCAATTTGGAAAATATCTGTCTCTTCTCTGCCTCTGCTGCTAAACCACAGGCGTTTCAGAAGCAAGGCCAGCTGGACATGTCATGTGTTTCTGGCACTGCTCAGGGGCCAGCTTAGAGCAGGATCTGCTGTGTCTCATGTCCCATCCTCCTCCGCTGAAACCCAGGAATGTTGCTGCTTCCTCTGGGGCCCTCCCAGATGCAGAGACCTCTTCTTCCCTGGTGCCACAATGAAACCTCACGCAGTCAGACGCTTGCATGCACACAGCACTTACCCCATGCAGCCACTGTCCCAGGGTTTTCCCCAGAGTAGACTGGTCCCCAGAGCAACCCAATGCAGAGGGACCTCCATTTCTACCATTCTACGCATGAGGAAACTGAGGCACAGAGACTAAGCCTCTTGCCACAGTTGACCCTTGGATTCGGAACCACTCCCCTCCTAGGGGCTTTATCTGCCTGCTGCCCTGGTCGCTCCATGGCTGGGGGTGTCTGAGGTCTGGCCCAGGTGAGTGACTCCTCCCTGGATCCCAGGGAGTTCAAGAAATGAGGGCTGACTGATGGGAGGAGTCAGTGAGTCCTTGAACCTCTGGCCAATATGGCGGCGGCAGCAGCCTCCACCTCTCCCTGACACTGCTCCACATCCAGTCTTCCAGCCAGCACCATCCCAGACAGAAACATGGGGGTTGTCCTGTACACAGCCTCTCCCTCACCCCTCACTGCATCCATCCTCAAGCCTCCTGATTTTGACCCCTAAACACCTCCGGAACGGAGTCACTGCCCTCTGCCTCCACTGCCCACACCCGCCCAGGCCACCATCTCTGACTGAATAGCTGGTCTCTGCCTCCCAGGACACACAGCCTGCAGCCCCAGAGATACCAACATATGACAGTCTGGTCACAGTATTTTCCTGCTTAGATTCTGCAACGGGCTGGGCACAGTGGCTTATGCCTGTTAACCCAGCACTTTGAGAGGCCGTCAGGAGGATTGCTTGAGCCAAAAGTTCAAGATCAGCCAGGGTAATGTAGCAAGACCCCATCTCTACTAAAACTAAAAATAAATAAATAAATTCTGCAATGACTCTGCTTGTTTGTATTTTTCTTTTTAGAGACAGTGTCTTGCTTTGTTAACTAGGCTGGAACACAGTGGTGCAATCATAAGTCACTGCAGCCTTGAACTCCTCAAGTGATCCTCCCACCTCAGCCTCCTGAGTAGCTGGGACCACAGGTGCGAGCCACTACGCCTGACTAATTTTGTTTATTTCTTAGAAAGACCAGGGTCTGGCTATGTTCCCCAGGCTGGTCTCGAACTGCTGGGCTCAAGTGATCCTCCTGCCTCAGCCTCCCAAAGTGCTTGGATTACAGGCATGAGACACAGCGCCTTGTTCTTTTTATTATTATTATTATTTTTTAGACCAAGTCTTGCTCTGTAGCTCAACCTCTGCCTCCTGGGTTTCAGCAATTCTCCTGCCTCAGTCTCCCGAGTAGCTGGGACTACAGGCAGATGCCACCACACCTGTCTAATATTTTTTTAGTAGAGATGGGGTTTCACCACGTTGGCCAGGTTAATCTCGAACTCCTGACCTCAGGTAATCCGCCTGCCTCAGCCTCCCAAAGTGCTGGGATTACAGGCATGAGCCACCGCACCCGGCCCTATTTATTATTATTATTATTATCATTATTTTTGGAGACGGAGTCTCACTTGTCACCCAGGCTGGAGTGCAGTGGTGCAATCATGGCTCAGTGCAACCTCCACCTCCCGGGCTCAAGCAATTATCCTGCCTCAGCCTCCCGAGTAGCTGGGATTACAGGTGAATGCCACCATGCCCAGCTAATTTTTGTATTTTAGTAGAGAAGGGGTTTCGCCATGTTGCCCAGGCTGGTCTTGAACTCCTGACCTCAGGTGATCCACCTGCCTCAGCCTCCCAAAGTGCTGGGATTACAGACATGAGCCACTGCACCCAGCCACCTTGTTCTTAAACTGTCATCCAAATGCCTCACCCGACCCAATGAGGCCCTAACTACACCTATCACCTCAATAAGACTATGTGCCATGCCTGTTCCCCTTATGAGACTCTGTCTTACACCTGGCCCCAAAACGTCCCGCACCATCCAACCCCCACAGCCTCATCCCCTACCATCTTGCCCTGTGTCCCACATTGCAGCCACACTGCCCTTTCCATTTGTTCATTCTTTCATTTATTTACCTGCCTGACAAATATTTGTATAGCGCCCTCCACTAGCCCAGCACAATTCTAGCTTTGGGGATACGGCGGTGAATAGAAACATACAACGTCAGGTAGTGACAAGTGCTGTGATGAAAAATCAAGCAGGCAGCAAGAGAGAGACTCGAGGGAGATGCTGTTTTGGATCTGCTCCCCACTGTTGCAAGGGGGGTCTTATTTGAATAGCAACATGAAGGAAGTACAGAAAAGGCAGGAGAAGACCTAGGGGGAAGGTTCCAGGCTGAGTGATCAGCGGGTTCAGTCCCTAAGGTGGGAAGAGACTTGCAGCATCCAGCAAGGCTGGAGCAGAATAGGAGGGCCTGGGAAGGCAGCAGAGTGGGGCCAAGAGCCTGGCAGGGCCTTGCGGGCCACAGTAAGGTAACTGGATTCTGCACCTTGGGCAATGGAGGACATTGCATGAGGATGTCATATAGGAAGGTGTGAACAGAGGGTGACATTATCAGACCACAGGCACAAGAGTGGATGTGGGAACCAGGGAGCCAACTGCAGATGCCCATCACAGTGCTGGGGGCAGGACTGAGTGGCAGCACTGGTGGTGGAGAGAGACAGTGAGATTTGGGTCTCATCTGAAGGTGTGATGGAAGGATCCTAAATGCTGCAAGTTCTTCCTAGGCTCCTCCCAGAGCCTTTGGAGCCCCCTTCCCTCCTCCTACTCACTTTTCATTTCTAAAAGAAAGGCTTATTTATTTGTTTTTGTTTTTGAGACAGGGTTTTGCTCTGTCACCCAGGCTGGAGTTTAGTGGTGTGAAAATGGCTCACTGCAGCCTCAAACTCTTGGGCTCAAGCGATTCTCCTATACCTCAACCTCCTGAGTAGCTGGGACTATAGGTGTGTGCCACCTCGCCTGGCTAATTTTTTCATTTTTTGTAGAGACGGGGGTCTTACTATGTTGCCCAGGCTGGTCTTGAACTCCTTGGCTCAAGCAATCCTCCCACCTTGGCTTCCCAAAGTGCTAGGATTACAGGCGTAAGCCACCATGCATGGTAAAAGACCTATTCCTTAGAGATGACTTCCCCACCCTGACATATACCCTCTAGCCCCTACCCTGACGGGCCCCCTCACAGTTATTTAATCTCTGAAATGAAATCAGGAAGAATTTGAATGACAAGTCACCTGTAATGATGGGGGGGGGGTGTCATCTAAATGCCCAAAGCCAATCAAAGCACTTGTGATAGTCCCTCAGCTCCCAACCCATCCTGTATACCCTGTTCTGTGTAAACCATATTCCTGCTTTGCCTGCTGCGCCCTGCCAGGCTCTGCCAATAGGGGGCGCTAGCGGGAGGTTGCCAGACTGAGGAGGGAAGAGGGATTGCTCCTTCCTGTCTCCTCTCCCACCCCAGCCACCTTCTGCCCCTCCTGGCAGCATCGTTTCTTCTCCTGGCAGCAGATGAATCCGGTGTGCAGCTTCCCAATATCTACAAACCCATCTCATCCAGCCTCTCTCCAGAACCCAGCACCAGCTGTAAGCACCTCTCCCCAGGGTCTGACTTTCAGCTCCACAGAGCCCTTCCTCTAAGTTTCCAAGAGTTTCAGCTCTTCCCTTTCTTCCTTCAGAACTAGGGATGTGGCCACTTCCTGCCATGATACCTCCATGACACCTGAGAGTGAGGGGTGGGAAAGCTATGGCCCTTGGGCCAAGTCCAGCCCATCTGCCTGCCTTTGTACATAAAGTTTTATTGGAACACAGTGATGCCCACTATATTGTCCATGACTACTTTCCATACAACAGAAGAGCTAAGGAGTTATGACAGTAAGGCCTTAAAGCTGAAAATACTTACACTCTTGGCCAGAAAAAGCTGGCTAGGTCAGTGCAGTGGCCCATGTCTATAATCTCAGCACTTTGAGAAGCCAAAGAAGGAGGATTGCTTGAGCCCAGGAATTCAAGACTAGCCTGGGCAACACAGTGAGACCCCATCTCTACAAAAAAAAATTTTTTTTTTGAGACAGAGTCTTGCTCTGTAGCTGGGCTAGAGTGCAGTGGCGCAATCTCAGCTCACTGCAACCTCCGCCTCCTGGGTTCAAGCAATTCTCCTGCCTCACCCTTCCAAGTAGCTGGAACTACAGGCGTGTGCCACCATGCCCAGCTAATTTTTGTATTTTTAGTAGAGACGGCGTTTCACCATGTTGGCCAGGATGGTCTCGATCTCTTGACCTCGTGATCCGCCCTCCTCAGCCTCCCACAGTGCTGGGATTACAGGCGTGAGCCACCGAGCCTGGCTGCTACAAAAACTTTTAAGAATTAACTGAGCATAGGTGTTTGAGACCAGCCTAGCCAACATGGTGAAACCCCGTCTCTACTAAAAATACAAAAATTAGCCAGGCTTGGTGGCAGGCGCCTGTGTAATCCCAGCTACTTGGGAGGCTGAGGTTGCAGTGAGCCGAGATCGCGCCACTGCACTCCAGCCTGGGGGACAAGAGTGAGACTTCGTCTCAAAACAAACAAAAAAACCCTAGAGGTCTGCACCATGAGCTAGCCACTGGTGCTTGCTCAAGGCTCCATACAGCATTCCTATTTGCCATCAATACTTTGCGAATGAATCTCCCGATCTGCTGGTTACATCTGGCCCAGGTGGCAGATCAGCTCGCATGCAGCCTGGACTGGCTGCAGAGTCTTTGATGCTCTGGACCTCACTCCAGATGAAAAAAGCCTTACGGGCTGTAGGGAAAGTAAATGGATTGAAGTAGCACATCCCAATGTGGTATGAGTTGCCACCAAAATCCAAAAAGTCCACCAAATGTCACATCATCAACCAAACAGCACCCCCTCCTCAGCAGTCTGTCTCAGCTCTGTGGGGCCCTCCTCTAAGCTTCTAAGTTTTCATCTTTCAAACTCTTCTACTTGTCCCTTAAGGACTAAGTGTGGTAGCTGCTTTCTGCCGTTGCTACTGCCATGACCTCTTAGTTTTCTTTTTACCCCTTAAGTTAGCTGGTTAACAACTTTACATTTAGTTAACAATTCTTTATACTAAATACTCTCTATTCAAATAACTGATATGATTCTATTCAAGTAAATGGAGCTGGGTTTTGTTTTGTTTTTATTTTTGTTTTTGTTTTTGTGACAGAGTCTCGCTGTCGCCCAGGCTGGAGTGCAGTGGCACGATCTTGGCTCACTGCAACCTCTGCCTCCTGGGTTCAAGCGATTCTTGTGCCTCAGCTTCCTGAGTAGCTGGGATTAAAGGTGCGTGCCGCTGAGTCTGGCTAATTTTTGTATTTTTAGTAGAGATGGGGTTTCACTGTGTTGGCCAGGTGATCCACCCACCTCAGCCTCCCAAAGTGCTGGTATTAGAGGCGCGAGCCACCGTGCCCAGCCAGGGTTTTGTTTTTGTTTTTCAGACAGGGTCTTGCCCTGTCACCCAGGCTGGAGTCCAGCAGCGTGATCATAGCTCACTGTAGTCTCGAACTCCCAGGCTCAAGTGATCCTCCCACCTCAGCCTTCCGAGTAACTGTGACTATAGGCATGTGCCATGCCCAGCTAATTTTTTTTTTTTTTAATGTTTAGTAGAGACAAGGTCCTGCTATGTTGCTGAGGCTGGTCTTGAACTCCTGAGCTCAAGCAATCCTCCTGCCTTAGCCTTCCAAAGTGCTGGGATTACAGGCATTAGCCACTGCATCTGGCAACCGGCGCTGTTTTGTATCCAGACTGGACCCTGCCAGACTGGACCCTGCCAGACTGCCATCTGCCAGGTTTAATGCCAACTGCACTGACTCAACTACTTCCTGCTCATCAGATCTGATCAGCATACTGTTGTCAATGTAGGGGACCAGTGTGAGGCTATGTGGACTGTAGAGTTCAAGTTCTTTGCAGCCTAAATCAGGACAGAAAGTGGGAAAGTTGATGTCACACTGAGCAAGACTGTGAAGATGTGAACCTTGCCTTCTGGTAGCCCTTGGAAATTGGTATGGAGAAAAAAGCATCTGCCAGGTTAGTAGCTCACACCAGCTGCCAAGGGCTGTGCTGACTTGCTCCAATAGAGAAACTTCATTTGGGACAGCAACTGCAATTGGAGTCACCCCTGATCACGTTGACAATAATCCAAAGTCATTCTTCCAAAATCCATCTGCCTTCTGTACAGGCCAAACAGGCCAGCTGAATGTAGATGGGATCACTACCCCTGCTTCTTCCAAGCCGTTAATGGTGACACTAATTTCCACAATTTGCACAAAGGATAGAGAATTGCTTTTGAATTACTATTCTGGGAAAGACAGGGAGTTCTAGGAGCTTCCACGTGGCTCTTTCTACCATAATGGCCCTGACTCCATGGGTCAGTGCGCCAACGTGGGATTCTGCCAGCTACCATGTGTGTCTATTCCAGTTATACAACCAAGAACTGGGAAAACACAGGGTGGGACCATGGCCCCATCAGGCCCCTTCTGAGTTAACCTGGGCTCAGATTCCACCAATCACTTGACCACATAAGTCCCACTGTGTGGTCTACCAGTCAAAGCAGGAAAAATCAAAATGATATGCCATCCATGAAAATGACAGGGAGTTGTCTAAGTAGCTAAAAGCCGATAAAAACACTCAATGCTGAGAAGGAGCCTATATAGAAACTGTTGTAGTCTTTCTGGAAAATAATTCAACAAAATATCACGAAAGCCACAAAAAGGGTATTCTTCTTCCACCCAGTTATTCTGTTCAGAGAACCAATCCTAAGAAAATAGGCTGCAATGCAGGCAAAGCTTTTGTGCATAAAGATGCTTGTTGGCCAGGTGCAACAACCCATGCCTGTAATCGTAACACTTTGGGAGGCCAAAATGGGTGAACCACTTGAGCCCAGGGACTCAAGACCAGCCTGGGCAACAAAATACAAAACAATTAGCCAGGCATGGTGGTGCACACCTGTAGTCCCAGCTACTCAGGAGGCTGAGGTGGAAGGAGCACCTGAGCCTGGGGAGGTTGAGGCTGCAGTGAGCTGTGATGGCACCACAGCACTCCAACCTAGGCAACTAAGTGAGACGCCAATCTCAAAAATAAAAAAAAGATGTTTGTTAATGATTATTTATAAGAGCACAAACAATAAAAACACCTGGAAACAACTAGTTATGAAAAATGGCTAAATAAATTATGGTACATCCACATGGAATTACTACTATGCAGCCAAGTAACATTCTGTTTAGGTTAAAACAATGATATTATATTTGGCCTTTGAGATGGGCAAAGATTTTATTTTAGAGATTGGTAACACTGACTGTTGGCAAGAGTATGGGAAATTTCACATTCTCATGCACTTTGGTAGGAATATAAATTGGCGAAGCCTTTTTGAACAGCCATTTGGCAGTATACACTTAGAAAAAATTTATACCCTTTGACCCAGCACTTTCACTTCTTGGAATGTATCCCTCAGGAACACTCCCACAAATCCACAGGCCAAGTTTATCATGACACTGGCTATGCTAGCAAAGCTGGAAGCCATCCAAATAGCCATCAATAGGGGATATGGTAAATAATTCATGCTGAGCCACACAATGGAATCCTTATATCCTCACTTGAATTTTAAGCAGGCATCTCAAATGATCCGTGACCAGAGAAAACTCTTGTTTCCCGGCCCCAGCAAACTGCTCCTCCCATGTCCTCCTTATAGTGGAAACTGGCCTCGCCATTCGCCAGCTGCCCTGGCCAAACCCCATAGTCACCCCGATTCCTCTCTTCCTCTTATGCACATCCAAGCTGGCTGCACACCTGACACAGCTGCCACTCAAACCAAGGCAACATCTTCTCTCATCCACACCCTCCAACAGCCTCCTAAATGGACCATTCAGTTTCTACTCTTGTCCCACTAAGGTGTTCCTCAAGACAGCAGCCAGTGCAATCATTTTTAAATGATTTAAAAATTAGATCCTGCTGGCCTATGCATACAATGGAATATTATTCAGCCATAAAAAGGAATGCAGGCCAGGCGCAGTGGCTCACGCCTGTAATCCCAGCACTCTGGGAGGCTGAAGCGGGTGGATCACGTGGTCAGGAGATCAAGACCATCCTGGCCAACATGGTGAAAGCCTGTCTCTACTAAAAATACAAAAATTAGCCGGGTGTGGTGGCGTGTGCCCGTAGTCCCAGTTACTCAGGAGGCTGAGGCAGGAGAACTGCTTGAACTCATGAGGTGGAGGCTGCAGTGAACCGAGATCATGCCACTGCACTCCAGCCTGGGCGAGAAAGCAAGACTCCGTCTCAAAAAAAAAAAAAAAAAAAAAACGGAATGCAGTACTGGTATATGCCATGATGTGGATGAACTTTGAAAAGTTGGAAACATCATGCAAAGTGAAAGAAGCCATACACAAAGACCGCATATTGGATGATTCCATTTATGTGAAATATTTGCAATAGGTAAACCCATGGAGACAGAAAGATGGGTGGTTGCCAGGGGTTGGGGTAGCGGGGAGGGAGTGGGGAGCGACTGCTTAATGGGTATGAGTTTTATGGGAGGTTATGAAAACGTTTTGGAGCTAGATAGCAATAGTGATTACACAACACTGTGAATGTACTAAATGCCACTGAATTGCACTCCTTAAAGTGGTTATTTTTATGTGACATAAATTTCACCTCAGTAAAAAAGAGAAAAAAAATTGATCAGGCTGGGCACGGTGGCTAATGCTTGTAATCCCAGCACTTTTGGGGGGCCAAGGGAGATGGATCATTTGAGGCAAGGAGTTCAAGACCAGCATGGAAACAAGGCAAAACGCCGTCTCTATTAAAAATATAAAAATTAGCCAGGCATGGTGGTGTGCGCCTGTAATTCCAGCTATTTGGGTGGCTGAGGCACAGGAATTGTTTGAACCCAGGAGGTGGAGGTCGCAGTGAGCCGTGGTCGTGCCACTGCACTCCAGCCTGGGCTACACAGTGAGACTCTGTCTCAAAATAAAATAAAATATCATGGCACATTCCTTGCTTAAAACCTTCCAGTGGCTCTGCAGCACGATAAAAATAACAGCCAAGGCCAGGCATGGTGGCTTACACCTGTAATCTCAGCACTTCAGGAGGTCGAGGCAGGTAGATTGCTTGAGCCGAGGAGTTCAAGACCAGCCTGGCCAACATGGCAAAACTCTGCCTCTACAAAAATACAAAAACCAGCCAGGCGTGATGGAGCGTGCCTGTAATCCCAGCTACTGGGAAAGCTGAGGTGGGAGGATTGCTTGAGCCTGGGAGGTTGAGGTTGCAGTGAGCCAAGATGGCACCACTGCATTGCACCACTGCACTCCAGCCTCGGTGACAGAGCAAGACCCTGTTTCAAAAACTAAAAAATAATAATAAAAAATAACAGCCACACTCCTTAGCAGTGACTGTGAGGCCCTGGGATGTGGGCCCTGCTCTCGGATCTCTCTGCCCCTCACTTTTTCCCCTCAACCACACTTTTCCCCTCAAGTCTTTATACATATGGGCTCTCTACTTGGAAAACACTCTTCCCCAGATCCATCCTTTCACTTGGCAATTATTTGCTGCGCACCAGCTGGGTGTCAGATGGTTCTAGGCGCTGGGGATGCAGAAGTAAGGAAAATAGTCAAACTTCTGCCCTCATAAAACCCTCCCTGGTGGCTCTTCTCAGGACTGTATTCCCCACCCCTTTTAGGTCTCTTCTCAAACGTTATCCAACCACCTTGTCTAAAACAGCATCCACGCACCAGACACTTTTATCTCCTTACCTTGCTTCACCTAACACGATATTAATATATCATACGCTGTCAGTTTCCCCCACTAGAACATCAGCAGTTGGGGCGGGGGGCGGGAAGGAGGGGACAAGGAGCACCTCTGCTCATTACATTGCTGCCCCCTAGTGGCCAGGATGCAGTGGGTGCAGAATAGTTGCTCAGTAGTTATTCAGTAAGTGAATGACTAAATGTAGCTGGTTTGTTTTTGTTTTCGTTTCGCTCTTGTTGCCCAGGCTGGAGTGCAATGGCACCATCTCGGCTCACCACAACCTCTGCCTCCCAGGTTCAAGCAATTCTCCTGCCTCAGCCCCCTGAGTAGCTGGGATTACAGGCATGCGCCACCACATCCAGCTAATTTTTTTGTATTTTCAGTAGAGATGGGGTTTCTCCATGTTGGTCAGGCTGGTCTCGAATTCCCAACCTCAGGTGATCCGCCCACCTCGGCCTCCCAAAGTGCTGGGATTATAGGCGTGAGTCACTGCGCCTGGCCTAAACGTAGCTGTTTTTAAAGATGAGGCAGATCTATGTGTACTAACGTGGGAAGATGGCCAAGTTACAAGTAAAAAAAGCAAACTACACAGCAGTAAGTATAGTAAGATATCATTTTTGCAAAAATAAAAATTTAAGAAATTTAGGCTGGGCATGGTGGCTTACGCCTTTAATCCCAGCACCTTGGGAGGCCGAGGTGAGCAGATCACCTGAGGTCAGGAGTCGAGACCAGCCTGGCCTACATGGTGAAATCCCCATCTCTACTAAACAATACAAAAAAATTAGCCTGGCATGGTGGTGGGCGCCTGTAATCCCAGCTACTTGGGAGGCTGAGGCAGAAGAATTGCTTGAACCTGGGAGGTGGAGGTTGCAGTGAGCCAAGATCGTGCCACTGCACGCCAGCCTGGGGAACAGAGCCAGACTCTGTCTCAAAAAAATTAAGAAATTTAAAGATGTACCTGTATTAATGAATTTGTAGAAAATGAGTTGGAGGAATATGGTCTCTGAGGTGTAAGAACATCATGTATATCCAGTGTTTCTGCTATTTGTACCATTTGGTATTTTATCATTTAGTATTACATATATAAACAGAAAATAAAGGAGTTCCTTCTCAAATAATTGCTTATGAAAATTTCTGATGGTATGCAAAAATGCTTTTTAATGCATATATACTTGCTATTGTTGTGCAAAATAGGATTATACTTAATACAAATATGTTTTATAACCGGAAACACAGTATAATGTAAAATTTTTTAATGAAATGGACTTTATTTATTTATTTATTTATTTTTATTTTTGAGACAGAGTCTCACTCTTGTCGCCCAGGCTGGAATGCAGTGGCGCAATCTCGGCTCACTGTAACCTTCGCCTCCCAGGTTCAAGCGATTCTCCTGCCTCAGCCTCCTGAGTAGCTGGGATTACAGGTGCACACCACTACGCCTGGCTAATTTTTTTGTACTTTTAGTAGAGATGGGGTTTCACCATGTTGGCGGGGCTGGTCTCGAACTCCTGACCTCAGGTGATCTGCTCGCCTTGGCCTCCCAAAGTGCTGGGATTACAGATGTGAGCCACTGTGCCCAGCCTATTTTTTTAAAACAGGGTCTCACTCTGTCGCCCAGGCTGGAGTGCAGTGGTGCAATCATGGCTCACTGCAGCCTCAACCTCCCAGACTCAGGTGATCCTCCCACCTCCCAGCCTCCTGAGTGGCTGGGACTACAGGCACATGCCACCACACTTGGCTAAATTTTTTCAATTTTTGTAGAGATAGGGTTTCACCATGTTGCCAAGGTTGGTCTTGAACTCCTGGGCTCAAGTGATCCTCCCACTTCGGCCTCCCAAAGTACTGGGATTACAGGCGTAAGCCACCATGCCTGGCGTGTGTGTGCGTCTTCTATCAGATGAAGAGAACTGGGGACAACATTTCTAAAGACTCCTTGATAGAATCAGTCAATTGCCCATTCAACACTAATTTACTAGAAACCTGCCATGTGTCAGGCCCTGAGCTGGGGACATAGCTAAGTAGACAAGGCTCCCATCCCCAGGGTGTGGAGGCCACAGGTGAGGTGGGTGGGTATTGTCTTGGTCATGCCAGCATCTATGACCTGTGCTGATCTCATCTGTCCCCTGTGATACCCCTCCAAGTTAGGGGGTCACCACTCCCCATTTGAGGAGACACTAAGGCTCAGAGGGGGCAGCCACCTGCCTGCAGGTCACAAAGCCAGTAAGGAGTAAGTCCAGATTTGAACCCAGGGTTAGCCGACTCCAAAACCCATTCTTCTAACTACACTCACATACAGACCGCCTCAAGAAAGGTATCTAGCAGTAGTGACCACATGTGAGCCAGGCATGTGCCAGGCTCTGTGCAAATGCGCTCTCATTTAATTGCCTTAAAACTCACTGGCTGGGTGCAGTGGCTCATGCCTGTAATCCTAGCACTTTGGGAGGCCAAGGCGGACAGCTCACTTGAGGTCAGGAGTTCGAGACCAGCCTGGCCAACATGGCGAAACCCCGTCTCCACTAAAAATACAAAAATAGCCGGGCATTGTGGTGCATTCCTATAATCCCAGCTACTTAGGAGGCTGAGGCAGGAAAATCGCTTGAACCCTGGAGGCAGAGGTTGCAGTGAGCCGAGATCACGCCACTGCACTCCAGCCTGGGCGACAGAGTGAGACTCTGCCTCAAAAAGAAAAACAAAAACAAACAAACAAAAAAACCCTCTGTGAGGGAGGTAACATTAGCCCCTTTTCAAGAGGAGTGACTGACCTTCAGAGATAAGTGGCTTTGCAGGGATCATGTGGGAGCACTGGGGACCTGAAGCTGGCTCCTTCTGGCTCCTAACCAGTGCACTGCTATAGTGGACTCCATGGTGGCTACCCAGACTCTGTTTCAGGAGTGGGGCACTCATTGCCTCAGCTGCCCAGGGTGTAGGTGGCTGATGGCTCTCAGCTCTGTCAGTAGAAGAGCGTCCCCTCACCCAAAGTCCTGACTCTCCCCAAGAGCAGCCCACGTCCAGTGACATATCAGTGGGTGCTTAAAGGCCTGGCACCCTTACCACAGGGGGAGGTCCTTGACGGCCAGCTCAGCTCCAGAGCTGCCTGTGGGACAGCTAAGGCCCAGTTGTGACTGCAGCGCAGCTCAACTCCTCTGCCCAAGCCTGCTTCCTTCCCTCCTGCACAGGGCAGGTTTCCAGGGGCACGCCATCACACCTCCTGCCTCTACATCTCCATCTCAGAGTCAGCTTCCTGGGACCCTGACCTAAGATCTTCTTTGCCCTTGAAGGCTAAGCTTTATCCTGAGGGCCTCAGGGGCTTCAGTTAAAGCATACAAGTGACAGATCAGACTCACACTGTAGAAAGGTTCTATTGGAGGACAAGCTGGGGAGTGGAGAGACTAGAAGCCAGGAGGCCAGTAAGGAGGCTGATGAGAGGGGTGGGACCTGAATTCACACCATGGCAGTGATGGCAGGGAGAAGGCCAATGTCAGCCATGGCCACTGGGTGGAAAAAATGGGTCATAATTCAAGACAGGCCAAGGAGACCTGTGCCTGGCCCAGGGGTGACTGGCAGGATGGTGGTGCCCCAGGCTGTCTTCCATCTGGAAGTCACTCACCAGCTCTGGGCCACCCTGATGGGGTGCCCACCTTGGCTCTCCTGGTCACTAGCCATGGGCCTGGACATGAAACCTTGATGCCTCACTGTACATTTGAGAAAACGGGGCTAATACCAGTCCCTCTCTCACTGGGTGGCCATGAGGAGTCAAGGATGGAGACAAGTCAGAAAGCTCAGACAAGGGCCTGGCACAGCGTGCCACTCCATCAGTGTACTCCGAGCTTCCCAAGTTCCCAGCTGGAGGGCTGGAAAGGGCACGGGCCTTAAGTCAGACACACCTGGCTGCAGCCCTGTGCACTGGGGACTCCAGATCTCACACTGGGCAGTGATCCTCAGGCCATGAAGGACTGCTATGAAAATTATGTTAAGTAACACTTGAAAAGTTCCTCGCACATGGTGTGAAATCAACAAATGACAGCTGCTGCTGTTGTGATGACGGTGGTGACTATTCCTGTGCAGCTCGGCACACTCGGCTATCCCACAGCAGGGCAAGGCCAAACTCCGCCTATCCTTCACGCTCCAGCTCCTCCTCCAGTGTTCTCCCTGTAAATGTCATTGCCATCACCCAGATGCCCAAGCCAGACACAGGAGGAATGCTCTCCCTCCTGTCCTCTCCTGCATCCCCCACCCTAGGCAGTCACCAAGCCCTGGTGCTCTTTAGCCCTTCCCCTAGTCTCTAGCTCTGACGTTCTCCCGCCTGAGGCCCACCAGCTCATTCCTTATCTCCTCACTGGTCTTCCTGTTACCACTGCTTCCCCCAACCCCAGGGCCAATTCACTTGAGCCAGATCAAAACCCTTCAAGGGTGGCCGGGCATGGTGGCTCATGCCTGTAATCCCAGCACTCTGGGAGGCTGAGGCAGGTGGATCACCTGAGTTCAGGAGTTTGAGACCAGCCTGGCCAACATGGCGAAACCCATCTCTACTAAAAATACAAAAATTAGCCAGGTGTGGTGGCATGCGCCTGTAGTCCCAGCTACTCAGGAGGCTGAGGCAGGAGAATCATTTGAACCCACGAGGCAGAGGTTGCAGTGAGCCAAGATCACCCCATGGCACTCCAGCCTGCCTGGGCAGCAGAGCCAGAGTCCGTCTCAAAACAAAAACAAAAACAAAACTCTTCAAGGGCATCCCATGGGCTTTCTGCTGAGGCCCAAACCCTTTAGCCCACTCAGTAAGAGCACATCGGGCTTGTTCACCATGGTATCCCCAGGGTATAGCACAGGGCTTGGTATACAGTAGGCACTCAACAAACATTGGCTGAATGGAAAATGGATGAACACACAAATCTATGTATGTGCTGGCCATGCTGGTATGAATAATAACAATAATAAAAATAGTATAATCCCAGCACTTTGGAAGGCTGAGGTGGGAGGATTGCTTAAGCCCAGGAGTTCAAGACCAGCCTAGGCAACAGGGCCAGACCCCATCTCTACAAAAAACACAAAAATTACCTAGGCATTATGGCATATGCCTATAGTCCCAGCAACTCGGGAGGCTGAGGTGGGAGGATCGCTTGAGCCCAGGAGGTGGAGGCTGCAGTGAGCTGTGATTGCACTACTGCGCTCCAGCCTGGGCAACAGAGAGAGACCCAGTCTCAAAGGAAAAAAAAAAAAGGACACACGCATACAGCACCCACTATGCACCAGGCCCTGTTCTAAGTTCTTCACTGCATGTTGTTCTTCAAAACAACCCTATGTGCTAAAGGGCTGTTATTCCCCAATTTTACAGTTGAACAAACTACAACCTAAAGAAATGTTAAGCACTTGCCCAAAGCCACACAACCAGTGCACAGCAGAGCTAAGCTTTAAACAGCCAACCACAGACACTCTCAGCTGCCACACTTTGCTGGCCCCAGGCCCCAAATCCTCTCACCCTACCCTACTGAGTAGGCCCTGAGACACAAAGGTCAGACAGCTGTAAATAAGAACTGTTCCAGACTTCTCTGTTGGTGAAAAAAGGGCATCCAGTTTAGAGTGACTTCAGGTGCAGGGCTACTCCCTTGGAGCCTGCTTATTTCTGGGATACCAGATGAAAGAATATTTCTGAGCCTACGTGACTAAAGACCAGGCTGTGGAAACAGGTCACGAGGAAGCCTGTGCCCTCAGGTGGGCATAGAGCTGTCAGCTCTGGGGCTTCTCATCTCCTGTCTCACCCGGGGCCTCTTTGGGCTTCAGGCTTTAAAATTCACCCTGGGCTGGGTGTGGTGTCTCATACTTGTAATCCTAGCACTTTGGGAGGTGAGGTGGGCGGATCACTTGAGGCCAGGAGTTCAAGACCAGCCTGGCCAACATGATGAAACCTGTTGCTCCAAAAAATACAAAAATCAGCCAGGCACGGTGGCGCACCTGTAATCCCAGCTACTCGGAAGGCCGAGGCAGGAGAATCGCTTGAACCCGGGAGGTGGAGGTTGCAGGGAGGCAGAGGTTGCTGTGAGCAGAGATCGTGCCATTGCACTCCAGCCTGGGCAACAGAGGAGACTCTGTCTCCAAAATAAATAAATAAATAAATAAAATAATAATAATAATAAAATTCACCCTGACCTTAAAACTCACCCTGGGGCAGAAGTTTTCAAACCAGCTGGCAGCTTTATGGGGCAGCGCCTTGGGACCTGCCTGTGGGGTGGGGTGGGAGGCACCCCCATCTCTGCCTTCACCAGAGCAGCTCTGCTCTTGCCCAGGGTTCTGAGGGAGTTTGCAATTGGAAAAAAAGTTCTGTCAAAATAACTTTTGAAAGTCAGTGCCCTAAGGGATAAACGTCCTTGTCAAGCAAAGTGGCCCTCTCATGTCTTCCCTCGTGATGTTCAGGGGGTTGGATGCTGTAAATTCTGGCATGAGAGAGAGGAGGGTGAGAATCTCTGATGAGCTCTGTCAAGTCTAACGTCAAGGCTGCCCTGGCCATCTCTGGCCACAGCCCCTTGGTCTGCACACCAGCTCTGGGAGTGTCCTAATCAGGGGCCTACTTATCTCCCAGGGCACAGTCCTGCCTCTGGGCAGTTGTGCCCATAGTTTCTCCCACCTGGAATAAAAAGAGGAACTACATTTCAGTCCCCCAGTATCTGCCAAGCGATGTGTGAGGTACTTGTCCCCACGTCCCGTAACCCTCACTATAGACCTGCAAGGTATTATTATCCCCATCTTAGGGAGGGGAAAACTGAGGTTCAGAGGAGAGAAATGACACTTAAGGATTCAAATCTAGGAGTGTCTGACACCCAAAGATCCTTTCCACTGCACCCTTGCCTGCCACCTCCCATGGCCCTGCCTTCCATCCCTCCTCAGCTGCAACCAAATTCTGCCCACGCTCAGGCCCCGCTGGTTCCTCCAGTGCATCCCACTCCCTAGTATCGCCCCATCTTTGTAGATGCTATTTCCCCTGCTCCAAATACACTCCCCTTCTCCCACACCCCCTTCACCTTGCTAACTCCTTCATGACCTTTGGGAATCAGTTTGGGTATCGTCTCTTCTGGGAAGCCCTACTGGGATATCTGACTGGGTCAGGAACCTCCTCTGGGACCGTCCTCTGAGCTCCCCAATCACAGCCCAGACAGCTCTGTGCTGTGGTCATTCACTGTCTTGCGCCCCAAAGAGACTCTAAGCTCTTGGGGGCAGGGTCCAGATCCACTGTGCTCACAGTGGGATCCCATGCCCAGCAAGAGGCAAGGCACATAGTAGGTACTCAATAAACAGCCACTGAATGGGTGAATGTATGAGTTCTACATGCAGCCCTCCAGGTCCATGATGTGCCAGGCCCTCCCTAGCAGGTGCTGGGCATAGCACACAGGTGAGGTGTGCTCCCTGCTCTCAGCCCTGCCTCCTGCAGGAAGCCTTTGACCTCCTCAGACCTTTTCCTGCTCCCCACTCCATGTCTCTTTCATTCACTTAACAAATCTTTGCACACCGACTAATCCAAGGTGGCATGAAAGGGGCATTTGGCAAAGCAGGACACAGGTGGTGATGCATGTACCACCTCTCCTCCTCTGTCCCATCCCACAGCACCCGCCAGGCACAGGCATACAGCGCAACATCAGTGAGGTGGTGTCAGGGGCCCTTCATGGCTCCTTCCTCTTCTGCCACCAGCCAGGCTGCTTCTGAGGTTCGACTGGCTGCCCAGCTGCCCGCCCTCCCTCACTCGCCGGGTCCATGCATCTTTCCCGGCCCCAGTCCAGCCATACCCGGTTGATGAGCTCGCCAACCATGCCCGTCCAGGAGCCGTTGGGCTCGGGCGCCCCGTACAGCCCATCCTCCACCAACCGCAGGCGGTAGCGGAAGCGCAGCAGCTCGGCCAGCTCCCGCAGCATGTCCACGCAGAAGCCCTCGAAGCGTTCGTTCCCCGACAGGGCCTGGAAGTTGGGCCGGCGCATGACGTATGGGTTCTCCTGGGTGGGCAGAAGAAAGCAGGGGTCAGAGGCTGGGTGTCTAGTGGCTGGGTTGCGGATCCTGGAGCCCGGACCAGGCAGGTAGAGCAGGAATCTGCTTGCTGAGCACGGTTGATTTATTCATAGTACACATTTCTCACTTACAAATGCTCAGAGTGGGGAATAGACCTGAAAGCCAGGGAAAAACACATGGGTACTGCCAGTTCCTAGCAGATTGCAGGGAGCCATTTTAATCTTCAGCAGCCAACCTGATGCTCATTGGTGCCAAGCTCAAATGCGTATGAGGGAGGAGGTAACTTTAGAGTCAGACTGGATAGATCTTGTGCCAAAGTGGATCAGGGGCTTTCAGATTTCTTATTACAATTCACAGTAAAAGATACATTTTACCCTGCAACCTAATTCACCCACACATGAACACACGTAACTAGACTTAATTCCACAGAACAGTCCTTGCCCTAGTAACTATGGGCAATACACTGATATTTTCTATTCTGCTATACTTCATCTTTCCACATGGCTGGTAATGACTCACCAAACCAACTTCATGAGCCACTAATGGGTTAAAGATGGTATTCCCTCACCAGGGTTTAGCTCCAGTCCAATTCCCCATGAGGGAGGCAGGCTGAAGATGACAGATGGTGCAATTTTTTTTTTTTTTTTTTTTTTTTGAGACAGAGTCTTGCTCTGTCACCCAGGCTGGAGTGCAGTGGCGCGATCTCAACTCACTGCAACCTCCACCTCCTGGGTTTAAGCGATTCTCCTGCCTCACCCCCGCCAAGTAGCTTGGATTACAGGTGCCTGCCACCACGCCCGCCCAATTTTGTTTTTGTATTTTTAGTAGAGACGGGGTTTCACCATGTTGGCCAGGCTGGTCTTAAACTCCTGACCTCAAGTGATCCGCCCACCTCGGCCTCCCAAAGTGCAGGTGTGAGCCATCGCACCTGGCCCAGATGGTGCAATTTTAAGAGAATTTGGAAACTTAAGATTGTTTTATAAAGTCTCCTGGTTATAAATGTTAGCAACTCTCATGCCTGAAATCTCACTGCTTTGGAAGGCTGAGGTGGGAGGATTGCTTGAGCCCGAGTTTGAGGCTGCAGTGAGCTATGACTGTACCACTGCACTTCAGCCTGGGCAACTGAGCAACTCTGTCTCTAAAATAAAATAACATAAATGTTAGCAACTGATACGGTTAGGCTTTGTGTCCCCACCCAAATCTCACCTTGAATTGTAATCCCCATAATCCCTATGTGTCAAGGGAGAGACCAGGTGGAGGTAACTGAATCAGGGGGGCGGTTTCCCCCATGCTCTTCTAGTGATAGTGAGTTCTCACGAGATCTGATGGTTTTATAATGGGCTCTTCCCCCTTCACTCGGCACATCTCTCTCCTGCTGCCTTGTGAAGAAGGTGCCTTGCTTCCCCTTCGCCTTCTGCTATGATTGTAAATTTCCCAAGGCCTCCCCAGCCATGCTGAACCTGTGAGTCAATTAAACCTCTTTCCTTCATAAATTACCGAGTCTCGGGCAGTTCTTTACAGCAGTATGAAAATGAACTAATACAGCAACCAATTCAAATTCTAATACCAATTATTATTAAATGTTCTGCAGGCCAAAACAAACACAGTTTCTAGTTTGCAATCTCTGACCTACAGTCAGTTTGCCACATTGACGCTTATTTCTGAGGGGTTTGAGCAAACTTTACTGATCCCGTTGTGCCAAAGAAACACAAAAGCAGAAAGAATGGTCCAAGTGCTAGGAAAACAAGGCATGTGATGATGGTAACAAATGGGAAACTTATCTGGACACAGTTATTGTCTAAATGGTTGTTTGTACAATGTCACTTTGGAATAATGAACAAAAGGACTTAGGACTTAGGGAAGAGCCAGGAAAGAGCTTTGGTTAAAATATACACAATGAGCCAGGTGTAGTACCTCAAGCCTGTAACTCTAACACTTTGGGAGGCCAAGACAGGTGGATGGCTTGAGCCCAGGAGCTCAAGACCAGCCTAGGCAACATGGCAAAACCCCGTCTCTATAAAAAATACAAAAATTAGCCAGGCGTGCTGGTGTGCACCTGTAGTCTCAGCTACTCGGGAGGCTGAGGTAGAGTCCCAGAGGCTCAGGTTGCGGTGAGCCGAGATTTCACCACTGCAGGCCAGCCTGGGAGATGGAGCGAGACTCTCTCAAAAATAAAATAAATAAAATATCCACACTGGTTATTGTGTATTGAGAAACTGTGCTGTGCATTCTCTCGATGACATTATTTTAATTCCTTATGGTGACCTTACACTGAAATGGGCATAAGTAGATTCCTTTTACACATGTGGACACGGAGGCTCAAAGTGGTTAGGTGACCTCTGTCACCTCTCATTCATTCAACACACAATTACTGAGCTCCATGGTAGATGTGGCCACAATATTGTGCTGCTTCTTCTAGCAACAGATGGGGTCCATTTCTCCCTGGGTTCAGACTTCTTGGTCTGAGCTGGCCTTATGACTTGTTTTGGCCAACTGGATGTGGCAGAAGTGATGCCGTGTGAATTCCAGAGTCTCAGCCTTCAGAGCAGCCCCCATTTAAGGAAGCCCAGGCTGGCCTGCTGGAGGGTGAGTGAACCAAGGCATGCCAGCCAACAGCCAGCATCCACAGCCATTCTGCACTTTCCAGTCCAGTCTGGACACCAGCTGAATGCTGCCGCAGTGTGCCCAAGTGAGACCAGCCAAAGAACCACTAAGTTGACCCACGGAATCATGCAAAATAATCAACTGCTATTGTTTCAGTTTCTGGGTTCTGGGTGGTTTGTCACACAGTAATAGAATCTCCTACTATGTGGCCAGGTCATAGGCTCTGGACTCCAGGACCCCACAGAGCCCTACAGCTACAGGGTGATGGAATGGAGGGCAGTCAGTGATTCTCTATTAAGCTGCCTTTCCAGAACCAAAATTGTGGAACGGGGAACAAGAATGTGAGATAATACTAATAATAGCGGCAGCAGCCAGCATTTCTTGTGGGCTTGCTGTGTGACAGCAATTCCGTCAGCGTGGGATGGCAGTATTATTACGTCTCTTTTAGAGATGAGGATGCTGAGGTCCAGAGAAGTGAAGTAGTAAGTGGCTGAGAAGGACAAGTTGGTCTGATTCCAAAGCTCCGCTCTTAAGCCCTGTGCTAGACTGAGCTCAAGTGGACAGAATCAGACAGTGGATATGGGAGAAGCCAGAGAGAGACGAGGGACCCAGGTTGGGTATCAAAGCTGGAGAATCAGAAACTGAGAATCCTAGAGACAAGGGCCTGGCTCCCATACAGCCCCCTTGACATATAGAGGATAGAACCAAGGCTCAGAGAGGTAAAGCATCTAGCCCAAGGCCACCCAGCTGAAGCAGGGCAGTGGGAAGGGAGACGGGGCAGAGCTGGGCTTCACAACCCAGTCACTGTGCACTCTGAACCCTGTTCCTTCCACTATGCCAAGCTGATCTCTAAATTCAAGACTGAGGAACTTAGGTTCAGGGTCTCAGGACTGGGGTCTGAGCTTAGGGAGACAAAAAGAGACTGGGGCCTGTGAATAGAAATTAGATAACCGTAATCTAGGACTCAACTTAGAGTCACAGACTATCAGAACAGAAGGGTCCTCAAGGAGCCTCAAATCCAGGGTCTTCAGACTTCAAAAAGAATCTTATGCAGAAGCCCAACACTGCAGCCAGACAATGAGATACTGCTAAGTCCAGTTCTAAGAATTTACCCTACAAATGGCTGTGCATCAAAAACGCAGGTCCAAGAAAGTCAGTGCAGCATTGCTTGTAGTGAGAACAAAGACTGAAACAACCTAATTTGGGCCAAGTTAAAAAGATTATCGATGTCATAAAAGAATCCCAGGCAACCACTAAAATAGCAAGGTCTACAAGATATATTAGGAGGAAAAAAACAAGCTACAGAACAACGTGTACAATATGCTACTCTTTGTTAAAGAAAGAGCAACGATGTGCTTGTATATGCATAGACATTTCTGGGAGGATGGTGGCCTCTGAAAAAAGAAAATGAGAGACCCAGGGAAGGAAGGAAACTGATTTTTCACTCCTCACCTGCCTTGTACTCTTTGAATTCTATTTTACGTAGGTTTGTATTAACTTCTGTCCCTTCCCCAATTTTATTTATTTATTTTTGAGACAGAGTCTTGCTCTGTCACCCAGGCTGGAGTGTAGTGGTGCAATCTCGGCTCACTAGAACCTCTGCCTCCTGGGCTCAAGTGATTCTCCCACCTCAGCCTCCGGAGTAGCTGGGACCACAGGTGCGAGCCACTAAGCCTGGCTAATTTTTGTATTTTTTGTAGAGACAGGGTTTCATCATGTTGCCCAGGCTGGTCTCGAACTCCTGAGCTCAAGTGATCTGCCCACCCCGGCCTCCCAAACTGCTGGGATTACAGGCATGAGCCACCATGCTCAGCCCCCTTCCCCAGTGTAACAATTTTTTTAAAATTGAAGTATGATATTTAAGTGTGTATGAACATGCATGGTTGGCTGGGCTTGGTGGTTCACGCCTGTAGTCTCAGCACTTTAAGAGGCCAAGGAGGGAGGATCACTTGAGCCCAGGAGTTCAAGACCAGCCTGGGCAACATAGGAAGACCCCGTCTCAATAAAAATAACTTATAAAAAATAAAAAGAAATGCAAAGAGTCAAGAAGAACCAAAGTAATCCTAAAGAAGAAAAGCAAAACTGGGGGTTTACCCTGCCAAATGTTAACACTTAATTTAAAGCTATGGTATTTAAGACACTGCAGTACTAGAACAAAGACAGACAAACAGACAATAGAATGGAGTGTTTGGAAACCCACATATAAATGGATATTGATTTGTGACAAAGGTAAAACTGTCCTGAAGGGGGAAGAATTATTGTTATAATAAATGGTGCTGCTGAATTAAATACCCATATGGAAAAAAATGTATTCTGGCCAAGTGCGGTGGATCATGCCTGTAATCCTAGCACTTTGGGAGGCTGAGGCAGGTGGATTACTTGAGGTCAGGAGTTCAAGACCAGCCTGGCCAATATGGTGAAACCCCTATCTCTACTAAAAATACAAAAATCAGCCAGGCGTGGTGGTGGGCGCCTGTAATCCCAGCTACTGGGGAGGCTGAGACAGGAGAATCACTTGAACCCAGGAGGTGGAGGTTGCAGTTAGCCAAGATCGCATGCTACTACATTCCAGCCTGGGCAACAGAGTGAGACTCTGTCTCAAAAAAAAAAAAAAAAAAAAGAAAAAAATGTATTTTGACTCCCCTACCTCACATGCTACATAAAAATCAATTTCAGGAGGATGGCAGACCCAAATGTAAAAGGCAAAATTATTAAGTTTTTAGAACACAAATAGTAGAATATCTTCATGATATAGGGGTATACACGGAATTCTTAAATTCTAAAATCATTAACCATAAAGGAAAAAAGCTGATGAAGAGAACTTTGGTAAAATTAAAAATCAAATCCTTTTATCCAAAATATACTACTGAGAATGAAAAGGTAAGCCACAAAGGGGGACAGGACATTTGCAATACATACATCAGACAAATGACTTGTACCCAAGAATGTATAAATAACTCACAATCAGGCTGGGCGCAGTGGCTCACGCCTGTAATCCCGGCACTTTGGGAGGCCGAGGTGGGCAGATCACGAGGTCAGGAGATCGAGACCATCCTGGCTAATCGGTGAAACCCCGTCTCTACTAAAAATACAAAAAATTAGCCGGGCGTGGTGGCAGGCGCCTGTAGTCCCAGCTACTTGGGAGGCTGAGGCAGGAGAATGGCGTGAACCGAGGAGGCAGAGCTTGCAGTGAGCCGAGATTGTGCCACTGCACTCCAGCCTGGGTGACAGAGCAAGATTCTGTCTCAAAATAAAAAAATAAACAAATAAAAAATAAAAAATAACTCACAAATCAATAAAAAGTCACATATCCCAATTTTTTTAAAATAGAAAAAGACATGAATAGGAACCTTGCAAATGAGGATTTCCAAATAGCCAATAAAGGGCCAAGTGTGGTGGCTCATGCCTGTAATCCCAGCACTTTAGGAGGTCAAGGTGGGTGGATCCCTTGAGCCCAGGAGTCCAAGACCAGGCTGGGCAACATGGTAAAACCCTGTCAATTAAAAAAAATTGTTTTTAATTAGCTGGGTGTGGTGGTGCACGACTGTGGTCCCAGCTACTCAGGAGGCTGAGATAGGAGAAGTGCTGGAGCCTGGAGGTCGAAGCTGCAGTGAGCTACGATTGGGCCACTGCACTCCAGCCTGGGTAACAGAGCAAGACCCTCTCTCAAAAAACAAAAACAAAGAAAAATCAAATAGCCAATAAACACAAAAAGGTGTTCTCCCTTCCTGATCATTAGGGAAATGCAAATGAAAACCACCATATATGGTTGGTACCTTTATACACTCACCACTGACAAACCGAGTAGCAAGTGGAATTTTCATTCATTCGCTGCCGCTGGGAATGAAAGTGAAAGTGGTTCAACCACTTTGGAAGACACTTTTACAATACGTGATAAAGCTAGGACAAACACCCTGGGACCCAGCAACTAGAACACACCCAACAGAAACACCAGTACATGTTCACCAAAAGACATGGAAGAGAACCTTCCTAGTAGTACTATTCCTAACAGCAAAAAGCCAGAAACAAACGTCCATCTAGATTGGATGAATCAGGAAATTGCAGTACATTCAACATACAACAATGAGACTACACTACTTGCAATGACACAGATGAAACTCATAATGTTGCCAGAAGAAGCCAGTCTCAAGAAAGAACACACAGTACGATGCCATTTATATGAGGTTCAAGGGCGGGCAAAGCTGATCTGTGGTGACGGAAGCTGAGATGGGGGTTAGCCTTGGAGGGTTAGTGATTGGAAGGGCATGGGGAGGCTTTGGGTTGGGGACAGCTGGTTGGTTACACAGGTGTGTTCAGTTTTTGAAACTTCAGTGAGAAGTAACACGATTTGTGCACATTTCTGTATGTGTGTTACACTTCAGTGAAAATCAAAAGTAAAAACAAAAAATTAAAGTAGGGTAGGTTCTAGAACATTCCTTACAAGCTGATTGCTTGGACCCTTTCATGAACCTGGGATCCAAATCCTTGTCCAGGATTTCCTGCAGTGTCAACACTGATCTAGTCCAACCTCCTCACTCTGCTATGAATATTTTATTTACGTATTTATTTATTATTATTATTTTTAGACAGGGTCTCACTCTGTCGCCCTGGCAGTGGTATGATCTGGGCTCACTGCAGCCTCAACCTCCTGAGTTCAAGTAATCCTCCTGCCTCAGCCTCCCAAGTAGCTGGGATTAAAGGTGCACACCACCACGCCCAGCTAATTTTTGTATTTTTAGTAGAGATGGGGTTTTGCCATGTTGCTCAGGCTTGTCTCAAACTCATGGGCCCAAGTGATCCTCCCGCCTCAGTCTCCCAAAGTGCTGGGGTTACAGGTGTGAACCACCATGCCCAGACTGCTAGGAATACTTTAATCCCCTCACTTTAAAGGAGGAAACTGAGTATAGAGAGACCTGCTAGGGGCAAACAGTGTGTGGATGGCAGTGCCAGGCTCAGGACACAGCCCTGAGGGCTCAGAAAGTAGTAGAAATAATGGAGGCAATGTGGCCTGGCACGGTGGCTCACGCCTGTAATCCCAGCACTTTGGGAGGCCGAGACGGGCAGATCACGAGGTCAGGAGATCAAGACCATCCTGGCTAACACGGTGAAACCCCGTCTCTACTAAAAATACAAAAAAAAGCCGGGTGTGGTGACGGGCGCCTGTAGTCCCAGCTACTCGGGACACTGAGGCAGAAGAATGGTGTGAACCCAGGAGGCGGAGCTTGCAGTGAGCCGAGATCGCGCCACTGCACTCCAGCCTGGGTGACAGAGCAAGACTCTGTCTCAAAAAAAAAAAAAAAAAAATTAAAAAATAATAGAGGCAACGTGGTGCAAAAGACAGGCATGTGGGCTCTGCTGCCTTCTAGCTGGGCGACCTTGGGCACGTCATTTAACCCTCCTATGCCTGAGTTTCTTCATCCGAAAATCAGGGCTTCTGTGAAGATTGTGTCACATGAGCACAGGGCTTGGCACAACACTCAAAGCCATGAACCACAAGCTCAGGAGAGGGAGGGAGGGAGGGAGGTGCTCTCACACGTACCTTGGGCACTGCAAGGGCCTTCTTAGCTCATGTGATCCTCCCACTGCCCCTCAAGGCGAGACGCAGACCCGTTGTATAGATAAAGCAATGGATACTGTAGTTAAGTGACTTGAACTAATAAGAGCGGAGGAATGGGACTGAGGTCCCTCTGTCCGCAGCAGAGAGACTACTCTTAACTGCCACACTAGTCACCAAAGGGCAGAGTGAGGCATCTCAGCTCAATGAAGGGAATCCTCAGGACCACCTGGGTACCCTGACAAATTCTCCAAGACTGGGGCGAGACCAGCGGCTGAGGAGGGCGGGCCTATGCACAGCCTCAACTCCGTGGGACTTCTGCACCCCCAGCTTCCCCATGGGGCCTCTCTCTATCTCAGCGCCAGCCCATCCTGTCTCAGCACAAGATCCCTGAGCCTGCCCCAGGGGCAGCGCCAGCCTGCACCCCATCACCAGAGGCCCTCGCTCCCACACCCGGACCACCTCTAATCCCTAGCAGCATCCCTCATGGGCCAACAAGGAGCCTTCCTGACTCCAGATCTGGCCCCGCCCCTTCCTGCTCAACACTCTCTCCCCAAGGTAAAGCACAGGACAACTGAGTCCTTCAGAGCCCCTTCCCCACCTGCTGCCCCGCAGCCCCTAGGCTGCCTCTGTCCCAACACTCACCACAACCCTCTGTACTTGCTAGGTATTAGTCACAGCTCTAGGCCCTGGGATAGAGCAGCGAATGAGACAAGTTCTAACCCACATCTTGCCCTAGGCACCCAGTTTGAGTCACATCTGAATCTCCAAGTGCCTGACACAGGTCTTGCCCAGAAACCCATGTCAGGCAATACCAGCGAATGAACAGGGCTTGTCTGGCTGTGTACACAGAGGCTGTTGCCTCCCTGTTCAACCTGACAAACACCTCCCAAAACCCCAGCTCCTGCCCCTCCTGCCGCTCCTGCTGCCTGGGATATTTTCTGGGCACCCAACTCCTATGCAACCCCATCTAATGCCACCTCTGCCAGGAAGCCTTCCTCCAGCCTCCTAAAGCTGACTCAGTCCCTCCTTTCTTTGGTAGTCCCTCATTGTGGGAATGACTGTGTCCAGGTCTATCTCCTCCATCAGACTGGGACCGCCTCCCAGTGCCACCTGAGAGCACCTGACTCATATCTGTGCTTCTAGAATGTAAGGGCCAGCACCATACAGCTTTGGTAAATATTTATGGAATGAATAAGTGAATCAACCCATCAAGAGATAGGTGAACATCAGGAAGGGAAGAAAAATACAAGCTCCCAGGCCTTGAGGAGAAGCAGGGAGGAGAGTGAAGACACTTGAAGCTCCCAGGGTCACAGCTCAGCTCTCCTGACCTCCCCTCCCTGACCTTTGCACCCTGTTCCCCACCAAGGCCCCCAACTCTTCTGCCTCCAGGAGGCTTCAGGGATTGACCGCACACCACAGCACAGAGGGTCTGACTGCTCCTAGCCAAGCCCCCAGGGCTCCCTGGGGAGGCTGTTAGGAGGTGTCTGGTTTCCCGTCTGCAGGCCATCTGTCCCTCCACAACAGGATCACTGGCCCTGCTCCAGAGGGACTCGAGGTCCATTTTAGATCAGGAGTTCCCTAGGGACTGAGGGAACTGCTCTGCGACTCACTGCTTTAGGTGGCCCTCTAACATCCTGCAAAACCCTCTTGTAACCCTCTCTGAATGTCAGCATCCACAGCGAATAGCTGACACAGCTCAGAGTTACTGAGCGGCTCCCTCACTAACAATGAGTGCTGACAGGCCACGGACTTGGCCACTGTGAAGAGCATGGCTGCCTGGCATGTCCAGCCTCCAGGCCAGCCGCTTGGGGAAGCCTCCTGCTCGCCAGGCCCTGTGGATCACCCCCTCCCTGACCTCCTAAGGCACTGGAAGCCCATTGTGCCTGGCAGGAGTCAGCATGGTGCAGCAGAGAGGGCACCAGCTCCGAGCCTGACACTAGCTCTGCCGGGGACTCACTGTGTGACCTGCTTCCTTACCCTCAAAAGGGGGAAATAAGACAAAGCTCACAAGGGTAGCCGTGAGGTCTAAAGAATGACGCTTGGAAAGGGCCTAGCACAGTGCCCGGTGCAGAACAGGCAATCAATAAATACTTGACATACAAAGGCCCCTCTGCCTCTGATTTGGTGAAATGCAGGAGTGGCACCCCCAGGGCTACAGGACAACGTCCCTGTCTGGTGCTTGGGTACTGAGAGGTCTGGAGCTTCAGAACACAGAGGTCAAGACTCAGGCTCTGAAGGATTAGAGACATAGCTTCCAGTCCTGGCTGTGCCGGGTGCTTGCTGTGTGACCCTGGGCAAGTCGCCTCCCCTCTCTGAGCCTCAGTTTCCACAACTTCAAGATGGACACTGAGTTGGCATTGTTGATACATGTTGTTGGCAAGGGTGGCAAAACAACTGTTCTGGCAATCATGATTCATCAGGATTGACCAGAGCCAGATACTGTGCAAAGAGCTGGGTTAAATCTGGCCCTGAGGGCAGTCTGCTCCCTCCCTGCTCTGGCAGCATTTAGGATGGTAGCACCTTGTTCACAACCTGGAGTTGCTGCGTGCAGGAATCCCAGCCCCCACTGGCCTATGCGCTGTGCCAGCCAATGCATCCCTCCACCTCACGGTGGGAGCTAGGACTGGGCTCAGGGCAGCGCCACTCCCAGGCCCCCATCTAGGGCCACTCACCAGGATGGTTGTGACCACCAGGGTCTTGTTGGCCAGTGTCTGCGACAGGTTGATGTCCAGGGTGGTGGCATTCATGGCCAGGGTGCGGTTAGAGTACCACACCCCAATCTAGGGGGCAGAGAGGGTGCTGTCAGCTCAGGCCCTGCCTGAGGTCATGGCAGCCTCTGGGCCCGCCCCCACCCTCACCCCAGCAGGGCTCTGGCGTCACCCTGGGTCTGCTCACCTCACGGTGGCCCTGCCGGGACTTTTCTAGGATGCGCAGGGTGTAGTTGGTTCTCTGCCCTTTGCTGTTGAACTCGACCCGCCCGGTCAGCCCATCATACTCTACCTGGCAGGGTGGGGAGGTGGGGCAGAGGGAGAGTGCAGGGGCCCAGAGATGGGCAGGGAAGGCCCAACGTGGTGAGACATCCACAGAGAAAGGCACAGACAGACCGGGGTGGAGGGGACAAGAGAGAGAAGAGGAAGATCACAGTCAAAAGAGCAAGATAACATGCAAGGAAGCAAGAGGAGATGGGACAAAAGGCATGAAGAGGGCAAGACTCAGAAAGAGAGAGAGAGAGTAACCCAGATAGGCAGCAACAGCCAGGAGTGGACAGGGGAGGCAGTGGGTACGGTGGGAAGAGCAGGGAGGGCAGAGGGCCACAGGGTGGTCACAGTGAGCGCTCCCACCTGAGGTGGCCGTGTCCTGCCTCCTCCACCCATCCCCGCTCGGGCTCACCATGCGCAGGTAGTTCATGAGGCTGGTCCCGTGGGGCCAAATGTTGGCCGATGTACAGGCCAGAGGCTTCACACCGATCTCCTGGCTGCGGTTCAGCTCTCGGACAGCGCTCACCACCACGTGCACGGCGTCAAACATCAGGGCGGCTGACAGCTGCGGTGGGACAGAGGCGGGGGTGGGATGGATAAGAGGCTGCCTAGGCAGAGGAGCCCCAAAGGCCCCTGAGCTGCCACCCTCAAACCCTCAAATAACTTCCCTCTCCCCAGGAATGGGAAACTGGGTGGGTCAGGAGTGAGGAAGTGGCTCTGGTGTCTTTCTTGGGAAGTGGAATTGACAGCGGGGAAGGTGTGTGTGCTTCCCATGTCTTGGTGGGAGTAGGTCTCCCAGAATGTATGTGGCCATGTATCTCTCAGAGGGTGCCTGGATAGCTAGCTGTGTCACCTGCATGGGCAGGTATGTCTGTGAATCTGGGTGATGCAGGCCAGGGAAGATGGCCATAGTCCCCGTCTGAGTGTGTCTGGGGCACGTTTACATGAGTGGGGCTGGACGACCATGCCCATTCATCTATACACAGCTTGGGTGTGGTGTCAGAGAGGCAGGAGCATATAATGATTGGTCGCGGGCCTGGGAGGCAGGTGGCTCAGAGCTAGAGGCCTGGCTCTGCTATTTTCTCATTCTTTGATAGGGCTAAGTCCTCATTCCTCCCTGAACCTCAGTTTCCTTCTCTGTAAAATGAGGATAATAGTAATCTCTACCTTCATGTGCTGTTACGGGGCTCCGGTGACATAACGCCTGTAAAGCACTCAGAACAGTGCCTGGCACACAGTTAGCGTCCCATACACTCTAGCCCCCAATCTGTGACACAACCACGGTGTCTGTGTGTGCTTGTTAGGGTGTGCCCCAGCTGTGTTAGTGTGAAGGTCTGAGTATCTGTGTTGTGTAGATGTGCACAGGGGTACACACAAATGTGCCTCTGTGTTGGGGTGTGTGATGTCCCTGTGTGGACACATCTGACTGGACAGCTTGGTGTCCATGTGTGCTCTGCGCGTAGAAGTGTCTTGGTGTCTTGGTATCTGAGTAGATGTCTGTGAACAAATACACATAAATATGCATCTTTTGTATGCTGGTATTTATTCAACATCTATTATCAGACACCTGTTATGAGCTAGGCTGTTTTAAGTGCTGGGGATACAATGGTGAACAAAATAAACAGAACCCCCTGCCCTCATGGAACTTACAGTCCTCAAATCCATATCTCTATGTAAGTCTAATATACAGTAAGCCACATCGTGATGAAATAAGCAAATATAAGTGCTATGGAAAAAGACAAGGCAGGGAGGGGTGAAAAAATAGGTAGTTTACCTTTTTTTTTTCTTTTGAGACAGAGTCTTGCTCTGTCACCCAGGCTGGAGTGCAGTGGCACAATCTTGGCTCACTGCAACCTCTTCTACCTCCCAGGTTCAAGCGACTCTTGTGCCTCAGCCACCCAAGTAGCTGGGATTACAGGCATACGCCACCACACCCAGCTAATGTTTGTATTTTTAGTAGAAACAGGATTTTGCCATGTTGGCCAGGCTGATCTCGAACTCCTGGACTAAAGTGATCCTCCTGCCTCAGCCTCCCAAAGTGCTGGGATTACAAGTATAAGCCACCATGCCTGGCCAATTTACTTTTTTTTTTTTTTGAGACGGAGTCTCGCTCTCTCGCCCAGGCTGGAGTGCAATGGCACGATCTCAGCTCACTGCAACCTCCGCCTCCCAGGTTCAAGTGATTCTTCCACCTCAGCCTCCCAAGTAGCTGGATTACAGGCACCTGCCATCATGCCCAGCTAATTTTTGTACTTTTGTAGAGATGGGGTTTCTCCATGTTGGCCAGGCTGGTCTTGAACTGCTGACCTCAGGTGATTCACCTGCCTCGGCCTCCCAAAGTGCTGGGATTACAGGTGTGAGCCACCGCGCCGGGCCAAGTTTACCATTTTTTAAACAGGAGGAGGAAGGAAAAATCTTATACCTGAGGGGACACTGGAGCAATGTCCTAGTGATGGGGAGCAAGCCACTGCTTCTCTCGGAAAGTGCACAGGAAGCAGGGGGAAGAGGGTGTGCAGAGGCCCTGAGGTGCACCTGCTTGGGGCATCAGAGGCACCTCGAGGAGCTGGTGTGGCCAGAGTGGTGTGGGAGGTAGAGAGAGAGGAGGACATGGGTCCAATGCATCACAAGGCCACACCACGAGGCCTCAGGGAGGGCGAGAGGGTTCTGAGCATGATCTGAGTGAGGTCTGAAAGGGGGCCCCAGAAGTATCTGTGCAGAGTGTTTCTGGGTGTGACTGGGTATCTGTGTGCTCACCGCAGGGCCCAGGTAGGTGCTGGCTTCACAGTTCTCCCTCCAGGACATGTTGAGGCTGCGGACAAACTCAGGGTAGAAGGGGTGGGACGTGTTGAACATGGAGAAGCCCAGGATGTTGGAGGAGTCCTCCACAATACCGTCCAGATGCAGGATGGGGAAGTCCTGGGACCAGGAAGAGGTGGTGAGGCCTGGGGCTAAGCCCTAATGGGACAGCTGTGATGGGAAGGAAGTGGGGGCAGAGATGGGCCAGAGGGCATACACACCATGGTGGTGAGGATGTACTTGTAAAACGCTGAGGTCATTCCCAGTTCCGAGGCCTGGAAAACACAGGAGGCAAAGAGGCAGAGTGAGAGACAGAGACCCACAGGCAGAGATGGGGAGGACTCAAGAGAAGAAGAGAGATTTAGAGACAGCCCTGGTGAGAAGACACTCCATGGGAAACACAGTAAAGTAATAAATGCTCAGAGATAGACAGACAGGGAGGAGGAGACAAGTGGGGGCATAGGGAGGCCTTAGTCCCTGGTGTCCCGCCATGCTGACTGCTGTCCCAGGTGGGACATTTTGCTAGAGGAGAGATTTTGCTAGAGGAGATTTTGCTAGAGGAGAGAATAGGACTCCCAAATGTCCCCTGTCTCTCATGAAGGCACTTAGAAGATTTCCTTCTGGAGATAGGCAAGAAGAAGCCTCAGAAATAGGGCAGGAAGGGGAATTATCTTTTTTTTTTTTTAAAGACAAGATCTTGCTCTGTCACTCAGGCTGGAGTGCAGTGGTGGGATCATAGCTCACTGAAGCCTTGACCTCTCAGGCTCAAGTGATCCTCCCACCTCAGCTCCTGAGTACCTGGAATCATAGGCATGTACCACAATGCCCAGCTAATTTTTTAAAAATTGTTTTTTTGTAGAGATGGGGTCTTGCTATGGTCCCAAGCTCCTGGCCTCAAGCAATCCTCCTGCCTTGGCCTCCCATGGTGCTGGGATTATAGGTGTGAGCCACCAGGCCCAGCAGAGAGGAGAGCCTTAATTTTAAGCCCTACACTCTCCAAAAGCCAAGGTTGGGCTGCAAATGTGTAGGACTCAGCCTAGGCATAAGGTCAGAAAATCGATTCCCTGCAATCTTTAAAAGTGCTTTGCAATAATAGCAGCCAGTTTGAACGTCAAGATTCATTCTTGAGACCCTTTTCTCATAATCCTCGAGGAAAACAAAGCTGGAAAAATTCTTCCTGCCAGAAGCACCCAAGTCTGTCCCCCCACGAGAATTATAACATTAAAGGGCACCAGCTTGCATTTCCTGGGTGGCAGGAGTTGGGCTCTCATCACGTGGGTGTCAGGGAAGGGCAGGCTTGGAGAGGGAAGAGACAACTGTTCACACGGCTGGCACGGGAGGGGCCGGGATCCCAGCCCAGGCCTGCCTGGCTCCCAAACCTGAAACCTCCTCCTTAAGCCATCCTGTCTCAAGAACCCAGTGGATTCTGTTCACACTTCCTGCGGGCTACAGTCAGCAGTGATATATGGGTTTGTTTGTTTGTTTTTTGTTTTTTGAGATGGAGTCTTGCTCTGTCACCCAGACTGGAGTCCAGTGGTGCAATCTCAGCTCACTGCAAGCTCCACCTCCCGGGTTCAAGTGATTCTCCTGCCTCAGCCTCCCGAGTAGCTGGGACTACAGGCGCCCGCCACCACGCCCGGCTAATTCTTTTGTATTTTTAGTAGAAATGGGGTTTCACCGTGTTACCCAGGATGGTCTCAATCTCCTGACCTCGTGATCCGCCCGCCTCAGCCTCCCAAAGTGCTGGGATTACAGGCATGAGCCACTGCACTTGGCTGACATATGGTTTTAATTAAAAAAAAAAAAAAGTAGAGAAAAATAAATAATACAAATTTGGTTATTGGCCGGGTGTGGTGGCTCACGCCTGTAATTCCAGCACTTTGGGAGGCTGAGGCAGGCAGATCACGAGGTTAGGAGTTCAAGACCATCCTGGCCAATATGGTGAAACCCCGTCTCTACTAAAAATACAAAAATTAGCCGAGTGTGGTGGCAGGTACCTATAGTCCCAGCTACTTGGGAGGCTGACACAGGAGAATCACTTGAACCTAGGAGACTGAGGTTGCAGTGAGCTGAGATTGTACCACTGCTCTCCAGCCTGGGCGACAGAGCAAGACTCCGTCTCAAAAAAAAAAAAAAAGAAAAAAGAAAAAAAATACATGCAAAAACACCTTAACACAGAGCTCAATAAAAAATGTTTAAAAATCCTTCAGAGCTACGATGTAGCCAGATCTGACTCGGGGCCAGGCACTGCCCTGCATACTTTACCTGCCCCTGCCCACAGCCCCTTCTCTCCCCATCACTCGCTCTCTGGGCTTGAGCCACACTGCCTCCTTGCTGTTCTGTACACACCACAGTCTTGCTCCTGTCCTGCAGCCTGAACGCTGGCTGTTCCCTTAGCCTCACTCATTAACCCTCACAACCCACCGAGCAGGGACTATTCACAGGGAGATGCGGTGACTGCTCAGGACCACACAACCAGGAAGCAGGCAGGCTGAGAGACAAACTTTACAATTATCATCTTCACGGAAGAAGAAGGTCTTGAAGCCCCCTTTTGACTCCTGAGGCCCATGGGCATTGGGTGACTTGCTCGGTCACCCCAAGTTTCTGGCCCCAGTCCTTTGGGAAATCAGAGGTAGGGGCCTCACCTTACGGAGGATGAGGTGGGAGATGGAGGCGTTGGCGTCGATGATGATGGTGGACACCTTGTCATCACGGATCTCCTTGAGCAGTGGTGTGGGGTCCCGGCTGTCGTCCAACATCCTCACTGACAGCGTCTCCTTGGAGATGAGGAAGCCACGCACCAGTTCCTCCAATCGCAGCAGGCCTGAGGGAGGGGTGGGGCCTTGGGTTGGAGCCCTTCTGGGTACCCAGGCATGGCGTAGACACTCTCTCCTCCTCAACATGGGGCAGCTGGGCAGAGGACTGGAGGGTGTGCAAGGACATGGGGCAGCTGGGTCCCATGGGGTAATGGGCTTGGGGACCCAAAGCCTGGGCCCTCCCCAATTAAAATCCCAACCTAGACCTCTTCCTAGAACTCCAGATTCCTGTCTCTGCCACCTTCCTGACCCCTCATTGGGTGTCTTGACAGGTATCTCATGCTTAATCTCCTTGCTCAACCACCACGGCTTCCCCATGTTGGTGAACAGCATCTCTAGTGTGCCAGTCGCTCAGGCCAAAACTCTGGCTTCCTCTCTTTCACACCCAATCCATCAAGGCCCTCCCTTCCAAACACATCAGATCCCCTCACGCCGTGCCACTGTCACCACCCTGTCCTGAGCCACCACCAACTCCTGCCTGCTGCAATCCCCAAGCCTGCCCCTGAGTCTGTTCCCTACACAGCAGCCAGAATGATACGGGTCAGATGTGCTCCTCCTCTGCCCCAAACCCTCAAATGCCTTCCCAGCTCAGTCAGAGTCCTAGAGGCCAAAGTCCTCACAGCCTCCAAAGCCACACAATCTGCCCAACTCAACCCCTTGTTACTGCCCAGACTGCGGGAATTCAAGACCAGCCTGGCCAATATAGTGAGAAGCCATCTCTTTAAAAAAAAAAAAAAGGTACTTGTTGAGCATGTGCTCTGTGCCAGGCTCTGCTCTTGGTATTGGGGGTCAGCTGTGAGTGAAGCAGACCAGGTACAGGATGAGGAGATGAGTTGGGCAACAAACACCGCAAATAAATGCATTACATGGTTAGAAATAATGAGTTCTATGTTAAAGCAGAAATGAGTTATGAAGACTGGGAGTCTAGTGTGGGTGTGGGGTGCAACTTTAAATGAAATGGTGGGCGGGGGCCTCATTGAGACACTAGAGTAGAGACTGATCCCTAATAGCCTAATATCAAGAGCCAGGCCTGGCACATAGCAGCTGCTCAATAAATACCTTTTTTTTTTTTTTAACCATCCAGCCCACAGCTCCTCCTCTCCCCATCACTCACTCTCTGGGCTTGAGCCACACCACCTCCTTGCTGTTCTGCACACACCATAGTCTTGCTATTGTCCTGCGGCCTTCACGCTGGCTGTTCCCTTGGCCTAGAACCCTCTCCTCTCACATCCTTACACAGCTCCCTCCTTCCCCTCCTCCAGGTCTCTATTCCAACATCACCTTCTCAATGAGGCCCTCGCCCACCATTTCATTTAAAGTTGCACCCCACGCCCATACCATTCTTCATAAGTCATTTCTACTTTTCCATAGAACTCACTACTTCTAACCATGTAATGCACTTATTTGTGGTGTTTTTTGCCCAAGTCCTCTCCTCAGAATGTACTTGGACTACTTCACCCACGGCTGACCCCAATACCAAGATCAGAGCCTGGCACAGAGCAGGTGCTTAATAAATACCTTTATTTATTTATTTATTTATTTTTTTGAGACGGAGTCTCGCTCTGTCGCCCAGGCTGGAGTGCAGTGGCGTGATCTCAGCTCACTGCAAGCTCCACCTCCCGGGTTCACGCCATTCTCCTGCCTCAGCCTCCTGAGTAGCTGGCACTACAGGTGCCCGCCACCACACCCGGCTAACTTTTTGTATTTTTAGTAGAGACGGGGTTTCACCATTCACAGGATGGTCTCGATCTCCTGACCTCATGATTCGCCCGCCTCGGCCTCCCAAAGTGCTGGGATTACAGGCGTGAGCCATCGCGCCCGGCCATAAATACCTTTTTTTTAAGAGATGGGATCTCGCCATGTTGCCCAGGCTGGTCTTGAACTCCTGGCCTCAAGCCATCCTCCCACCTTGGCCTCCCAAAGTGCTGGGATTACAGGCATGAGCCACCACACCTGGCCCAATAAATACTTCTTGAAGGAGGAATTCCTTCTAGAGGCTATGGAGCACAGTTCCTCCTTGCCTCAAGCTCCATACCCACAAATCCACCAGCCTACCAGACATCTCACATGAATGTCTCAAAGACACACCATGCCCGACGTGTGCCCCGATGAATCGTGTTCCTCCTTGGCAAAGGCCTTGCACCATCCCTAGCCCCACCCTCTTCTTTCCCTCACGCCTCTCACATCACCCTGGCCCCCTCATTCCAACTGCCACCACCTGGGCCCAGACCAGTGTCGCCTCTCCCCTGCCTTTCACTTGTCTCCTTGCCACCCCTCTTGTCACTCTCCAGCCTGTTCTCTACACTGCAGCCAAAGGGCTCTTCCTAGAACACGAATCTGACCCTGTCCCCTCGCCCTGCCCGGCGTGGGGACTTCCCATGGCTCCCATCATCTCTTGCTTCGTTGTTCTCACATTTCAGCCACTGGGAGTATCTGCAAGCCTCTTGAAGGGCTGTGCTCCCTGGGCCCTCTACCTCTGCCCGTCACACTTTCTACTTAGAACCTGTTCCCTCTTTCTTCCCACACCCTTCAGGTTCAGCTTGGATGTCTCTTTCTCATAGACACAGGCTCTGAACCTCCCAGATGGATTAGGATCCCTCCTATGTGATACCAGAGGCTCCACGTGCCTCCTGGCAGCACACATACCACTCTGTATCACAACAGCTCAATGACCAATGACCTCCACTAGAACCGGAGTTCCAAGCACCCAGGGACCACGCCCAGGGCCTAGCAGAGGGCCTTGACATGGCAGGTGCTTAGTCACCATCTGGGGACTAAATGGATCTCTTTGGGGAGAGAAGGGGTCTGTAGAACCAGAGGCCTCGGTTTCTGAAGATGGGAGAAGAGCCTGGTGCCTGGGTGCCCCAGGGTTCTAACTAGGGGGCAGTGAACCACTGTGTGGGACACCAGATCTCTTGGGAAGGGGTGTCTGGGGGAACAGAAAACAAAACATTCAGTTCTCCCTCACACTCAGCCTTGGCGCAGATGAGGCTGGCCGAGGGGTAGTTGAAGGACTTGAGGATTCGGGAGACCGCCAAGCTGACGTCCTCGTTACTGGGGTACAGGCTGACAGACGCGAAGCGAAGGTACTGAAGGCGGGGTGTCTCCTCGGGACCCACCTTGATGTGGGGGATCTGGACAGAGAGGAAACTTTGGCCTCCATCCTGCTTCTCCGCCCAGCCCTCGCCTCCCAGGGACCCGCTCCCCACAAAGCGCCGGCCCACACTCCCCATCTCACCTCCTTCTCTCCACAGATATGGCTCACGGTGGAGGCAGATGCTGGGCTAGAGGAGGGCCCAAGGACAGACACAACCCCTTTGGGTAAGATCTGACACACTGCGTGGGAAGGGGAAGAGACCGCAGAGTCAGGGACCCCCTGCCTCCTCTCCTTCCCCATCCCTCAGGGAGCCGCCATGGCCCAGGAGAGGATCAGACACTGGCAACTGCCTGATCCTCTTCTGCCATCCGGGACCCAGAAGGCCAGTCTCTGACCCCACCCAACAAGTGAACATGAGGGGGCATGAGATGGAGAGAGATGAGGACACAGCAACAGAGGGACAGGTCAGGCCAAGGGAGATCAAAGGAAGGGATGAAGAGAAAGAGACACCAGGGGCCTCCTCTGCCTACAAAGCCTGTGCCTAGTCCCTCAGCCACTGTTGTTCTCAACCTTTTCAGCCATGCCACAACCCACGGTGCACTCACCACCTCCTCCCCTGACCCCACAGCCCAGGTCCCCTGGAGCCTTCCCATACTCCAAACACCACTCTCCCACTGCACTTACTTCCTCCTCTTTCTTCTGCTCTCTTCCTCCTTATACACATGTGTGTCTCAAGACTGGGAGGTGGAAAGCTGTTGTTTTTGCTTGTCCAGTGCCTGTTCTCATGGCAGAACCCTAACTTCTCCTGGGGGAACTATCCTCACCCTTCAGTCCAGGGTTCCCAGGATTGACTGGCACCTGATGCAGGCCTTGGGGAGTCACAGAACTCCATTCTTCTAGCCATGGCAACTGGTTCAGAAATACATATGGGTGCAAATCAGACCATGGAGCACCTTCCCCAGGTCTTTTGCTACAATTATCACTGGGTTTGCTAAACTGGTGAGATGTAAGCTTGGTGCTGCTGGGGCCATCTCACCACCAGTTGAGAGAGCATTTCTGAAAATGAAGCCAACTCAGAGGAAAGCAGGCCTCAGAGGTAAAGACACAGAGATTCCCAGGATGTCATCTGAATGCCTGAATCCAGCCATGCCTGAAACAATCCTAGGCCATCGTTTGAACACCTGGATTCAGCCATGCCTGAAATTTGTCCTTAGGTCTTTTAGTGACATGAGCTAATAAGTTCTCTTTTTTCCTTAAACCAGGCTGAGTTTGGTTTCTGCCACCTCTAACTAAAGGCATCATAACTCAACACCTCATTTCCTCCAAACTGGCTCCTTCTGGACCTTCCACACTGGTAAGGGCCCCACCATTCACACAGACCAGATGCCTGGAAATGGTCCTTGCCTTCAATCTCTCTCCTGACAGCCAGTTAGTCACCATGTCCTGTCTCTTCTTTGTCCTCAAATTTCTCACATGTATCCCCTTCTCTTCAACCCCTTGGCCCCTGACCTAGTTTAGGACTCTCAACTCAGACATATATCAGAGTACACACTCATCACCCAAATCCAGTCTCCAGATTCTCTTTCCAGAAGCCTCACTCCCTGGTATAGACCTATCAATGGCTTCCCAGTGCCTGTGGGTGAAGGTGGCATCTTTCACCCTGGCACTGTAGCCTCCTTGAGCCAGCGTGACAATCTGCACAGCCTCGCTTCCTACTACCCTGTCACACTTAGCTCTGAAGTATCTCACAATCTCTCCAAATATGTCCTGAATCCAGGTGGATTCAGGATGGGCTCAACCCCATACCCCCCCATTTCTTGGCTCCAAATACTTCCCTCTGCTCCCACCCCGATCCCCACCTCATCTCCAGACTCTAGGCACATGACTGGAATGCCATCTGCCTCCTCACCCTCCATCCCAGCTTCTCCCAAGTTGTACTCTGTGCCACATCAGCCAAAAAAGCCTGTGAAATGCCATACCCCATTCTTCCTCTTACTGATCTGAAACATACACGAACACCATAAAGCCTCTGATAAGGCCTGCAGGAAAGAAACCTGTCTAAAACATGTTTTAAGGCAGCATCTCCCAAAGGTCTAACTCCAGCACATCTGTTCAAGTGACACCTTCGAACATTCAGCCCATCAGTATTCCATAGACACTTCCACACCCCTGTGATGTGGCCGGCCGTGCTTGGAGCCACGCCACTCTTTCTACATCCTGTTCACCTTTCAGAGCTCAGTTTCAGACTAGCCTTCTCCAGAATGCCTTTGCTGACCCTCGCCCAAGCCTCCTGCCCTCCATGCCTGGGGCTTGTTATTAAGCTCTGGGGGCTAACAAGCATCCCCAGCCAGCTGGGATGATAGGGCTTATCTTTTCAACGCCGCCCCGTGCTCCTCCAGAGCAGAACTGGGGCTTATGCTCTCCCTCCTCTCCAACCCCCAGGCCCAGCAGCAGCCATGTCTGGGAAGAAGGCAGAGACAAACACAAAGAAGGGGGAGGATGGAGCTAGAAGAGGACAAGGCCAGGCCAGAGGCCAGGGGCAGAGGGATGGACTGAGGGCCACCGACCTGCCCTGCCTCACCCCACGCCCCCATGGCCCCGCTCACTGGTGTCCGTGGTCTCGTACTGGCTGTCCCGCTGCAGCTCAAAGATGTCTACTTCCACTCGGGCCTTGGCTGGGACCTCGATGATCCCGTTGATCTGCTCCCGGGCCAAGGCCAAGGCCAGACGCTCACCGCGGCCACACACTGTCTGATCATCCAGGATTGCAGCTGAGGGGACACATGGGTTGGGGACCAGACTCCTGAGTCCTGAGGAAGGAGGGGGCTGTGGTCTTAGACTCCAGGGCTCTAGGGTGAGGTGGGTATACGGACCAGGGGTCTAGACACCTGGATCTGAGGTTGGTGGGAGCTAGGGGTCTGGACTCCTGGGTCCTGGGGGAAGGAGGAACTGGAGGCTGGGATTCCTTGCTGCTGAAGAGAGCTGAGACCTGGACCCTGACGGACTGGCATGCCTGGGTCCCCAGAGGAGCCCCAGGGCCTGAGGATGCAGGGGCAGGGTGCGGGAGGGCCTCACCCATGCGCAGTGATGAGAGCACCTGGCAGCTGGGGCTGGCGAAGGCAACAATCAGCAGCAGCAGCAGCTCAGCCGGCATCTTCCTCCCCTCCTCATGGGGACGCAGCTGCCGCGGCCCCCACTCGCCACCTGCAGGGAGACCCCCCAGACCAAGGGGAGATTACTATGTGGTGGGATGGAACCCCTTGGAGGCCTGCTGGATGGGGTGGTCACAGAAGCCTTGGGGACATTGTTGGCAAGCAGTTCACAGCTCTGCAGAGCCCTGCTCTGTTTAGAAGCTGGCAATACTGAGGGCATTGCAAGAAGGGAAGCTCAGCTCAGAGGGGCACTACCAGGGTGGAGGTCACAGTGCTCAGGCGCTGAGTAGGACAGGCTGCAAGAGAGAGGATGGGCACAGCTACCAAAACAGGAGGGAGGCGTGCGAGGTTCTCAGGTAGGAGTGAATTCCTGGGACCAGCCCCACCCAAATAGGAAACCAGGAAGTGCCACCCCCCACCCAGTCCCGCCCCTGTCTCTGGGCAGGCAGCCGTTACTAGGCAACAGAAACCGGCTGGAGAGGATGCGGTGGTTGCTAGGCAACCCCATCCCAGGCCTCACTTGCCACTTTCCTAACATCCCCAGTTCCCACAATCCCATGGGGAGAGAGGCCTGGACATCCGAGGTCTGGAGGAGAGAGTATCTGGGAGTTAGGAAACTTCGGGAGAGATGGAGAGATGGAGAAAAAGAGAGAGAGGCACACACAGAACCCCATAGATGAATGGACCCAGAGCAGTAAAAGGGGGAAAAAAAAAAAAAGCAAAGAGAGAGAAGGGAGGAAACAGAGAAAGTGAAAGAGAGGCTTAGAGAAGGGAAAGACAGAGAGACTCAGAAAGAGAGAAAGGTCAAAATAGATAGAAATACAAGGGAAGAGAAAGACAAGACAATAGGAAAATGGGGGTAGAAATGGAGAGAAAAGAGGAGAGTTACAGGGAGGCAGGGAGAGGACTAGGAGGGAGAAAGAGGGAAGAGACAGGAGGATGAGGAGGCAAGATAAAGAAAGGACAGAGCAGGGAGCGGAGGAAAGAGGGGCAGGCTGGAGGTGGGGAAACCAAGGCACAGGCGAGACACAGGAAGAGGGAGACAGAGGATGGAGAAAAGATAGGAACCGACTCGGATACAAGCAGGAAGAGCTGGAAGGGAGGAGTGAGTAAGGCAGGGAGTGGAGCTGCCTGCCAGAAGTGGGTGCCATACCACTGCCCCCCACCCTACTGGGGAGAAGAAGTAAAGGGGGAGATGGTGCATCTTTGCTCTTCACAACTCTCCACCCCTAAGGAGTCAGGGATTCCTCTAGGCACCCCAGCTTTCTGCAGGGCAACCACTGGGCAAGGAGTTTGGCCAGATGCACAGCTCCACTTCCCCTGGCTGAGGGCTGTGCCCCACGGGAAGGGATGCTTGGGTTTCCATGGAGTAGGGTTACTGTGGGGGGCACAGAATGCTGTGAAGTGGGCCTGGACACCGGACCCCACTCAGTCCCCATGGAAGGACAGCTTGAGCTGGTGAAACTGTGGAATGAGAACTTCGAGGGAAGGATAGAGGCACAAGTCCTTCTCACCATCTCAAGTGGCCTGCAAAACCTAGGCTGGGGATCAGTCCCAGCTCTGCCCCTGACTCACTGCGTGATCTTGAGCAAGTCACTGCCTTCTAGGCCTCTGAGAAGAAGAGAGTGCTAGGTGGGAGGGTATGCTGGACAGGCTGGGGACTGCAAACTATAATGTGGATTAAGGTGAAGGCTTGTCAAGGATGGAGGCACAAGGGATGCTGGGAGACCCGGAGGAGCGCTCAGAGTGGGAGGAGTGTGAAGGGCGGAGCTAGGAGAGAGGCAGGAGTGGAGTGGGTCATCCTGAGACACCAGGGACTCCTGGGGCAAATCAGGGAGCAGAGGACAAAGGACAGAAAGACCGAGGGAGAGATGGGACAGAAGGACAGGGACCCACAGGTGGCAGCCAAAGGTGGGAGCAGACAGAGAAAGACAGGGTTGAGGGGCAGCAGGTGGACACAGAGATACACACAGAAAGACAGCCCAAGACGTAGGAACTGAGGCTAAGTGAGAGAGCAAGAGACAGACACAGCCTAGAAGTGAGACAGCAAAGGAGACAGAGACAGGGCAGGTAGGGTGTCAGGCAGGTCCAGGACTCAGCCCCAGAGACTGGGCAAAGCCAGATAAAAGTCAAAACCCAGCAGAGAGCTGAGCAACAGTGGGCATAGGAGAGACATCAGCAAAGGTGAGAGGCAAGGAGGGCCAGCGAAGGCACACAGGGTGAGGGAGAAGGCAAAGGGAGATAAAGAAACAGCAGCAGGTACAAGACTTGGGAGAAGGAAAGAAATGGCCAAACTCTACAAAGAGAGAGGGCCAGTCGGAAAGAGAGACAGTATGTCGGAGCTGCACGACAGGCCCATAGAAGAGGAAGGGGCAAGGGGGAAAAGCACCTGGGAGAGAGAAAGGGGGAGTCAGGGAGGGAAACTGAGGTGGGGAGATGGAGTGAGTGCACTAGAGGGGCACAGGCAGGGACAGGGCAAGCACCTGCAGGAGAGGCCAGACCCACACAGAGGCATAGCCACCCCAAGACACTCAGGAATGCCGTGTGGGGGAGCAGGAGATCCTGGGGCCTGAAAGCCCCCAGACATGGAGAGGAATGGGAGCAGAAAGGCCACGCGAGGTAACACAGAAGTCGGGAGAGAGAATGGGAGTGGAAAGAGCCAGACCAGCCAGGAAAAGTCAGCATGGACCACGGAGAGGTGGGGCAGCAGCTGAGGAGGGAGGGACTGAGGAGCCGGGCACCCAGAGTGGATCTGGGGGAAAGAGGTGGAAAAGTGACAGAGGGAAGACAGCCTCCAAGCTCAGAGGCAGAGAGAGGGAGGAGGACAGGTGAGCGGAGGCACAGAATAGAAAGAGAAATGGAAAGAGACCTGCCGAGGGAGACTTGGAAAGAGGGAAGCCAGGGTGGAGGAGTTCTGACAGAGAGAGGGATCTAAACAGAGACATGCCGAGAGCAACCTGGGCTAACAGCAAAGAGAGAAGTTGGGCAGAGTCAGAGAGGGGCCCAAGAGACACAGGAAATGGGGGCTCAAAAGCGGAAAGACATATCCAGGAGATAGAGACTGGACGGGGTGGGGACAGGGCCAAGGCCCACCGCAGGCAGAGGATGAGGCTCAGAGGAACAGAAAGAGCCAGTCTGGGACCAGGACGGAGGCTTGGAGACAGCAGGGGCACGGACATGCCAGGGGCCCGGGGTAAGTGAGAGCCCAAGTAAGAGCAATCAGCCCCGTAGGACCCCAGAAAGCTAGAGGGCCAGGGGCGGCAGTGAGCTATGTACCCAGAAGAAGAGGTGAGAAGAGGTCGAGGTGAATGGACGCTGAGGAGATGGAGGGCGCAGAGCAGGCCCCTAGTGGGGGAGGGTACTTGCCAGTCCGGAGAACGGGGAGAATGTGGTGCCCCCCTGCCAGGCGGCACCAGAGCCCAGCCTTCCAGGACCCAGAACCCAGCCCAATCCCTGCCCTGCAGACACTCACGGATCCTGGTGGGACGGAGGGCTGGGCTCCCTCGAGGCCCGAAGACCGACAGCGGGAGGTGCTCTGGCGCTGGGTGGTGGTGGGGCTGGGCGGGGGGAGAGGGCAGTCCACAGGGCCCCCTCCCCCGCCGCCGGTGGTGGCTCCCAACTAATCCAAAACGGTGGCTCCACAGGAGCAGGGAGGAAGGACAGGTGGAAGAGGAGAGGGCGGGCCGGGGAGGGGAGGAAGGGGAAAGGAGAAAATGGAGGAGAGAAGGGGAGAGAGGAGAGGGGGAAGGAGCAAATGGAGGGGAAGGAGGGAGGAAAGGAGGAGAGGAAGGTGAAAACGGAAGGGGGGGGCACAGGCAAAGCCGGGGGAGGGGGAAGCTGGCCCAGGAAAGGGCCCCCGCCCCCTCCCCTAGCCGGGCCGGCCTGGGGGGGCCACAGGGGGCGAGGACTGGGTGGAGAAAAGGAAGCCGGCCATCAGGAGAAGTGGGGGAGGGGAGGGCCTGCTGGGGGAGGGGGCCGCCCCCTTTCCCCCTCCCCCCTGGAGCCTGGGCCCTGCCCTGGTTGAGGCAAGGGCCCGGAGTCCTCAAGCCCTCAGCCCCCACGGGAAAAGCATGCTGGGGGCGGGGAGAGCCCGGGAGTGGAGAGCTGGGGAGGATGGAGAGCTGGGAGACCCGGAGAGGCCAAGAAGGGGGCAAATGAGGTGGAGAGATAGGGAGGAGGGAGAGGAGGATGGAGAGGAGCAGGTGGAAGAGAAAGGCGGAGGAGGGTGGGGTGTCCCAGGGGCTCCCGGTGCTGGGCCTCAGTGGGAGGGCCTGGCGACACACTCCTGGTCCCCTGTGAGGAGCCGGCTCCAGTCCCCGGCTCCAGTCCCCGGCTGGGCCTGCCTCCCTGCCGCTGGCTGCCGCCACCGCTCAGTCTCCCCTCCGAGGCCGCCGCCTGCCTGCCCGCCTGCCGCCTGCGCTGGGTCCTGGAGCGCAGTGGGGTGGTTCAGGAGAGAGAGAAGAGGGAGGGAGGGAGGCAGGGAGGAGGGCGGGCAGGAGGAAGGGAGGGAGGCAGGCAAAGAGAGAGTAGGGAGGTGAGTCGGGGGAGGGGGAGCCTGTATTGGTTGGGGCTGGGGGCCCCCCGCGAGGAGAATGCTGATGAGAAGAAGGAGCTGCATTGGATGGAAGGCCCACCCCCGAGCCACCCCCTCTACCACACCATGCCACCGCCCTGCCCAGGCAGCCCTGGGCACAGGAGCCCACAGAGATGAGAGGCAAGAAGACCCAGGGAGAAGGCCACTGAGATGAGGGGAGAGGGCTACAGAGATGAAGAGAAATGAAGAGAAGAGAGACAGCCGTCAAGACTGTCCAGAGAAGTGGGCTGAGGCCCACAAACCCCACAAGGACAAGGACAGGAAAAGCCCAGGGATAAGAAAGAAAGGCCCATGGAGACAAGGGAGCAGCCTACAGAGACAAGCAAAAGGACCTCGGAGACAAGGGGCAGTAATGTGGACATAGAGACCTCCCGCGAAGGAAAACGGGAGAAGCCAGAGACACAAGAGAGAGGCCCCTGGAAACAGAAAGCACTCCTCAGATATGGGGAGCGGTCCACAGGGCAGGGAGAGAGCCAAGGAGAGCCGAAGAAGGTCACAGAAACAAGGGAGGCCTACAGACACCAGGGTACCAAAAAGACAAGGATGTGGCTCATAGACACAAGAGAGCCACTGAGGCAGGAGCTGCCAGCCTGGAGATGCGGGGCAAGCCTCCCCCAATATAAATAGCTCCTATAGAGGTGAGGGGATGGGTGGTGAGTATGAGAATTCCCTATAGTGCACAGAGAAATCCTTGGGACCCACAGAGATGAGTGGGTGGAGAGAAGGGGCCCTCATTCTCTAGTCACAGGAGCAGAGAGGCAGTGGGAAAGGTGGATGGGACAAGGAGAGGAAGCTGGAGGGCAGAGCCAGAAGTGGGAGACTCCTTCCCAGGGAACACCCTGCAGCCTCTCAGAAGGAGCTGAGCAGGACAGGGGGATGGAAGAGAGAAGCGACACAGATCTTGGAGTGGGGGTGGGTGGTGCATGGCTGGGTGGGGGGTGAAATTTGGGGGGAAGAAACATGACAGTTGGCGCCGAAGGCTGAGCCCGTGACTCACCACCACCCCCGATGCTCGTGATGGGGAGGAGACACTGACACACTCACGTGCGGCCCACAGCATATGTGACCGCATGCCTCGAACACACAGCTGGCACATGGCAACTCCTGGACCACATGCCAGCCCAGCACAGGAAGCCCTCTGCAAGCTGGCATGTGGGGCATCCTGGACACACATCTGACACATATATCTGACGCTGAAGGACCACCAACTTTGCACACACCTCCTTACCCCACTTGGTCAACATCTACACCGCCCCCTCAAACATCCACACTTAACTCCAGTCAGGCCTAAAAGCCCAGATTCACACCTGCCTCTGGGACTTTGCTTATGAAGGACCTCAACACAGAACACCATCCTTTCGACCAGGGCGGTGGCTCATTCCTGTAACCCCAGCACTTTGGAAGGCCGGGGCAGGTGGACCACCTGAGGTTGGGAGTTCAAGACCAGCCTGGCCAACATGGCAAAACCCCGTCACTACTAAAAATACAAAAATTAGCCAGGCCCGGTGGCACACTCCTTTAGTCCCAGCTACTTGGGAGGCTGAGGCACAAGAATTGCTTGAACCTAGGAGGCAGAGGTTGCTGTGAGCCATGATCATGCCACTGCACTCCAGCATGGGAGACAAAGCGAGACTCCATCTCCAAAAAAAAAACAAAAAACAAAAACCAACCACCATCCCCTCTAAATTCAACCTGTCCCGGAAATCCCAGCCAGTCCTGCACTACCACCTCCAGAAAGACCTCAGCTTATCCTCAGCTTATTCCTATATGATCTGGAGAAAAGAGACCTGCACCACCCAAATCAAGTTGAGAAGTCCAAGCAAAAGGCCTGAGAAGTTACCTGGATCCTCAAATTTTCTTTTTTTTTCCTTTTCTTTTTTTTTTTTTTTTGAGATGGAGTCTCGCTCTGTTGTCCAGACTGGAGTGCAGTGGCATGATCTCGGCTCACTGCAAGCTCTGCCTCCTGGGTTCACACCATTCTCCTGCCTCAGCCTCCTGAGTAGCTGGTACTACAGGCGCCCACCACCACACCCGGCTAACTTTTTTTGTATTTTTAGTAGAGACGGGGTTTCACCATGTTAGCCAGGATGGTCTCGATCTCCTGACTTCGTGATCTGCCTGCCTCGGCCTCCCAAAGTGCTGGGATTACAGGCGCAAGCCACTGCACCCGGCCAGGTTTTCTTTTCTTTTATTTTTTCTTTCTTTCTTTTTTTTTTTTCTTTAGATGGAGTTTCGCTCTTGTTGCCTAGGTTGGAGTGCAATGGCGCCATCTTGGCTCACTGCAACCTCCGCCTCCGGGGTTCAAGTGATTCTCCTGCCTCAGCCTCCCGCGTAGCTGGGATTACAGGCATGCACCACCATGCCTGACTAATTTTGTATTTTTAGTAGAGACGGAGTTTCTCCATGTTGGTCAGGCTGGTCTTGAACTCCTGACATCGGGTGATCGGCCTGTCTCGGTCTCCCAAAGTGTTGTGATTACAGGTGTGACCCACCGCACCCAGCCTGATCCTCAGATTTTCAAGTGGGGAAAAGGAGGTTTCAGCAGAAGCAAGAATCTGCCCAAGGTCACACAGCCTGTCAAAAACTGAGCATGGCTTCCACTTCTCTGTCACCTACCCCAGGTGATTTTGCCCTAAGGGCAAACCCAGACTGCTTCAGAGCAGGCCGAGCCTAGCTTTAGCTCACTAATTTCCACCAACTCTTTCCTCCACTTCTTGCATTCAACCCTTCAACATGCAACCACTTGAACTTCCTGCCTGGCAGGCAGGTGAGCCTGGGGGCCAAGAATGTAGACTGTAAGGTCAACTCCTGGGTTGGAATCCTGACTCTTCCTAACTATGGGAACTACGACTAGTTACTTCTCTGGGGCCTCGATGTTTTGTAGAGTCAGCATGACAGTTTCTCTCTCATAGGGTTGTTGAGAGGATTAAACTGAGTAATGCATGTAAGCATTGAGCATAATACCTAGCACGTCATAATACACTCAAGAGATGTTAGTTATTATTATTAGGCTCCCGGAGATACTAATAAAAATAACAACTGGCCAGACACAGTGGCTCACACATGTAATCCCACCATTTTGGGAGGCCAAGACAGGAGGATAGCTTGAGCCCAGGAGTTCTGAGACCAGCCTGGGCAACATAGTGAGACCCTATCTCTATAAAAAAAAAAAAAAAACCCGGGCATGGTGGCTCATGCCTGTAATCCCAGCACTTTGGGAGGTCAAGGTAGATGGATCAACTTGAGGCCAGGAGTTCGAGACCAGCCCAGCCAATGTGGCAAAAACCCATCTCTACCAAAAACTAGGAAAAATTAGCAGGGCATGGCGGTGTATGCCTGTAATCCCAGCTACTCAGGAGGCTGAAAATTGCTTGAGCCTGGGAGGCAGAGGTTGCAGTTAGCTGAGATCACACCACTGCACTCCAGCCTGGGTGACAGAGCTAGACTGTCTCAAAAAAAAAAAAAAAAAAAAAAAAAAAATTAGGGACTGGGCGCAGTGGCTCACGCCTGTAATCCCAACACTTTGAGAGGCTGGGTGGGGGGGTGGATCACCTGAGGTCAAGAGTTCGAGACCAGCCTGGCCAACATTGCAAAAACCTGTCTCTACTAAAAATACAAAAATTAGCCGAGAGTGGTGGTGTCTGCCTGTAGTCCCAGCTACTCAGGAGGCTTAGGCAGGAGAATCACTTGAACCCAGGAGGCGGAGGTTGCAGTGAGCTGAGATCGTGCCACTGTACTCCAGCCTGGGCGGTGGGCGACAGAGTGAGACTCCATCTCAAAAAAAAAAAAAATTAAATTAAATTTTAAAAATAGGCCAGGTGCAGTGGCTCACGCCTGTAATCCCAGCACTTTGGGAAGCCAAGGCAGGTGGATCACGAGGTCAGGAGATTGAGACCATCCTGGCCAACACGGTGAAACCCCGTCTCTACTAAATATACAAAAATTAGCCAGGCGTGGTGGCGAGCGCCTGTAGTCACAGGTACTCAGGAGGCTGAGGCAGGAGAATCGCTTGAACCTGGGAGGCGGAGGTTGCAGTGAGCCGAGATCGCGCCACTGCACTCCAGCCTGGGCGGCAGAGAAAGACTCTGTCTCATAAATAAAATAAAATAAAATAAAATAAAATAAAATAAAATAAAATAAAAATAAAATGAGTAACTCCTAGATGTCTTTTACTCTCTGCCTCACATGAGATGAAATGGGGCTCACATGAAATGGGGCTGTTATTAGCCCCATTTCACAGATTAGAAACTTAGGCTCAGGACAGTTGACTTGCCCTAGAACCAGGATTCCAATCCGGGAATCTGTTTTAACTATACATGCCTGGTGTTAGGGAATTTAATCCATGAGAAGGTTAGGACATCTAGTGACCAAATGGCCATAGAATTGGCCCCGGGTCTCACTGTGAGACGCATCCCATAGTGGCTTCAGGTAAGTAAATAAATAACACAATTCTGAGAGTCAGTTTCCTCATCCGATAAGTTGAAATTCCTCTGTGTTTGGGTTCAAGGAGTAGGTCTGGAAATGTTTCTTTTCTTCTTTCAGATGGAGTCTCGCTCTGTCGCCCAGGCGGGAGTGCAGTGGCGTGATCTCGGCTCACTGCAACCTCGGCCTCCTGGGTGCAATCAAATCTCGAGCCTCAGCCTCCCGAGTTGCTGGGGTTACAGGCACGAGCCACCACGCCCAGCTAATGTTTTGTATTTTTAGTAAAGATGGTAGTTTCACCAGGTTGGCCAGGTGGGTCTCGAATGCCTGACTTCAAGTGAACCCGCCTCAGCGTCCCAAAATGTTGGGATTGCAGGCGTGAGCCACCACGCCCAGCCTGGAAACGTTTCTAACAGTACTGGGGCAACTCCCTCCCAAGGCCCTGAGGGGCGCAGGAACGAGGTGAGTAGGAATGGCCAGAGCCCCTTGGACACATGGGGCCCCAATCTCGAGGTGTAAGGGTCAGAGTCACCCCGGAAGGAGGTGGAGTGGAGTCCGCCCGTTACCGGCTCACTTCCTTCAGGCTCTCACCCCGATTGTCCTTCAGGTCCTCTACCCACCACACTCCCTATTTCTTCCAATGAAATTGTCCCTGCTTCTTTTTCTCCATATCCTCGCTCTCCTTGCTTCCCCTATGACATTTCTCCTCTCTCCACCTCCCAAAAGTCCCCTCGGTCTTTTCTCTGTTTCTTCCTGTTGCCTTCATTCCCCTCCTTTTAATAAAGTGAGTCTGGAACCTTGGTTTCCCTTTTCTCTCTCCATGTGACTGGTGCTGCATGCAGTTTGCCCTCTCCCCATCGCGCTAAGTGGTTTCACTTTCTCCCTCTGACCCTCGGGGAAACCACAAAGGTTCCCGTGCCTCCATTCCCCCGCTCCAGCCCTCAAGGTGCCGCGTGCCTCAATTTCCCAGGCTCTTTTCCTCCCTCTCCCTGTCCCCAACGCTGACTCCCTCACGGCGTCCCCAAAATGGCGCCCGCGGCCGCGCTCCGCCGCCTAACGTCATCGCGCCGCCCTCCGCTCAGAGTTCCCCTCTGGAGCCGTCGGAGGCGGAGTCGAGGAGGAGGAGGAGCATCCTCTAAGGAGGATTAAAGGGGCGGGCACTATCCACCCGAGGGCTGACCGGTGAGGGAACGACGCTAAAGGATTGGTTGGGCGCTGCGGGGAATCTCGACGCTCCTCACTATTGGCCCAAGCCTCAGAGACATGAACGTCGATTGGCCGAACGGCAGGGCCCGAGCGGGCAATGATTGGTTGCGTCCGGCCGTCCGTGCGGCGGCCGAGGAGGAAGGTGGGAGGGGCGTTGCTGAGGGTAGCTGGGGGCGAGAGCGAGGCTACGGAGCAGGCGAGAGGCGACGGCGAGAGCTAGAGCGGGCGCAGCGTTAGGGTGGCCGTGCAAGGGGAGCCGTGGCCCGGGCCCGGGGCGTGCGAGACGGCGGAAGCAGGTGAGCGCGAGCGGGCGCGCAGAGGCCGGCCGGGCTGCGCTCCCTGCCGCCGCGGCCTCCTCTTGCCAGGTCGCCTGCGCACTGAGGGCCTGAGGGGGTGCGCGCCGGGCAGTTAGGGCGGAGCGGCACCAACGGCCGACCCGGCGCGCGGGCAGCCGGGCGGGGGCCGGGCTGGAGCGGCGGGTGGGGAAGGGGCCTGGAGTCGCGTGCGGGGCTGAGTGAGGAGGGGCGGGGCTCGGGCTGAGGCTTTGGTGGGGCACCTGGGCGGGAAGGGGAGGCCTCAGAGCTGTCCCAAGAGGGCTCCGCGGCTCCCCAGGGTTTGGGGTAAAGGACTTGGTGGTGTGGCAAGTCCAGGACGAAGGGGCTGGGCCGGTTAGACGGCACGTGGGTGCCCAGTTAGGGGCTTAGGGCGTGAGAAAGATAATTAAGTTAATGCAGGGGAAAAATATCTAGTTCTTCCTGGAAAGAATTGGGGCGGTGAGAGGGGTTTTGGTGTGAAGACATTAGGAAATCGATATCCCCAAGGGAACGGTTTAGAGCTAAGGAGGGGTCCAGTTGTAATGGATGGGGTTAAATTAATGTGAAGAGGCCTTAAACCAATGTGTCAGGAGGTTGGGTACCCTTGGAATGCGTGGAAAGGAGTCTTTGTACAAAGAAGGATTAAGTGTATTTTAAAAGGGTGTCTGGGTGTCCCTAGAATGAGCTGGGGAAGGTAGTCTTTTTTAAGTACAGGTAATTAGGCCAAGGTGAAGATGGGATTTGGTTATTGGAAGGGGAGGAAGTAGGGTGGGAGAGATCTGTGTGCTAAAGTGAGGGGTGCCTGGGAATTCCTGGAATGAGACTGAGAGGTTGCTAAGACGCTGGGGGGTCTGAGTACCCCCAGAATAGGAGGCTGGTGAGAGGGGCTTGAGTGTGAGGAAGAGGGGTCTGTGCTGGATTAAGGTGGTGATGGAGGTTCTGTATGAGAATAGGAGGTCCGGGTATCCCTAAAGGGGGTTTGGGCAGCACGAGGGGTGTGTGTAAAAGGAGCTTAAGCCATTGTGAAAGATGGGTGTGTGGATCTTTACACAAAGAAGAGGAGTTATGTTGCTACGAAGAGGAGGGTCTGAGCATCCCTAGAATGGGTTAGGGTGGGTTGGGTCTTCTAGCAAATTAAAAAAGATTAGGTTAATAATGTGGAGGAGGATCTGGATATTCCTGAGATGGATTTGAGGGGGGGCTCTGTTTGCAAGAGAGGCATAGGTTGATATAAAATGAGGGTATGGGCATCCCTGAATGAGTGGCTGTGTATGAACAGGAAGGGTTTAAATCAATGGGAAGAGGGGATCTGGGTATCTCAGAGGGGATTAGAATTGTCGATTTGGTCTTGGTACAAAGAAGAGGTGATGAATGTAAAGAGTGGATAGATACCCTGGAGACAGGAGCTAGGGTGGTGGAAGGGCCTAGGTCCGAAGCGGGGAGGAGTAGGCTTTTGTGAAAATGGGTCTGGGTATTCTGGATAGGGGGTTAGGGTTGTAGGAGAGGGCCTTGATTTGTAGAGGAGGTTAAGTAATTAAACAGGGCTGCGTATCATGAAGTGGTTAAGGTGGGCAAAGTCTGGGTGTGGAGATGGGTTAGGCCAGTGTGAGAAAATTTGACTGGGGGGAAGGGATATAGTTTGACGTGAGGAATCTGGGCACCTGAGGAAGAGTTGGTGGGTAGCAGGGGTTGCGTGTAAAGGGGAGGGGTGGCACCTTGTACAGTGCTGAAAGTGGAGTGGTGGGGCATTGGGCAGTTTGAGTGGTCTGAGTGTAAAAAGAAGTCTGAGAACCTGGGAGAAGGAGCAGAGGCCATGGGAGGGGTGTGGCTGGGAGAAACAGGTGGGGAAGGCCTATATGGGGTTTCAGTTGGGTACCTTGGAGAGGAATGGGGTGAGGTGAGTTGGTAAGAAAAGGAGTCAGTGGAAGGAGGTCTGAGTGGAGGTTCCCATGTGCTGGGCGGAACTGTGGGGCCCACTGTGAGGTGTGGGAGATGAGGGGACTGGACAGGTTACAAGGATCTGGTGGGTGGAGTTTGATGCAAGTTGATACAGAGGTGAGACTGTGGGTAAATTCCTGGGGAAGGGACTGCCTGGGAGATTTGTGTTTGGTGTTTGTTATGCTGAGGGGAGGAAGGATTATTGGGAGGGAGGCAGAATTTTAAAAATCGAAGGAAGAACTTAAGGGGGTGTAGATCTAAGGTATTAGGAGTGGAGAGTGATGAAGGGAAGAGCTGAGGAATCGGTGACCTAACTGGTTTGTCCCCACTGTCTCCTCTTCCAGCCCAGGGCCTTGCTGCCGCCATGACTGAGGAATCAGAGGAGACAGTCCTGTACATTGAGCACCGCTATGTCTGCTCTGAGTGCAACCAGCTGTATGGATCACTGGAAGAGGTGCTTATGCACCAAAACTCCCACGTGCCCCAGCAGCACTTTGAGCTGGTGGGCGTGGCTGATCCCGGAGTCACTGTGGCCACAGACACAGCTTCAGGCACGGGCCTCTATCAGACCCTTGTGCAGGAGAGCCAGTACCAGTGCCTGGAGTGTGGTCAACTGCTGATGTCACCCAGCCAGCTCCTGGAGCACCAGGAGCTGCACCTGAAGATGATGGCACCCCAGGAGGCAGTGCCAGCTGAGCCATCACCTAAGGCACCACCCCTGAGCTCCAGCACCATCCACTACGAGTGTGTGGATTGCAAGGCTCTCTTTGCCAGCCAGGAGCTCTGGCTGAACCACCGGCAGACGCACCTCCGGGCCACACCCACCAAGGCTCCTGCCCCTGTTGTCCTGGGGTCCCCAGTTGTTCTAGGGCCTCCTGTGGGCCAGGCCCGAGTGGCTGTGGAGCACTCATACCGAAAGGCAGAAGAGGGTGGGGAAGGGGCGACTGTCCCATCTGCCGCTGCCACCACCACTGAGGTAGTGACTGAGGTGGAGCTGCTCCTCTACAAGTGCTCTGAGTGCTCCCAGCTCTTCCAGCTGCCGGCGGATTTCCTGGAGCACCAGGCCACTCACTTCCCTGCTCCTGTACCCGAGTCTCAGGAGCCTGCCTTACAGCAGGAGGTGCAGGCCTCGTCACCTGCAGAGGTGCCTGTGTCTCAGCCTGACCCCTTGCCAGCTTCTGACCACAGTTACGAGCTGCGCAATGGTGAAGCCATTGGGCGGGATCGCCGGGGGCGCAGGGCCCGGAGGAACAACAGTGGAGAAGCAGGCGGGGCAGCCACACAGGAGCTCTTCTGCTCAGCCTGTGACCAGCTCTTTCTCTCACCCCACCAGCTACAGCAGCACCTGCGGAGTCACCGGGAGGGCGTCTTTAAGTGCCCCCTGTGCAGTCGTGTCTTCCCTAGCCCTTCCAGTCTGGACCAGCACCTTGGAGACCATAGCAGCGAGTCACACTTCCTGTGTGTAGACTGTGGCCTGGCCTTCGGCACAGAGGCCCTCCTCCTGGCCCACCGGCGAGCCCACACCCCGAATCCTCTGCATTCATGTCCATGTGGGAAGACCTTTGTCAACCTTACCAAGTTCCTTTATCACCGGCGTACTCATGGGGTAGGGGGTGTCCCTCTGCCCACAACACCAGTCCCACCAGAGGAACCTGTCATTGGTTTCCCTGAGCCAGCCCCAGCAGAGACTGGAGAGCCAGAGGCCCCTGAGCCCCCTGTGTCTGAGGAGACCTCAGCAGGGCCCGCTGCCCCAGGCACCTACCGCTGCCTCCTGTGCAGCCGTGAATTTGGAAAGGCCTTGCAGCTGACCCGGCACCAACGTTTTGTGCATCGGCTGGAGCGGCGCCATAAATGCAGCATTTGTGGCAAGATGTTCAAGAAGAAGTCTCACGTGCGTAACCACCTGCGCACACACACAGGGGAGCGGCCCTTCCCCTGCCCTGACTGCTCCAAGCCCTTCAACTCACCTGCCAACCTGGCCCGCCACCGGCTCACACACACAGGAGAGCGGCCCTACCGGTGTGGGGACTGTGGCAAGGCTTTCACGCAAAGCTCCACACTGAGGCAGCACCGCTTGGTGCATGCCCAGCACTTCCCCTACCGCTGCCAGGAATGTGGGGTGCGTTTTCACCGTCCTTACCGCCTGCTCATGCACCGCTACCATCACACAGGTGAATACCCCTACAAGTGTCGCGAGTGCCCCCGCTCCTTCTTGCTGCGTCGGCTGCTGGAGGTGCACCAGCTCGTGGTCCATGCCGGGCGCCAGCCCCACCGCTGCCCATCCTGTGGGGCTGCCTTCCCCTCCTCACTGCGGCTCCGGGAGCACCGCTGTGCAGCCGCTGCTGCCCAGGCCCCACGGCGCTTTGAGTGTGGCACCTGTGGCAAGAAAGTGGGCTCAGCTGCTCGACTGCAGGCACACGAGGCGGCCCATGCAGCTGCTGGGCCTGGAGAGGTCCTGGCTAAGGAGCCCCCTGCCCCTCGAGCCCCACGGGCCACTCGTGCACCAGTTGCCTCTCCAGCAGCCCTTGGAAGCACTGCTACAGCATCCCCTGCGGCCCCTGCCCGCCGCCGGGGTCTAGAGTGCAGCGAGTGCAAGAAGCTGTTCAGCACAGAGACGTCACTGCAGGTGCACCGGCGCATCCACACAGGTGAGCGGCCATACCCATGTCCAGACTGTGGCAAAGCGTTCCGTCAGAGTACCCACCTGAAAGACCACCGGCGCCTGCACACAGGTGAGCGGCCCTTTGCCTGTGAAGTGTGTGGCAAGGCCTTTGCCATCTCCATGCGCCTGGCAGAACATCGCCGCATCCACACAGGCGAACGACCCTACTCCTGCCCTGACTGTGGCAAGAGCTACCGCTCCTTCTCCAACCTCTGGAAGCACCGCAAGACCCATCAGCAGCAGCATCAGGCAGCTGTGCGGCAGCAGCTGGCAGAGGCGGAGGCTGCCGTTGGCCTGGCCGTCATGGAGACTGCTGTGGAGGCGCTACCCCTGGTGGAAGCCATTGAGATCTACCCTCTGGCCGAGGCTGAGGGGGTCCAGATCAGTGGCTGACTCTGCCCGACTTCCTCTTTGGCACCTCCATTCCCTGTTGCTGAAGGCCCTCCAGCATCCCCTTAAGCATCTGTACATACTGTGTCCCTTCCTCTTCCCATCCCCACCACCTTGTAAGTTCTAAATTGGATTTATTCTCTCGTGAGGGGGGTGCTCTGGGGTCCTTGACACACATAAAGGTGCCCCCCCACCTTCCACCTCTTAGCACTGGTGACCCCAAAAATGAAACCATCAATAAAGACTGAGTTGCCAGCAGTGTGTAGAGTGGAATTTGGGAGTCATGGGTCTTACCTCTCGTGGCTGCATCACCAACACCCAGAAGTGGGCCTGGCAGGTATTAGGGGTAGTAGGAGCTCAGTAAACATTTGCTGGGCTGAAGAGAATGACCTGGTGTTCATGGGCATGGCTCTCATAGCAGGGCCTTCACTTCACTGCTAGATGGAGGTAGCATGGCTCTCTTGCCACTAGAGGTCCCATGGCTCTGTGGAAAAGCTCAAGAGTGTTTGTACTGGTGGCAGGAACTTTCAGAGAAATCAGATTTTTACACTCCTGTCCCTGACTCCTGGCCTGATGTGGACCTTGTCTCCCAAGGCCATCTGATTTTCTCATTGATCCCCAAGAGCAAATGCAGGTAGGCATGATCTCTAGAGCTGTGGAATTAAAGGAGATTCTGAATAATATGTGTCTGGATGTAGGAAGATTCATGAGAGGTGGTGACTTGAATTCCCCTGGAGTTGGACTTTGGCTCAGCCAACAGATTTTTATTGTGAGTGATGGATTGTTGGGATGGCTGGCTAATGTTTGAACATCTAGTCAGTCTCAAGTACTATATAACTGAATAATATTCACACTGATTACGTGAGAACATTTTGCAGGGAAGGAATCTCCAGTCAAAAGCATTGAGATGACTTGCCCAAGGTCACATTCAATCCAGGCAGGGCAGAGCTTGAATTTAAGCCTGATTTCATTTCATTTGGTTTAATCACCGATATGCTTTTCTCTCTACTCTGTTGCCTTCTGCATACTTTGGGGAGGGTGGTAGAGACAAGATGGGAGTATGTGACTGGTGGGATGCTAGGCTGCTGTGCTAGCCTTGCTTCTGAGACCCCCCCCCCCAAAGATTATTCCAGATCTTTCTGTTGAACTCTTTTTCCTTTTTATTTTTGAGTTGGAGTCTTTGCCGCCCAGGCTGGAGTGCAGTGGTGTGATCTCGGCTCACTGCAGCCTCCACCTCCCAGGTTCAAGCGTTTCTCCTGCCTCAGCCTCCCGAGTAGCTGGGATTATAGGCGCGTGCCACCACACCCGGCTACGTTTTTGTATTTTCAGTAGAGACGGGGTTTCACCATGTTGGCCAGGCTGGTCTCAAACTCCTGACCTCAGGTGATCTGCCCACCTCAGCCTCCCAAAGTGCTGGAATTATAGGCATGAGCCACTGTGCCCGGCCTGAAAGAACTCCTTTTTTAAGACAGGGTCTCACTGTATCACCCAGGCTGGAGTGCAATGGCACGATCTCGGCTCACTGCAACCTCCGCCTCCTGGGTTCAAGCAATTCTGCCTCACCCTCCCAGGTAGCTGGGATTAGAGCTGCGCACCACCATGCCAGGCTAGTTTTTTGTATTTTTAGTAGAGACAGGGTTTCACCATGTTGGTCGGGCTGGTCTTGAACTCCTGACCTCAGGTGATCTACCTGCCTCAGCCTCCCAAAGTGCTGGGATTACAGGCATGAGCCACCGCGTCTGGCCTAAAACAAATTCTAATAATTGTTCTTGTAAAATAAATGACATAACATTTGAAAAGTTAATGTATTAGGGTTCTGTTTATACAAAAAAAAAATCAGGTTATGTGCGTGTGTGTGTATGTGTGTATCCTACCTGTTATATGTATATAAATTACACAATAGATACAGTAAATAATATATATGTATATAAAGATTTTTTTATAGTTTGTTTTACTCTATAGACATACAAACATACATTTTAATGTTTATATACATATATATAGTTCCAAATCCTAGGATTTGGAGTATTCTTTTTAATTAAGTTCTAGGGCACATGTGCAGAACATGCAGGTTTGTTACATAGGTATACACATGCCATGGTAGTTTGCTGTACCCATCAACCTGTCATCTGCATTAGGTATTTCTCCTAATGCTATCCCTCCCTAGCCCCTCACCCTCTGACAGGTCCTGGTGTGTGATGCTCCCCTCCCTGTGTCCACATGTTCTCATTGTTCGGCTTCCACTTAAGAGTGAGAACATGTGGTGTTTGGTTTTCTGTTCCTGTGTTAGGTTTTATTTTTATCTTTTTATTAAAAATGGGGTCTTGCTGTGTTGGCCAGGCTGGTCTCAAACTCCTGGCCTCTAGGGATCATCCCATTTTGGCCTCCCAAAGTGCTGGGATGAGAGGCATGAGGCACCACACCTGGCCTGTTTTTTTCTATTTTTCAGAGTCTCGCTCTGTCACCCAGGCTGGAATGCAGTTGCACAATCACAGCTCACTGCAGCCTCAACCTCCTAGGCTCAAGTGATCCTGTGATCCTCCTGCCTCAGCCTCCCAAGTAGCTGGAACGACAGGCGAGCACCACCACGTCTGGCTACTTTATTTTGTAGAGATGGCGTCTTGGGTTCTGTTTGGTTCTGACTGTGCCACCTTGAAGATGGGCCTGAACCAAATGATCTTCCTCCATGTACTATTTTTATGTCCCATCCCTGTTGATTTGTTTTGAGAGTTGAGGGGCTTTGCTTTCTTTGTCTTGCCAAAACACTGCAATGCTGACACTTTTTGTCTTACTAAATATGAAACCTGTCTTTCACTCTATTCCTTTTTCCTGTGCCTCAGTTCCCCCAACCCTCACTATCGACTTTGCAGGATCCCAGCACCTGTGTGCCAAGCATACATTAGAGGATGGAACAGTGCTGAGGAAACGCAACAGCTTTTTTTTTTCCTGAGATGGAGTCTTGCTCTGTCACCCAGGCTGGAGTGCAGTGGCACAATCTTGGCTCACTGCAACCTCCACCTCCCAGGTTCAAGTGATTCTTCTGCCGCAGCCTCCCAAGTAGCTGGGACTACAGGCGTACACCACCACGCCCAGCTAATTTTTGTATTTTTAGTACAGACGGTTTCACCATACTGGCCAGGCTGGTCTCGAAGTCCTGACCATTATAATGATCCACCTGCCTTGGCCTCCCAAAGTGCTGGGATTCCAGGCGTGAGCCACCATACCTGGCCCAATTTTGTTCAATTTTTGTAGAGATGGGGTCTCACTGTGTTGCCCAGGCTGGTGTCGAGCTCCTGGGCTCAAGGGTTCTTCCTGCCTTGGCCTCCTAAATTCTAGGGTTACAGGCATGAGCCACCACACATAGCCTGTTTTTTTTGTTTGTTTGTTTTTGAGACGGAGTCTCGCTCTGTCGCCCAGGCTGGAGTGCAGTGGCACATTCTCAGCTCACTGCAAGCTCTGACTCTGGGTTCATGCCATTCTCCTGCCTCAGCCTCCTGAGTAGCTGGGACCACAGGCGCCTGCCACCATGCCCAGCTAATTTTTTGTATTTTTGGTAGAGACGGGGTTTCACCGTGTTAGCCAGGATGGTCTTGATCTCCTGACCTCGTAATCCACCCGCCTCGGCCTCCCAAAGTGCTGGGATTACAGGCCTGAGCCACTGCACCCGGACTTTTTTTTTTTTTTTTTTGAGATGGAGTCTCGCTCTGTCGCCTGGTCTGGAGTGCAGTGACACGACCTCAGCTCACTACAGCTTCCACCTCCCGGATTCAAGCTATTCTCCAGCCTCAGCCTCCCGAGTAGCTGGGTTACAGGCGTGCGCCACCACGTCCGGCTAATTTTTGTATTTTTAGTAGAGACGGGGTTTCGTCATGTTGGCCAGGTTGATCTTGAACTCCTGACCTCAGGTGATCCGCCCGCCTCGGCCTCCCAAAGTGTTGGGATTACAGGCATGAGCCACCGCTCCCGGCATTTTTGTTTGTTTTTGGGTGTTTTTTTTTTTTTTTTTTGCATTTTTTTGGTGATGTGAAAAAATGACATATAACTCTTCTGTTAATTTATTTGACTATTTGTGAGGTTGAAACTTTTTAATGTGTTAATTGAAACTCTGGTTTTAAAGAGTCTCTTTAGTCCTCTGGGGAAGCATCCAGGGATGGAAATGGAGAGGTATTTGCTGGTTTCCTGGCTTTCTCATAGTTCTCATATATTGAAGACAGTGTGCTGGAGCTCAGTCCTAAGCACTTTACTTAGACCATCATCCTACAACCTTGTGAGGTAGGTATTGTCCCTTATTTACAGATGAGGACACAGAAGCTCACATATTGAAGGTCATATATTTATAAAATGGCAGAACTGAGATTTGAATTCAGAAGTATGAATTCATCCTAAATTCAAAGACTTGGTTCTTTGGCAAGAACATTTGTGCAGGTTTTACTTCCAAACATTCACTATTTTTTAAAATTTAATTTTTTTTGTTTTTGTTTTTTTTGTTTTTTAGACAAGGTCTCTCTCTGTTACCCAGACTGGAGTGCAGTGGCACGATTACGGTTCACTGCGGCCTTGACATCCCGGGCTCAAGCAATCCTTCCACCTCAGTCTCCCAAGTAGCTAGGACTAGACAACAGGCACATGCCACCATGCCGAGTTGAGTTTTTGGGGCTTTTTTAGAGAAGAGTTCTATGTTGCCCAGACTGTGAACATTCACTATTGGAACAGAAGTAAAACCCTCCCCTCCCCAGCATACAGATCTCCAACCCCACACCCTGATTTCTTCACCACTCTTCCCAGGACAGAGAGGAGACCAAGGGAGAGTAGGCATCATTTCTCTCTGTACAGTTTTTAATTTTTTATTTTTTGATGTTTGTTGTTCAGATGAATGACACACTCAAGTTACAAAAATGGGGCCTTAAAAGAAGCACATTGTACAATGAACAAGCAGATTGGAGTTAAGAACACTGAAACACTAACCCGCTACCACGAGAAGAGACGGAGGGGGTACAGGAAGGGAAGGAAGGGGCTACCAACACAGGGGTCAGACGGAACTGAAAGGGAGGCTAACTTGGTAAGGATGGAGGAAAGGCAGGTCTACTCCAGGGCTGATTTCTGGATGCCGGTTCCTGGGCACCCTTGCCTTGTACTTGCCACCCCCTCCAACTTCACCCACCCCCATTCCAACCTGGTCATTCTGGGTGGTGAAAGACACCCACACCAGAATGGGCTGCGCCAATCAGGTCTTTACCAAGTAGGGTGGTCACCTTGCCCTAGTGCAGCCCTGGATTTGGAAGGTGATGGTGGAAGCAGTGGGACAAGAGGCCAGAAAGGAGTTGAAAGTTCAGGCCCCTGCTCTTCCCAAAGACTCCTCGCCCATTCCCCACCCTGCCATTATCCAAAGGCTCTCTACGAGTTGCCGAGAGAGGCCCCCAGTCACCCTGCAATTATATAAATAAATAAATACTGAGCCCCTGGGTTTGGGGGACATATTGGGGGAGGGGCAGCAAGGATAGAGGACAGGAAAGAGAGGAAGGGGAGGGAGGCAGAAGGGAGGGGTCACAGACATAGTAAATAGTTGTCTCCATCCCAGCAACACTTCTCTCTGGATTTTTCTCTCCTTTTGTTTGTTTAACAAGGAGCTAACAATTCAAGGACAAATACTTAAAAATATACATTATTTTTTCTTTGTTTCCGCCTTTGTCATCGTCGTCTTGCTTTGGAGACTGCTGAGGTCAAAGTTTAAACCGCATGAAGGACTTGCGGCTTGGAGTTTTTGTGTATTTTTTTTTATTTTTATTTTTAATTTTTTTTCACTTTTTTTCCAACATATAAAAAGGTAGCGGAGTTGTCTGTGGGTTTTTTTTTTTTTTTAAATGGTTAAATCTTTGGTTTGTTTCTTTTTTCTCTTGGAGGCCTTTATCTCTCGCACTTGCCTTTCCCACTCAGAGACCAGTGGGGGCCCGCGTGTCTCAATCTTGCTGTCTGTCTCACTCTCTCTCTCACTCAGGTCCCCCTACCCTGGGCTAGAGGAAGAGAGAGGCACCCTGGTGTTCATGTGGGTTAGAAAAACTAGTCAGGTCAAGAGGTCACCCTGACTTGGCTAGTCCCTCGCCAGATCTCCCCAGGGCTTGGAGAGCCCGTCATGGCCTTCTCCAGGGAGATGGATGGAAAACTCATATCCTTCCCCTCCTCCTGATCTCAGCCCCAACTCCTACTGGGGCTTGGGTTCCCCATCCCTACCCACCCCCACACACACACCCACCCCACCCCCCAGAAGAGAACAGAGAGAGGTGGTTTAGTTACTGGCATCAATTTTTTTTTTTTTTTTTTTGGCACAATGAAAAGGCCCACCATTAGGGTAGACCCAGTCTCTGTCCCTCCCTTAAGTAGGAGGTCAGGGTTGGGGAGAAGAGAAATTCAGAGGGCTCCCCACTGCTCCAACCCACTCATCTCTCCTCTCTTTCTAGCCCAGGCCCTTGGCCCCCAACCTCGGACATCTAACCTAGCCCATAGCCTAGCCTGGGGTTGCCCTCCCCATCCCCCACATAAAGCTCCCCAGCCCTCCAACTCTCTCGCTCATACACAGACACACGGACACAGGCTCTGTACAGACCACAAAATAAAAACGATGAGATAGTTTTGTTTCCCGGAGTCGAGACGGGGGACCAGAGTGTAAGGGGCAGATGGGGGTGGGGGGCATGAATTCCCCCATCACCTTCCCAACCCTGGCTCCCTCCAGCCCCCCAGCCCCTTGCCCTGGCTGGCCCCCAGCCAACGATATTTGGTTTCCTTTTTTTAACATTAAAGTTCTATGAGGTATTTGGTGCCTTATCTCGAGTCCTCAGGGGAGGGGGGCCCAGGGGGAGACCTGGGGCTCACCTGCCCCTCCCTCCCTCCTACCCCCTTCCCAATATTTGGTTTCACAGCTGTAGTTAAAGCTTGGGATTTGGTTATTTTTCCCCCTCCCAGGAATTTTTTTTTCTTGTTTTTCTTTTCCTAGGTGTGAGGGTTGGATGGGGAGGGTCCCCAGCACCCCCGGCTGCACAGGGGTCCCTCCACCAACATCAGGGCATCTGCCCCATCCCTGCCCCCTGCTCCTCCTCTCCTCTTTACCCCACTCCCACATACTGGGGTGGGGAGAGGTCCCAGGTGGTGGGACTTGATGGGGAGGAAGCAGGATGAAGTGGGTGGTGGTGAGTCCTGGATTTTCTTTCCTTTTTTTTTTTTTTTTTTCCTTTTTGGTCTAGAATCATAGTTTTTGTTTGAGTCATCTCCACCATGCCTTCCATGCTGCCTGTCTTCTCGGAGGGGGTTTTTGGTTGTAATTCCTTTCATTTTGCTCTGCTCAAATGTCCTTCCTATTTGGTCAGGAGCCCTTGGCCCCCTCTCCACCCTTGGGCTGGGGCCCAAGCCCTCTTGCCAGTCCCTTCTCTCTTCAGGAAATAAACATGGACAAACTCAGAGGTAGGGTAAGGGCAGGGAGTCGTTCAGCGGAGATGCTTACATTCCGGTGAGGTTGGGTAGACGAGGTGCCAGGCCCCATCGTGCCGGGGTGGGAGGGGCGGCTACTTCACCACTGCCCGGACAAGGCACCCAGAGGCCCCTGCAATGGCCGAGTCTCTGCTGCCTCCGTCGCCCAGCCCAACAGTTTCATTTCCCGGGTGGGAGAAGGGAGACAAGGAAAAAAGAGAACGCTGAGGCCTGGAGCTCCATCTGCCTCTCCTCAGAGTGTCCGGCAGAAAGTGGAAGCTGCCCAGGCCAAAGCCCTGCGGTCTCAGGGCTCTCCTCTCTCTCTGCTCCTGCCCAACAAGGGGCAGGGGCCACACTACGGCTGTCAGGCCCCACCCTGATTTCAATGGCTCGTGTCCTTCACTGCAACACTTTGGTTTGAGGAGAGACACAGAAAGAACAAGATTGAGAGAGAAGAGAGGAGAGCAAAGGGAGAGAGAGGAGACAGGAAGGAGGAGAGGAGAGAGGAAGGAGGGGAGGAGAGAGGAAGGAGGGGAGGAGAGAGGTCAGACAAAAGAGAACCGAAAAAGAAATCAAAGGAGGAATCAAACCACCCAAAAGTTGTTA